>NC_000007.14:66143142-66446172 GCF_000001405.40 Homo sapiens | reverse complement strand
GGAGGCGGAGGTTGTGCTGAGCCGAGATCATGCCATTGCACTCCAGCCGGGGCAACGAGCAAGACTCCATCTCAAAAATAAAAAAAAAATAAAAAAAAATAGAGAAATACACAAATGAGAGGTTATAGTCATGTTAGTAGCAAAAATTGATTCAGGTAAAGTTTATCTGGGTGCTAAATCTTGGATGAGGGGAGGGAGTTTCCCAGGAAACAAGTTACGAACATGATCTCAAATTCACTGCCAATGAATTATTTATGTGTTTATTTTTCTTTTTTTCCTTTTTTTGTGGAGACGGGAGGTGGGTCTCGCTGTGTTGCCCAGGCTGGTCTTGAACTCCTGGCCTCAAGTGATCCCACCACTGTAGCCTCAAAGTGCTGGGATTACAGGTGTGAACCACCATGCCCAGCCAGATTATTTATTAATTATAAATAGAGAAATGGTAACTATAAAATGGGGATGTAGGAGGCAAGGATAGATGTCATGTGTGCTTCCAGACATGACACTTTGAGAACACAACATCATTTATGAAATATCTAAGCCGAAAATTTTTAACAACCTGAATCCAGTCATGAGGACACCCAATCTAAATGGCATTCAACAAGATACCTGGCCTGTGTTCTTCAGAAGTGTCATGCTGAGAGAAACAAAGGTTGGGAAAATTGTGAACTGCTCATTGTGAACAATTGAGAAACTTGGAATATGGATTTTCAATTGAGTAAAAGTATTTTATCAATGTAAATTTTCCTGAATTTGGTAGCTATCCTGTAAGGTACATAAAACAATGGCTTAATCCCTTTGCATTGCTATAGAAGAATACCTGAGGCTGGGTTACTTATAAAGGAAAGAGGTTCATTTGGCTCACAGTTCTGCAGGCTGTGGAAGAAGCATGGAGACAGGCCAGGTTCAGAGGCTCACGCCCGTAATCCCAACACTTTGGGAGGCCGAGACAGGCAGATCACTTGAGTCCAGGAGTTGGAGACCAGCCTGGCCAACATGGCAAAACCCTGTCTCTATTGAAAATACAAAAATTGGCCAGGCATGGTGGCCCATGCCTGTAATCCCTACTACTTAGGAGGCTGAGGCAGGAGTATCACTTGAACCTGGAAGGCAGAGGTTGCAGTGAGCCGAGAATGCGCCGGTGTACTCCCGCCTGGGCTGCAGAGTGTGAGACTCCTCAAAAAAAAAAAAAAAAAAGAGAGAGATTGGGCAATGGAAGGCTTGATAATCATGGTCTACTTGCTATTCCTGAAATACAAGCTTTGTTTCTGTATTAAAAACATAAGGTGCAGCTTGGTCCAGTGGCTCATGCTTGTAATTCCAGCATTTTGGAGACTGAGGCAGGAGGATCGCTTGATCCCAAGAGTTCAAGACCAGCCTGGGTAACATAGTGAGATTCCATCTCTTAAAAATAATAATAATTAGCCGGGCTAGTGCCTGTAGCCCCATCTACTCTGGAGGCTGAGGTCGGAGGATCATTTGAGCCTGGGAGGTTGAGGCTGCAGTGAGCTGTGATCGTGCCACTGTATTCCAGCCTGGGTGACAGAGCGAGACCCTGATTAAAAAAACAAACAAACAAACAAACAAAAACGCAAGGTGACTTTAAGTTGAAGAGCAAGCACTTGCCATTTGAGCCCTAGCCAAAACTATGAACTGTAATGTGGGTGAGGTTGTTCTTTTCCATATTTCCTTCTTCTTCACTTCTTTCACCTTACACACTGAATCCCTATTGGCTGTTCAAACATAACTAACCTCCTCCCTGTGTACCAAACACCTGAACTGTCTCTCACTTTCCCCTCTCTAATCCAAACTTGTGGCCTCTTAATAGGGGTTGATTTTTAGGAAGCTTAGAGAAAAACAACAAAGTGTTGATTTTAGTAACTTGTATGGTCATAACTAGCTAATAGAATTAATCTTCATTTACATTTTAAAAGGAGATTTTTTTTCTTTTTTAAGCAAAAGTGTCCTTTGGAAAAGTATGTGTGGGAGGGAAGCATGTTGTAAGCAAAGCAATAAAGGAAATGAGTAGGGTTTTCCTGTCTTTGACTGGTGTACAGACCTCCAAAGTCAGAGGGATTGGTGTTATTCTAAAGAGTCTTCAGTCCTCTCTGGCTTACTGAGGTGTAGTTATAGCATAGTCAACAGCTCAGGGTTTGGATTTAAGTGCACAGACCTGGGTTCAAATTCCAGTCTTTATAAGTGACTGCAACATTATTCAAGTTACTTAACATATTCAAGCCTCAGCTTCCTCATTTGTAAATATCATAAGTGTACTACCTGATAGACTTGTGAAGATTATACAAAATAGCATTGTAAAAGTACCTAGTGCATAATAGACATTACCTATATGTAAGTTTATACTACCATTATTATTTTGTCAGATGGAATATGTATTATGTTTTTATTGGGTTGAGTGTTCTGTCAATGTCAGGTAGGTCAAGTTGGTTAATAACATCATTCAAGTTTTCTGTCTTTACTGACTTTTTAAAAATATCTCTCTGTCAATTACTAAGCGAGGATTATTGAAATCTCCAAATATCATTGTGAATTTGTTTCTCCTTTCAGTTCTATCAAATTTTGTTTTATGTGTTTTGAAACAGTGTTATTAGTATATACAAATTTAGGATTGCTGTGTTTTCTTGAAGAATTAACCCCTTTTTTATGATGAGATACCTCTCTGTGTTCTTGATAATATGGTCCATGTTCTTAAGTTTACTTTGTCTAACATTGGTATAACCACTTAAGCTCTATTTCATTGTTTCAGAGTATCCTCTTCCTTTCATTAGTTTTTAACATATTTGTATCTTTATATTTAAAGTAAATTTCTTACAGACAACATGAAGTGAGGTCTTGTTTTTTAATCTAATACGATAATCTCTGACATTTAATCAGACTGTTTATAGCATTTGTAATTAATGTGATTTTTGATAAGGGAAGTTTTACCCCTGTCATCTTGCTCTTTGTGTTTATCTCATCTTGTCTTAGTTCCTTTTCTCCTCTTTTCTTGCCTTCTTTATGACCACACCTTTACCTCCACTATCAGCTTGTTAGCTACACCTCTTTGTTCTGTTTTGTTTTGTTTGGTTTTTATTACCGGTTGTTCTGGGCTTTACAGAATACATCTTTAACTTACTTACCTTCAAGTAATATTTATACCACTTTACAGAAAAAAATTTTTTTAATAATAGTATTATACGACTTTACATATAAGAATCTTAAACAGGATTCTTATATTTCTTCCTCCCGTCCTTCGTGCTGTGGTTCTACATGCTACTTGGTGGTTCTTTCTCTCATCTTGGGTAGTTTCCTCATATGCATGTGTAGTACTCAGCCACACTCAAGGGAACCCTCTGCAGATACCTGGAGCTTTTTCTGTTAGCCCTCTCCCCTCCATAGCGTTTGCATGATATTTTGCCATGCAAATTCTGGTCACATTGGCCTCCCTGAACTCCAAATGCTATCTCCTCAATTCAGCAATTCAGCTAAGCTGTGTTTGAGTGGCCTCTCCCTGTGCCAAGACTTTAAAACTCTCCCAGCAGTGAGCTGGGACACTGTAGGACAGACTGTGTTTGTTTCCTGTCTTTCAGGAGTTAATCTGCTGTTTACCTGTCGTCCAATGTCTGAAAACCTTTCTTTCATATATTTGACGTTGCAGTTGTTAAGATAGTAGGGTAAACCTGATGCCATCAGATTATTCCGTCATGACTGGAAGTGGAATTATCTGACAGAGAAGGATTTTTGATAAAGATTTTTTTCCTAATCATACAGATGTCAGCACAATCTTTGGTTTTTTATTTACATAAAAAATATTTTAGAAAAGATGTTGCTCTTTTTGTTTTGAATTAGATTGTACCTGATTTATTTATGTGCTTAAAAAAATAGGTAGTATATCCAAATGACTCAAACGTAACAGATACGGTTAGAAGTTTCCTTTCTACTTTGTCTCTCGCCCATCTAGTTCCTAAGTACCACTGCTATTGTTCCCCTACTTTCTTTTTTTTTGAGATGGAGTCTGTCTCTGTCACCCAGGCTGGAGTGCAGTGGCGCGATCTCGGCTCACTGCAAGCTCCGCCTCCCGGGTTCATGCCATTCTCCTGCCTCAGCCTCCCGAGTAGCTGGGACCACAGGCGCCTGCCACCACACCCAGCTAATTTTTTGTATGTTTAGTAGAGACGGGGTTTCACCGTGTTAGCCAGGATGGTCTTGATCTCCTGACCTCGTGATCCGCCCACCTCGGCCTCCCAGAGTGCTGGAATTACAGGCGTGCGCCACCGCGTCCCGCCTATTGTTCCCCTACTTTCCCAGAACTTTTGTTATTAGTTTCTTGTGTATCCTCTTTCTGTGCTTTTATTCTAATTTATAAAAACGTATATTCTTACCCCACTACCCCGTTTTATATAAAACATAGCACAGTGTACATACCTTACTTTTTTTTTTTTTTTTTTTTGAGACCAGGTCTCACTCTGTCACCCAGGCTGGAGTGCAGTCAAACTCCTGGGCTCAAGCGATCCTTCTGCCTCAGCCCCTCCAAATAGCTGGCACTATAGGTACGCACTACCATGCCTGGCTAATGTTTTTACTTTTTGTAGAGAGCGCATCTCACTATGTTGCTAATTTATGTTTTTGCTTCCAATACATTTATGAGCTCTTTCCATATCAGTACACAAGAAGCATACTTTTTAATTTTAAAACCCTATGGCATTTTATTTTATGGATTAAAGGATAATTTATTTAGTCCCTCAGTGATGGCCAGTTATTTCCAGTCTTTTGCTATTACCAGTAATGCTAAAATGTACATATTTCATTTGGTACATGTAAGATTTTATTAGTAGAAAATTTTGGAGAAATAGAAATGTTAGGCCAGGCACAGTAACTCACACCTGTAATCCCAGCACTTTAGGAGGCCGAGGCTGGTGGATCACCTGAGGTCGGGAGTTCAAGACCAGCCTGACCAACATGGAGAAACCCCTTCTCTATTAAATATACACAATTAGCCAGGCGTGGTGGCACATGCCTGTAGTCCCAGCTACTCGGGAGGCTGAGGCAGGAGAATCGCTTGATCCCAGGAGGTGGAGGTTGTTAACTGAGATCGCGCCATTGCACTCCAGTGTAGGCAACAAGAGTGAAATTCCGTCTCAAAAAAAAAAACAAAAAACTCCTGAAGATCAAAGATTATAAGGAATTACTCTGAGAGCGAGACGCAGTGTTTTGTACCTGTAATTCCAGCACTTTGGGAGGCTGAGATAGGAGGATCATCTGAGGTTAGGAGTTTGAGACCAGCCTGGTCAACATGGTGAAACCCTGTCTCTACTAAAATACAAAATTATCTGGGCGTGGTGGGGCATGCCTGTAATCCTAGCTACTTGAGAGACTGAGGCAGGAGAATCATTTGAACCTGGGAGGCAGATGTTGCAGTGAGCTGAGATCCACTGCGCTCCAGCGTGGGTGACAGAGTGAGAATCCGTCTCAAAAAAAAAAAAAATTTAAGAAACTGTAGAATAGGTAGGTTAATATCTTTAAAACATACTTTCTGGCCAGATGCGGTGGCTCACGCCTGTAATCCCAGCATTTTGGGAGGCTGAGGCGGGCGGATCACCTGAGGTCAGGTGTTCGAGACTAGCCTGACCAACATGGCGAAACCCCATCTCTACTAAAAATACATAAAATAGCTGGGCATGATGGCACATGCCTGTAGTCCCAGCTACTTGGGAGGCTGAGGCAGGAGAATCGCTTGAACCCAGGAGGTGGAGGTTGCAGTGAGCCGACATCACACCACTGCACTCTAGCCTGGCGACAGAGCGAGACTCCGTCTCAAAAACAAAAAAAAAATACAAGAATTAGCTGGGTGTGGTGGCACTCGCATGTAATTGCAGCTAGTTGGAGACTGAGCCAGGAGAATCGCTTGAACCTAGGAGGCAGAGGTTGCAGTGAGCTAAAGTCTTGCCACTGCACTCTGGCCTGGGTGACAGAGCAGTACTCTGTCTCAAAAAAAAAAAAAAAATCAAATAAAACATACCTTTTTAAAAAATTATTTTTAGGAAATCATTGGGATATGGGGAACTTAAATTCCTTATAAACATTAGAGAGCATAGTTCAAAATCAGGAGGCTTAGAATGTGGTCAGAGACCAAGTGGTAGTTCATACTTTCTGAAAGCACTTACTGCCTGTTACAACATCCTTATCTCTCTTGTGTAAATGTTCCATTTTCCTTTCAGTGTGTTTATTTGAAGAGGGGAAAGAATTGTCTGCCCAGCCGGTGGGATAGTGTAGTGCATGTTTCCCTTGTCTCTTCATTTTATGCTTTGTCGTGTTCATCTTGCTATTAATACTTTGGATGCGTTCTTTCACTTTGATCAGTATGACTCACCAACGAAATGGTGGGTAAATAATTGTGAGTCTCCACATAAACACATTAACCTTTGCCTTTTTGTTAAGTAAAATGGGATTTGGAAAGGTTGTCTGACATTTATAAGTACCTAACATTTCAGTGCTTCTATTGATTGTTATTCTATTTGTTGACTAGTTTTATAAACTCCAGCAGTCTTTGAGAAGCCTAGTGGTGCCATTTCAGTGTTCATGATTGAATAGATAGATCAAAGCATGATAGATTTTGGCAAAGAAAATACTAATAGAACAACTTTTATTTCAGTAGGAATATCTTTTAGATAATGTAGTTTTGTCTACTCATACTTTCTACTTGTAAAACAGATTTAGTTTAAGGGAAGTTGTCCAACCACTCAAACATAAAATGATTTAAATTCAAGTTTAACTTTGATGAAACATAATTTAAATAACCTTAGGTAAGATACTTAAAGTAATTCCATGCATGGATCTTTTATGTCTTGAAACTTACTATGTTTAATTTTCCCAGCTGAAATTCAGGAAGCAAAAGCTCCCAGTCCTTCCATAAACCGGCAAACCAGCATTGAAATGGATAGAGTGTCTAAGGAGTTCATAGAATTTCTCAAGACCTTCTGCAAGACAGGCCAAGAAATCTATAAACTGACCAAGCTGTTTTTGGAAGGGATGCATTACAAAAGGGTAGGTTGAGAATAATCACATAGAAACATAGAGTTTTGGTTTGAGGAAAGGTCTTAGAGATAATATAGTGCAACCTTGTCATTTTATGCCTGAGAAAATCAAGACCAAGAGATGTTAAATTACTTACCTAAGAAAAGCCTCTGAATCAAGCTAAAACCCAACTCTTAGGCTAGTACTTTTCCACTGCAACTCAGTGGTGTTTGAATCATCTTTGTGTGGAAATTCTGACCTTGAAGCCACTTGAATTATGTGCTTTAGTAACAGGCCTTTTTGACTTGTGACCTTGTAAATAGTATAAACTGCCATAGTAGACCTTTAACTCTGTGCAACCATTGTTAGGCCAGTGGCAGTAATTTTAAGGGTTGTTGTTGTTGAATTCTGTTTTGTTTTTTGTATTTTGATTTTGAATTTTTTCATTCAGTTAGAGAAAGGACAGATAGAATTTAGACAAGAAAGGGACTTTAGCAGCTATGGAGTTTCAGTCCCTTTATTTTATAGATGAGGAAGTTGAGAGCCCAAGAGGATAAGTGACTTGTCCAGGTTACACAGCTAGATTTTGCCAATGTCAAGTAGTTGTGACTTCCACACCTGTTTCTTTTATCCATAATTTCTGACCCATAATTTCAGTGGCAATAATTCATGAGACTCCCTGTAAAGGAAATCATTTTGTAAATAGGGATTAATTCTGTTGTAACATTCTATAACCATTAAACTCAGAATTAGCTCCAAAAGTTCCTTCTATGCAGTAAGGAAGTCTTAGAAAGAAAAAGGAAATTAGAAAAGCAGCAGGGTGTTTAACTGTTTAGCTATATTCTAGCTGGGGTCAGCAATCACTAGGCTAATAAGCAGTGGACTTGTGTTGAAATAATTTTTAGATATTGAATTCAGTTTGTAAAGGAGAAAAGCTTGCTTTCTTGCCCTTCAGAAATGTAATTAGACTGTGTAAGTAAGTAGCTGTCTTTCTCTAGATATTTTTTCTCTCTAGAGTAAAATATTTGGAGTTAAAACAAGTGAGCTGTTATTGATTTTTTTTTTTAAGTTAGGAACCATGATAGATATCTTAATGTGGAAAAATTCGGAGTTCATGTGACATACATCTTTCATTTTTATCAGAACTAAAAACTGAGGTTTTGTATTTATTCTTGAGCCCACCTGAAATGTTGACGGGATAGCTATACTAACTTAGAATATGTATACTGTAGTACTTAAGCATATATGCTGTATAATAATATGTTTTAGAAAATTGCTCAACTTGGATTTGATGTTTTTCTTTTGCTCAGAAGTGTGATGTGTTCTTGTTCTGTAATAATTTAGTAGACTTCTAAATTAGTGTACTAAAGTAAAGAGGTAATTAACTGGTACAAATATCACCATGTTTATTTGTAAGGCATCACTAGTTTATATCAGAGACCTGGATATGGCCTCAGATTTCTCCTGTTTTAAGAGCCACTAAGCCACCTATTTTCCATTTCTACACTACGTGTTTCATGGTTAGGTGGCCAAGTCCTATGCATGTATCTCAGGTATCTTTAGTGACCAACATGAAGTCTGCACATATTGTATATGAAAGAAATGTTTTTTAAACTGGATGTCCCTAGAGAAGCCCTTTTGGCCTTTGGCTGCAAGTTAATGTCCTTTGAAATAAATAAATAAACACTCTTTACACCTGAACTAACCTAACTAACTTCAGATCAGTAATCATATAAATTTCTTGGGGCAGTTCCTCTGACGTTGTGAAGAATGTGGTAGTATAAAATAGCCTTTGTACTCAGTTTATCAAAACTGCTCAAAAACTTTAAATTCATGTTATTCCCACCAACTAAACTTTCTAGATGGCATCCTAAGGGCCTATGCAATATGAGAATTCATTCTTACCTGTTTAAAAACTGCCCAGGCAGCCTTGCCATAAACGGATAATTGTTCCTACTGGATCCCACAGTATTATGCTTTCTAAAATTTCTGAGATCCAGAAGACTGATCTGCTCTTGCCCACATGTTTTCCCACATAATTTCTGTTTTCACCAATCCCAGTATATGCCGGCGGTGAGCAGCCTTTTCAGCATATGGGTCAAGTCTAGAAAATTAAATCTTTTCCGAACTGCATTAAAATTTTTAAGCCATTTTATCTTTATCAAGAAACACTTTATCTACACTTACATGTTTTTTGTTTTTAGAGTTTAAATTTCAGCACCTACATAATTTTCATACCCACTGCAATATTTCCATGTAATGCTTTACTATGCAACACATCTCTCTTTCTTTCTTTCCTTTCCTTCCTTCCTTTCTTTTTTTGAAGCAGGGTGTTACTCTGTCTTCTAGACTGGAGCCCAATGGCATAGTCACAGCTCACCGCAGGCTTGACCTCCCAGACTCAAGTGATCCTCCTGCCTTAGTCTCCTGAGTAGCTGGGACTATAGGCGCACACCACCATGTCTGACTGAGTTTTTTAGTTTTTGTGGAGACGGGGTCTCCCTATGTTGCCCAGGCTAGTCTTGAACTCCTGAATTACAAGTGATCCTCCCAACTTGGCCTCCCAAAGAGCTGAGATTACAGGTGTGAGCCACCGCACCTAGTGCTATTCAGCAAATACTGTTGTTTGCTAATACTTTTCTGTAGCTTATTTTGCTCTGTTTTCTTTCTTGCTATTCTTAGTAGCTATTTAATGTTAAAACATGCATACTCTTATAGTACCTCTATAGGTCCTTTAAACAAGATATTTCTATTGCAAATGAGACAGGCAACTATGTCATTTACACAAAATCCTTTTATGTTGAACATACGGTTGTCACCAGCTACTTTTCTGTTCTTACAAATCATCATAGCAAGAATTTAAATTGATGAGCCAAATTAATAAAGCTTAATTTTTAAATTTTTAAATTTTAAAACCTAGTATGTACAACATAACTTGAATAATAAAAATAATAATTATTATTAAAATGGGCTGGGGTGCCCATTTTTTGGGTTTCTCAATTCAGTTATTTTTATTTTTTTAATTTTTATTAATCCCTTAATACTCCATTCATGGCAATCAATTCAGTTTCTACACCAAGACTTCTTAATAGTCATTCTGATAAGCTCTTTTTTCTCAGGAAGCAGTTAAGCACAACATAACACCTTTTGCTTGTTTCATTGGTCTTTTTCTAGCCAGTCCTTCTGTAAAAATCTGATACTGAGCCAGGCATGGTGGCTCATGCCTGTAATCCCAGCACTTTGGGAGGCCAAGGCAGGTGGATCGCCTGAGGTCAGGAGTTCGAGACCAGCCCTTGCCAGCATTGTGAAACCCTGTCTCTACTAGAAATACAAAAAATTAGCTGGGCGTGGTGGCAAGCGCCTGTCATCCCAGCTACTAGGGAGGCTGAGGCGGGAGAATCACTTGAACCTGGGAGGCGAAGGTTGCAGGTAGCCGAGATTGCACCATTGCACTCCAGCCTTGGCAACAGGAGCAAAAAAACTCTGTCTCAAAAAAAAAAAATGAGATACTGATTATATGTTATGTACTTAAAGCCTTGTACCTGAATGAGGACAAAAAATACACAGTTTAAGACATGGCTATATCTTCATTTCCATGATCTTTCCCAGAATAAGTAGAAAGATAGGTGTCCTTCTATATTTTAAAATCACTCCATTCTTCTAAACTATATATTTATGCAAGGATTAATTTGCCCTGCTGTGTAATTACTATAAGAAGAACAGAAGTATGTATCCAAAACATACTTTAACCAGCAAATAGGCTTATTGTGAGAACTTCAGCAGGGCTAGCAACCCAGGACCTAAGTTTAAAACTAGAAGCACTGAGGATGAGAAGTGAGGCAGTGGAAATAGCTCTGAGCTCTCAGCATCTGTAAGTCTTAAGGAAGAAAAGTAGATGAAAGATGTATTTGATAATTACGCTGAAGGAATAAAAATAATTAAAAACGTGTCATAGAGGCATATAGTGATAGGCGAGGGGAAACTTAAATCATCAACCTGGAGCAGCCGTGGCAGCTCCATGCGTGAGGCTGGTGCCACACAGTATCCCGGTGTTGGCATTGTCTCCAGGCCTTCTCTGTTCCGCACGCAGTTACAAAACAAAAGAACAGTTGCCAGCAGTTGGAAGAGGATGTGGATCCAAACCAAATGGGGGACAGATACTCCCTCTATGGACAAGATACTCATGGAAGAAGTCAAGTTAGAAGAGCAACTGAAGGAGGTTGTGGAAGAAGATAAGCAAGCATTGGCAGATACTGAGGGCTTGCAGCAGAGCAGCCAAAAATTGGTGGAGGAGGCAAATATGTGTAGCATTCAGGGCTTCTGCAAGGACTCGTTAGAGGTTGCAGATGTTTTGGAGAAGGCAACACAGTGTGTTCCAGAAGAAGAAATTAAAGACAATAACCATCACCTGAAGAACCTCTGTGAAACTCTCACAATGAGTGAAGGTCAGATTCAGGAAGTGTTCAGCAAGCACCACCAAGCTGAACCCTGTCAGAGCCAAGTTCCACCGTTATGTGCATGAGGGTCTTTTTTTTGTCTTTCTTCACATCCGACAGGCAATGTGCCAGTGCTGTAACAAGGTTTGAGCAAGGCATATCTCACACATGAAAACCCAGTGTGAAAACCTAGTCATCACACTCCCAGTGCTTTGGGAGGCTGAGGCAGGTGGATCACTTGAGGTCAAGAGTTACAGACCAGCCTGGCCCACATGGCGAAACTCTGTGTCTACTAAAAATACAAAAATTAGCCAGGCGTGGTGGCGTACGCCTGTAGTCCCAGCTACTCGGAGACTGAGGCAGGGGAATTGCTTTAACCTGGGAGGCGGAGGTTTCAGTGAGCCAAGTTTGCACCACCGCACTCCAGCCTGGGCAACAGAGTGAGACTCCGTCTCAAAAAAAAAAAAATACTTTGCAGGTCAGTATAAACACTTAAAATATCATTTGAATCACTGTGTTACATTATTTATTATAGAAAAAGAGGGAAACAAATATACCATATGTTTTTTTTTTGTGTGAGGGGGTAAAAAGCAAGAATTTGTGAAGCGGGGATGTTTCCAAATCCAGCAGAGTTTTTAATATATTCTAAAATGAAAGTCATCACACCTAGATGAGATTTGGGTAAAAAATGAAAATACGGAACAGTGAAATCAGCCAGAGATTTCAGAAATAGATTTAATTTCTCAGGAGCAAGTTACATGACACCTGGAGGACGAGGGGGAACAAGGTTGTGCTTTACTAACTGCTGATGGTGATGACAGATACACTTGTATAGAGTTTTAGTTCTGTTTCATACCATGCACCTTACATTCCAGCCAAATCAAAGAGCTAAACATGAAAAAATTGAGAAGAAAGTAGATTAGGATATGAGCTGGGTATGGTGGCTCATGCCTATAATCCCATCACTTTGGGAGGCCAAGGCAGCCAGATGAGTAGAGGCTAGGAGTTTCAGACCAGCCTGGTCAACATGGGGAAACTCCATCACTACTAAAAATACAAAAACTGGAGTTTGAGACCAGCCTGGTCAACATGGGGAAACTCCATCACTACTAAAAATACAAAAATTATCTGAGCGTTGTAGCAGGTGCCTGTAATCCTAGCTACTCAGGAGGCTGAGGCAGGAGAATCACTTGAACCCGGAGGTGGAGGTTGCACTGAGCCAAGATCACACCATTGCACTCCAGCCTGAGCAAGAGAGCAAGACTGTCTCAAAAAAATAAAAAAATAAAATATTAGCTTGGGCGTGGTGGTTCATGCTTGTAATTCCAGCTACTTGGGAGGCTGAGGCAGGAGAATCGCTTGAACCAGGGAGGCAGAGGTTACAATGAGATCACACCACTGCAGCCTGTGTGAGAGAGCGAGACTCCATCTCGGGGAAAAAAAAAAAAGAAAAAAATATATGAACGGTACCTTAGGATACGTATTTCAGCTGTAGAGAGGAGCAAAAATTGAACCATCAAAAAATTGTTTTACCTGGGCACGGTGGCTCACACCTGTAATCCTAGCACTTTTAGAGGTCAAGGCAGGAGGATCACTTAAGCCCAGGAGTTTGAGACGAGACTGGGCAACATAGTGAGACCTTGTTTCTATATATTAAAAAAAAAAAAAAAGAGAAATAAAATTAAAAACTTACAAGAAATTTGTTTGTTTTTGAGACAGAGTGTTGCTCTGCCGCCCAGGCTGGAGTGCAATGGCATGATCTTGGCTGACTGCAACCTCCACCTCCCGGGTTCAAGCAATTCTCCTGCCTCAGCCTCCCAAGTATCTGGATTACAGGTGTGCAGTAGCATGCCCAGCTAATTTTTGTATTTTTAGTAGAGACGGGTTTTGCCATGTTGGCCAGGCTGGTCTTGAACTCCTGACCTAAGGTGATCCGTCCGCCTCGGCCTCCCAAAGTGCTGGGATTACAGGCGTGAGCCACTGCACCCAGCCAAAAGAATTGTTTTTAATGACCAGATAAAAGGCTTAATAGTATTAACTTTTTAAAAATCTGTGCAATAAAAAATAAAACATGGGAAGTCATGAATATAAATAAGAGCTTCATATAGTGAAATATCTAAACTTTACTAAAGGTAGCACCTAGGCTTTTATAGTTGAGGGATCAATTTTAATTCAACCAAATGGCATGTATATGGGTAACTAGTTGACAGTGATTAGGGCTGCAGTCAAGGTGATCCCATGACTTGTGATCACCATGATCACATGTGTGCTTGAGTGCTTGGCCATTTTCACTGAGGGAATGAGGTGACTGCCCCTGACCCCCAGTGTCCTGCCTTCCTTTTAGAGTTAAGCCAGATGGTCGACTGCTGCAGGCTTCCACAGGATGTATCGGTGCTTGGCGTGTGAGGTCAGTGGCCTGTGTAGATGAGGTCTGTGACAGCCAGTCCTGGGGGTTTGTTCTCAGCCTTATTCATGTTCTTCTACTGTGACATCCTTGTGAGAACCATTGGGAGAAATTTTTGATTTTGGTGTCAGAATTTCACCTGAAGAATTTGTTTGCTTTCATCTTTTTTTTTTTTAAGTTTTTTTTTCTTTTATTATTATACTTTAAGTTTTAGGGTACATGTGCACATTGTGCAGGTTAGTTACATATGTATACATGTGCCATGCTGGTGCGCTGCACCCACTAACTTGTCATCTAGCATTAGGTATATCTCCCAATGCTATCCCTCCCCCCTCCCCCCACCCCACAACAGTCCCCAGAGTGTGATGTTCCCCTTCCTGTGTCCATGTGATCTCATTGTTCAATTCCCACCTATGAGTGAGAATATGCAGTGTTTGGTTTTTTGTTCTTGCGATAGTTTACTGAGAATGATGATTTCCAATTTCATCCATGTCCCTACAAAGGACATGAACTCATCAAACTGCATCAACTAACGAGCAAAATAACCAGCTAACATCATAATGACAGGATCAAATTCACACATAACAATATTAACTTTAAATGTAAATGGACTAAATGCTCCAATTAAAAAACACCATGCTTTCATCTTTTGAACCCTGAATTACGTAACTGTTTTCATCTTAATGATGATTGCTAAGAAGTTTAGTTAGAGACAGATGTATGGGCTGACTCTTGACTAATTTAGACATCTTCCAGGAAAACATTTCTGTCTTGTCATTTAGGTCTCTCTCCATGTGTGATTTTTTTTTTTTTTTTTTTTTTTGAGATGGAGTCTCTCTGTGTTGCCCAGGCTGGAGTGCAGTGGTGCAATCTCGGCTCACTGCAAGCTCCGCCTCCCAGGTTTACACCATTCTCCCACCTCAGCCCCCTGAGTAGCTGGGACTACAGGTGCCCGCCACCACACCCGGATACTTTTGTTTTTGTATTTTTCGTATAGACTGAGTTTCACCATGTTGGCCAGGATGGTCTCCATCTCCTGACCTTGTGATCTGCCCACCTTGGCCTCCCAAAGTGTTGGGATTACAGACGTGAGCCACCAAGCCCGGCCTAAAATTTTAAAAAAATTTTTAAAATTATCTTTCTTTTCTTTTCTTTTCCTTTTCTTTTCTTTTCTTTCTTGAGATGGGTTCTCACTATGTTGCCCAGGCTGGTCTCAAACTCCTAGGCTCAATCGATCCTCTAGCTGCAGCCTCCCAGAGCACTGGGATTACAGTTATTTGTTACTCTTTTTATTTTCTAGTCCGTTGTGCTGAACTGCATTTATCTTTTAAATAGACTTTAAATATTCTTTGGCAGAAAGTGAGGAATAAATGCATATATTCTATGTATAAAATCAGTAAAACCAAATACAAATTATCAAGCCCACTGTTGTAAGGGCCATAGGGAAATAAGCGCATACACGTGGTTAATGACAGTGTGCACTGAGTTTCCGAGGAGTGTGGCTAGCAATAGATACTTAGTGCTGTAACGGTGTTTATTCTTATTAAGTGGTTAATGCCACTTTTGGAAATGTATCACAGAGAATTTAACTCAGAAGAAGATAGTCCTTACAAAATTATTTATTGCTACAGTGCACAACAATGAAAGAGGGGAAGCAACCCAAATGCACAGCGGTAGAGGAGAGTTGAATAAGTCAGTTAATATAATGCAATGCTATAAAGCCACCAAAAATGTTTGGTGGGTTAGATAAATAGAAGTGTCCATAAAATATGTAAATTATCAAAACATGCATTAAATCTATTTAAGAGTATGTAGATATAGCAAAAAGAATGAGATGGTCATGGTGAGACACCACTAGGTAGGAAGGGGTCCCCAGAAAAACTCCAGCTGGCCTGTGCACTGGGGTGGAACTTGAAGTTTGCACCGTTGATAGCGGGGAGGAGCCTGGCACCTCTTCTTACTGTGTAAAACCCATTATTCTAGCTGCTGGCAGAAAGCACTCTAGCAGGGACTCTGGCCTTGTGAGAGTCCCAATAAAACCCTGCCTTACTCACCATTCAAACCGTCTGTAAGCCTAAATTTTTGTGGCCTTGAGACGGACAAGGACCCCGTCCTTAGCTGAACTAAGGAAAAATCCTGCAACAGTGGATACTGGAAATAATGTTAATGGATGGGTTTTACTCTCCTGAAGGATTAATATAATCTGTGAGTACTTTTATGCTTACTGCCAGTACAAGGAGTGGCTTACTTACTATCAGTACAAGGAGTATATATACTCTCTTGAGCTTTTCTGTTTGGCTATTTCAGTGCCTCCAGAATGAGTTGAGAAGATAAATGGATCAGATTGAAAAGTACATCATGACTCATCTCTATAAATATGTGTTCTGTCCAGAAACTACTGATGATGAGATGAAAGATCTTGCCATTCAAAAGAGGATCAGGTAGTTGCTTATTTTGTTTTGCTTTATGCTTACTACCTACTGATGGAAGAACATATTGGGGGAAAATAAGGCATCTGAGTTTCAAACCTTAAGAGAAAGCAACAGCTCATGTTTCTGCTTCCTTAGAGTGGAAGCTGCTCTGTGGTGTCAGAAAGACAAGGAATGTGGTGACCTCACCTATCCATCTCCCTCAAGGCAGCTTTTGGTAAGTCGTGTTTGGTGTTTGAGATTGTTTTCAATCTCTGAACTCTCCAAGGAACAGGGGGACTGTGTTCTTGGTCCATTACCATTTCCTCAAGCAGGAAGCTGTGAATATCCGTATCAAGGCAGGGGATGTCGGCTGGGCCCGGTGGCTCATACCTGTAATCCCAGCACTTTGGGAGGCTGAGGTGGGTGGATCACTTGAGGCCAGGAGTTCAAGAGTAGCCCGGGCAACATGGTAAAACCCCGTCTCTACTAAAAATACAAAAATTAGCCAGGCATGGTGGCACACGCCTGTGCTTCTAGCTATTTGGGAGGCTAAGGCACGAGAATGGCTTGAATCCAGAAGGCGGAGGTTGCAGTGAAGCGAGATCGTGCCACCACACTCCAGCCTGGGCAACAGAGCAAGACTCCTTCTCAAAAAAATAACAAGTCAGTGGATGTCCTCTTTCCTCATTCCTCCCAGTGGTGTGCATTTTTCACCATTCCCCAGTCACATCTTTCACTAGCATTGGATTGATGACATTTCCCACAGCACCCAGTCTTCCAGGCTCACTGGGGTGAACCCCAGCACTGTGTACTCCAGTTGCGGTGGACACTGAGGAAGAGACCACCCAAGTGTGGGAACAGGGCCAAGGCTGAGCTGATGAGTTGTTCTAAGAGGAGAGGGGACTCGGAGTCCCAGGTTCCAGACAAGGGGCTGGTACTTGCTAGATCTGTATTGGAAGTTTCACAGCTGAAGTGAGGAGTTGATACTGGGCAGGCTGAAGTTGTGGAGCCCAAGGTCAGGAGCCAGAAGTAACCAGAGGGGCCCTGGACCAAGATGCAGAAGGAAAGCAGTAACCAAGCAAGAGGGGAGGCCTGCAGCAGGGTAGTTGGAGTGCAGTTAGGGTGGGACCAGGAAACACACAGTGATTCAGGTATGGTGATCCTGCCTGTGGCGTCCTACGCGAGCTCCAGTGTGCCTTAGAAATTGAGGGCTGAGGCCAGGTGTGGTGGCTCACACCTGTAATCCCAGCACTTTGGGAGGCCAAGGCAGGTAGGTCACCTGAGGTCAGGAGTTCAAGACCAGCCTGGCCAACAGGGTGAAACCCCGTCTCTAGTAAAAATACAAAAATTAGCTGAGCTTGATTGTGGACGCCTGTAGTCCTGGCTACTCGGGAAGCTCAGGCAGGAGAATTGCTTCAGCCTGTGAGGCAGAGGCTGCAGTGAGCCAAGATCATGCCACTGCACTCCATCCTGGGCAACAGAGTGAGACTCCATCCCCCACAAAAAAAGTAGTTGAGGACTGAGTGTAAAAGGACATTAACACAGTAGACAGTGAGGACAGGCAGCAGCCAATTCTCAAATCGTCACTTTCAAATACCGAGTGCATTTCAGTCTTGGTAGCACTGTGTAACGTCACTTCAGTCAGCAAATGGCCTTCCATTCTTGTGATAAGTACAGAAGAGAAGTCTCATTTTAGGATCCTAGCTGCTTTGTCATGTCATTTGACCTAGTACTTCGAAAGGTGATGTGTGTGGGCCTGGGATTGTCTGAGTGGTCAGTGATGCCTCAGGCTTTCCCTAAACTGAAGGAGGTGACAAGACGAATGGTCACGGTTTGTCCTTGGAGCTCTTGTTTACTGTCTCTCTCCCTTTAGAGCCCTTCACTGGGTTACACCTCAGATGCTGTGTGTCCCTGTTAATGAAGACATCCCAGAAGTGTCTGATACGGTGTTGAAGGCAATCACAGGTCAGTGAAACCAAGAGCCTTTTTATTGGGATGTTTTCCCCTTAAAGTTAACATTTTACTGTAATATTAGTGTATAACTTTGTAAAATGCAGATTATTGAAGGTACATTGGAATGTAGTAAAAGTGATTTGTAAGATTGTTAGTTTTATGAATTTGATGGCATTCAGAAGAGCAGGTTAACTCTTTTCCCCCTTTATTTTCAGGGATTATGGTCTCGTTTCTTGGGCATTGAACTAAACTAAGGTCAAATACAGATAGAATAATTTTTTTTGTTCTTTTTTTATGTAGTTTTTTAAATTCAGCTGACTGTTCCCATGATAGAACAAATTTCTTAAGATTCAGTTGCATTTATATATTCAAAATAATTTTGGAGAGAGGAAGGGAACTGGTAAGGCAAGGTAATCCTCACGCTGGAGTAACGTAGTAAAATGATGCCTCTGACTGGTTGTTAGAGAAGCGCTGTGAGTTATTTTTCTGGTTTAATCAGGAAATAAATGAAGTTCCCCAGGTTGATGTGGTGCTGCCGTTCTAGACAGGTCCAGCCTCCTAATAAGGTTTGTTTCTCATTCATGGGAATGACCCAGGAAGAGTGCAGCACAAACGTTTCAATTAAAAAGAAAATCTTAACGGAGAGATGGTCATCTTTGGCCAGTGTCTCCTTTATTAGAAAGAGGCCTTGGAAAGGCTTGTTCATGTAGACATTGTTAATGAAATTCTACTGGAAAGGAAGTGGGTTAACTGATAATAGTAGTGTTGGAGGCTGGCCATCGAGTAGGCTTCTTTTGTTACAGGAACCAGAGACTCACCCAAGCTACAGAAGAAATGGAGATTTGCTTAAGGTATTATCAGGTTTATAAAGAATCTGGTGGAGTCTTTCAGGACCTCAGCCCCAACGGTCCTCTAGGGAGTGGGCTATCTTACTGCCTCTACGCAGAAGAGGGTCTGCTCCAGGCATTCTCTGCTGATGTGATTCTTCCACTTTTCGGGTTCTGCTTCTCTTTGTGTATCTTCCCATGTCAACTCCTGTTGTTAAGTAAATTACTGGTTTCTGTAATTTCCTGTGCACGTTCTGGGGGTAGAATCCAAGTGGCCTAGGTCAATACTATGTGTTTTTTTTCTTGCAAGCTTTTCTGCTATTCTATGGCATAGGTCATGACTACTCTGCCCCCCGCACCTTTTGCTCGGGGAACCTCATAAGAGGTTGAAGGTGAAAAAAAAAAAAAAGAGGTTGAAGCTGGAGGCCTTCTAAAAGCCTGAATATGGACCTGGGACTTTTGTTTTTCCTGACTCTTACTAGAAAGTTCAAGATCAGCTGCTTTACATTTAGAGTGTTCCATGGGAGTTTTGTCCAAGCCAACGTAGCCTTTACGACCTATTGCTAATAAGGAAGTCCCCGGCCTTCCTGGCCTCTTTCACCCAGGTAGGGCATGGTTCATTGGGGCGTCAGCTGGTAGCGAGTGTTTCTGTGACCCATCAGTGGTGAAAGTAGGGGTGGGTTGCCCAAGGGATCAGGGAAGTGTAGCTGTGTTCCAGAAATATTGAGACTTGATAGGAGAGGCTGCCTGTCAAGTTACGCAGTGTGGGTCACATTCTTCTAGGGCTGAGAACTCATGTTCTGGGCTGACAAGTAATACGAGGTCTGTTGAAGAGAACTGCATAAAATTTTGAGAGTCATCAAGTGCTCTGCCCTGAGGTCGAACACTCTTCAGGACTTCTGAAAGGAAGTGTGTGTCACCCCAGGAAGGGGACCAGAGAGTCCATCATCAGCTCCTCTTAGCTCCAAGAGTTTAGGACAAAGAGAGTGTCAGGGCCTGTGGCTGATGGTGGAAATTTCCCTTTCTCTCTGTTTTGTTTTTTTAATTTTTAATTTTTATGTGTACATAATAGGTGTATATATTTATGAGTTCCATGAGCTATTGTGATCAAGGCAGGTAATGAGTCGTAATCACCTTAGGGGAAATGGGGTTCATCCTCTGAAGCATTTAGCTTTTATGTTACAGACAACCCAGTTATATTCTCTTAATTACTCTTAAATGTACAATTAAATTACTTTTGACTACAGTTCCCCTTCCGTGCTAGCAATACTAGGTCTTATTCATTCTTTCTAACTTTTCTGGTACCCCTTGGCCATCCCCACTATCCCCCTTGCCCCCCACTACCTTTCCTATCCTCTGCTAACCATCCTTCTGGTAAAACATCCTTCAGTTGTTTTAATTTTTTAGCTCTCACAAATGAGTGAGAACATGTGATGGTTGTCTTTCTGTGCCTGGCTTATTTCACTTAACATAATATCCTCCTGTTTCATCCATGTTGTTGCAAATGACTGGATCCCGTTCTTTGGTATGGCTGAATAGTACTCCACTGTGTATGTGTGCCACGTTTTCTTTATCCATTCATCTGTTGACAGACACCCTTTCCCATTTGGCTCCGCTTGCATGACTTCTGTGTGGCTATGGGGGCAGTGGTTCTCAGCCAGGCACTAGTGGTCCTGGGTTCATTTGACAACATCCGGAGACATTTTTATTTATTTATTTTTGAGACAGGATCTCTCTGTCACCCAGGCTGGAGTGCAGTGGCACAATCATGGCTCACTGCAGCCTTGACCTCACAGGCTTAAGCGATCTTTCCGCCTCAGCCTCCCAAGTAGCTGGGACCACAGGCCACCACGCCCAGCTAATTGTTGTTTACATTCTGTAGAAACAGAGTTTCATCATGTTGCCTTGACTGTTCTCAACCTCCTAGACTCAATTGGTCTTCCCACCTTTACCTTCCAAAGTACTAGGATTACAGGTGTGAGCCACGAAGCCGGGCCTGGAGACATTTTAAAATGTCACAGCTGTGGGGTGCTACTAACATCTAGTGGGTAGAGGCCAAGTATGCTACTAAACATTCTACAGGCACAAGATGGTTCCCTACAACAAAGAATTATTCAGCCCCAAATGTCAGGAGTGTCCATGTTGAGAAGCCATGACCTGGAGGAGGTATAGCCTTTGTTTTCACACCACCATTAAAGATAAGCCTGGACACCTGGATCCAGCAGAGATGGAGTGCACACTCAGCTCTATACTTCCTATTCATGAGAAGGCAGAGCCCTGGGAGAAGACATAGAGCAATTATGCAGGGCTCTGAAAAGTAAATCATAGCAGGCAGGCTGGGGAGGGAAATTATTAGACAGCAGTGAGTTTCCTGTATGTTGCTTTCTTCTCACATATCTCCTAGTTGAGACTTTGAAGCAGTGCAAATCATGGAATCACACACCAGGATGGGAATCCAAAGAGTTCCACGAAGAATTCCTTCAGGCCAGAGGATGCTAGGAAGGGGTCTCTGCAGGATGAAGCATGTGGAAGAGATCCCTTGGGGTGTTTGTCTTCCTTTATTCTCCTTTTCCTTCCCTTCTCTCCCTTTTTCCACCCCAGCCATGCCTTATGGCAATAGCAGCCACACATCCAGATAAAACATAATTCACTTTTTACTCGCTTTCAAAATGTCAGCAATAAAGATGAACAGGATGCCAGATGAAAGAACATTGAAAAATAAAGATTAACAAGAAAGTGGTTTAAACTTTAAAAGAATAAAAATCACCAATAAAAGGCAGAAGTCTAAAGATAAATGAAGGTATTAAAAATGGCTTTAAAAATCTTACCCAATCTTGGGCCAAGCGCTGTGGCTTACACCTGTAATCCCAGCACTTTGGGAGGCCGAGGTGTGTGGATCACGAGGTCAGCAGTTTGAGACCAGCCTGACCAACATGGTGAAACCCCGTCTCTACTAAAATACAAAAAAATTAGCTGGGCATGGTGGCGGGCACCTGTAATCCCAGCGACTTGAGAAGCTGAGGCAGGAGAATCGCTTCAAACTGGAAGGCAGAGGTTGCAGTGAGCCAAGATTGCACCACTGCACTCTAGCCTGGGCAATAAGAGCAAAACTTTGTCTCAAAAAAAAAAAAAAGAAAAAAAAAGTCGGTAGTGGCTTCGTCCTCCACTTTTCTCTTCCTCCGCTGATGCCTCCCAGCTCTCGTCAGCCTCCTGCTGGCCATCTCCTTAACACCAAACACTATGCCTTCAATTCAGTTGCAGAGTTTTGATGGAGAGATATTTGCAGTTGATGTGGAAATTGCCAAACAATCTGTGACTATCAAGACCACGTTGGAAGATTTGGGAATGGATGATGAAGGAGATGACCCAGTTCCTCTACCAAATGTGAATGCAGCAGTATTAAAAAAGGTCATTCAGTGGTGCACCCACCACAAGGATGACCCTCCTCCCCCTGAAGATGATGAGAACAAAGAAAAGCAAACAGACGATATCCCTGTTTGGGACCAAGAATTCCTGAAAGTTGCTCAAGGAACACTTTTTGAACTCATTCGGGCTGCAAACTACTTAGACATCAAAGGTTTGCTTGATGTTACATGCAAGACTGTTGCCAATATGATCAAGGGGAAAACTCCTGAGGAGATTCGCAAGACATTCAATATCAAAAATGACTTTACTGAAGAGGAGGAAGCCCAGGTACGCAAAGAGAACCAGTGGTGTGAAGAGAAGTGAAATGTTGTGCCTGACACTGTAACACTGTAAGGATTGTTCCAAATACTAGTTGCACTGCTCTGTTTATAATTGTTAATATTAGACAAACAGTAGACAAAAGCAGTGGCAAGTCAATTGTATTAGCAGAATATTGTCCTCATTGCATGTGCAGTTTGAGTACAGATTCCAAACCTATGGCTGAGTTTCTTCTAGTATGATCAAAAGTTTCTTTTTTTTTTTTTTGCTCTGAATAAAACTGAACTGTGGGTTCTCTATAAGTGGCATTTTGGGTTTTCCTTCTTTTTTGTAAAGTAATGTCTGCCTAGTTTATTGTCCAGTTAACTTTAGTGACCTTTTAAAAGTTGGCATTGTAAATAAAACAACTTGCAAAAAAGTTTTCTGGAATAGAATTAACAAAATATTATCTTTATTCATGAGTTGGAAACTGGAAAAAGGCTTCTTGAAGTAAATGTTCTGAGTGGAGTTAACTAGGATGTCTTCCAGCCTCCTGCAGTCAAGGAGTACCACTGTAATGATTAGTCTGTATGTAGCAGGGCTCCCTTCATTGCATTTGAGGACTTGTTTTCTTTTTCTTTAATTTTATTTTTAATCCTCTTAGTTTTAAATATATTGCCTAGAGACTCGGTTACTACCCAGTTTGTGGTTTTTTGGGAGAAATATAACTGGACAGTTTGTTAGCTTTTCAATTAAAAAGACACTTAACCCATGTGGGATGTCATGTTTTTATAATCATTGTTCCCATGTGGAGAAAATTATTCACACTACTTGCATGTAAAAAATAATTTAACTTTTTACATTAAAATATGTGGTAAAACCCAGAAAGCATCCATCATGAATGCAAGATACTTTCAATAAAAAGTAAGTTATAAAAAAAAAGTCTTACCCAGTCTTACCCAATTCTTATTTATAAGTTCCATATAAGTAGAAAAGAAAAATAAATAGATCAAGACATAGTAACAGTAATTATAACCTAGAATTAAAAGATTAAAGGAACCAAACAATAAAATAAGCAAAAGTTATGTAATTCACACAGTAGCCTCATAAGGGAATAAAAGCACTCAAAAGTTAAGATAAGGCCTGTGCACTGCCCAATGTATCTGTCCCCCACACGTTGTCTTTCATGGCAGATGGGCCAAGGAGGGTTCCCCAGGAAGCTGACCTCAGGGATGATCTAAGAGCTGAAAGAACCCTTTGGTATACCCCACTGCCTGGCCAGAGTCTGAAAGTTTTATTCCTGCTAGTGGCAAGAATTTGGTGTAAAATTAAGCTGCCTTGGCTCTTTTATGATGTTCCAAGTTACCGGCAGATGTGCACCCATAGAGGCACGCTGCCTCTCCAGCAGTGCTGTCACCACGTGCTTCAGCACCCTTTGCTGTCCGCCACGCTTGTTGGAAAAGGTTGGGCATTCATGAGAGCCCACTGCTTGGACTTAGTGGTAGTCGTGGGTAGTGAAATTTTTCTCTGGGAGAATTAAAATGTTATTTTGAGATTAAATTTATTACCTTACTTGATCCCCTCTGCCAATTAGCAGGTGTGAATGTCGTGATTTCTGTAGCTAGTGAAAATCCACATGCTGTAGAGTTGGCCACTGTAGGCCTAAGTGTGTTGGATTCTAGTAGCTGAATTTTTTTTTTTTTTTTTTAACAGGATTTTGCTCTCTTGCCCAGGCTGGAGTGCTGTGGTGTGATCATAGCTCACTGCAGCCTCAATCCCTCGGGCTTAAGCCATCCTTCTGCCTCACTGTTTTGAGTAGTTGGGACTACAGGCACATAGAAGCACGCTTGGCTAATTTTTGTATTCTCACATCCAGTACAAAGATGCTTTGTGTAGCATTTTTGTATAGCATTTTCTGAGATATTTTTTTAAAAAGGTCAGTTCAGAGGATGTGAAGTGATTTTCAAGCATTGTTTTGTTACAGTGGTTATTGATTCTAGGCAAGACAGTATTTAATTATCTGTAAGTTAATAAGGCTGAATACTTCCCCCCCCCCCCTTTTTTTTTTTCTTTTTTTGCTACGGGGCCTCACTCTGTCACCCAGGCTGGAGTGCAGTGGTACAATCGTAGCTCACCGCAGCCTTGACCACCCAGGCTCAAGCAATCCTCTCACCTCAGCCTGCTGTGTAGTTGGTACCACAGGCATGCACCATCACACTGGGCTAATTTTTTTTTTTTTTTTTTTGAGATATCGTGTCTCACTATGTTGCCCAGGCTCGTCTCATACTCCTGGGCTCAAGCAGTCCTCCAACCTCGACCTCTCTAAGAGCTGGAATTGCAGGCACGAGCCACCACTCCTGACCTGAATTCTTCCTTTTTCTTCCTACTAAACTCTGCTTATTTGCTTTCGACTAAATGTACTGTGAAGCTAATCAATTTGGAGTGGTGCAGCTTATGGACTTGGTTTTCTGTGCTAAGACCCTGCGAAGTAAGGGGTGGGGGGACGGGAAACCAGGATGTTTAGGGAGCATTTCTGATAAATTGCCTAAAAGATCTCAAAACAGGTACAAAAATTAGCTTAGCATTGTAGCAGGTGCCTGTAATCCTAGCTCCTCAGGAGGCTGAGGCAGGAGAATTCCTTGAAATGGGAGGTTGGGTTGCAGTGAGCCAAGATTGCACCATATCAACTGCATACCAACTTCCCACAAAAACTGACTTTTTGGGGACTCTCACATATCTTTAAAGTAGGTCATTGAATTGATTTTTTTGGAGGTTTCTCATATTGGTTGAATTATTCTGGTACGGACTCTTGCCTTATGTAGAGGTTTCTATTTCTCTTAAGTCAGTGTCAATACAATGGCTGGAGTTTCTGTTTTTGCAACAAGAAGGTGTTGGTATTTTATGTAGGGTAAATGTGATTAGAATAAACCTTTGGAACAGAAGTCTTTATTAATAAAGTTTTGCAATCCACCCCTGTTCCAAAAATTGATTTGATTCTTTCTTAGGAAAATATACATTATTATTAATACTCTCATGCTACAAAGGTTTTCTGGTTAAGCTGCAGCCATCATCATTCCTAAAAATGAAACATTGGAGACATTTGTCAAGATACTCAGTCTTCAAACAGAAATAAAAGTAGATAAAAAAGGAGTTAACATAATCAGTATAGAGCTATTATTGTCTGGTGGTGAGGACATGAACTCTGGAGCTGGAAGTCTTGGATTTGGTTTTGAATTTTATTCTGCTACTTATTAGCTCATTGGCCCTGAACAAATCTCATGTTTCAGAGCCCTCAGTTGTGAAATGGAGTTAATAATATTACTGCTTCATGGGGTTGTTGTCTGAACTTAGAACAAATAATAGCTATTATTTGTAAATGGTTATTTTATGTAGATAACCCAAGAGAAGTCTGGGTGTTGTGGCTCACACCTGTAATCGCTTTTGGAGGCAAGGCAGCAGGACTGCTTGAGGCCAGGAGTTCGAGAGCAACATCAGAAACATAGCGAGACCCCCATCTCTACAAAAAATAAAACACTAGCCGGGCATGGTAGTGTGTACCTGTAATTTCAGCTGCTGGGGAGGCTTGAGGGGAAGACCACCTAAGCCCAGGAATTTGAGCTTGCAGTGAGCTGTGATCTCACCACTGCATGCTGGCCTGAGTGAGACTCTTTCACAGAAAAAAAAAAAAAAAAAAAAGGAAAAAAGAAAACCCAAAAGAATTTATATTGAAACTATAGAATTTCATCTCCATCTTAGAGATGAAATTCTAAAATAACCATAAAAACTAACTGTACAAAATGACTTTCCTATATATTATTACTAACTACTTAGCAAATATTATGGAGAAACAATTAATTTACAATAGAAACAAATATAAATCACCTATAGAGAACAAGAGCTTTCAGGATCGTTATGAAAAACAGAAAATTGAGTGAGAAGCACAAAGATGTGACTGCACAGTGCCCTGTGCTTGGACTTTAGGGCTCTGTAGCTGCCATCGTGAAATTCTTTTTTTTCTTTTTCTTTATGAGATAAGGTCTTGCTCTGTCACCCAGGCTGGAGTGCAGTGTTGCAAACATTACTCATTGCAGCCTGGACCTTCTGGGCTCAAGCTAGCCTCCCTTCTCAGCCACCTGAGTAGCTGAGACTACACATGTGTGCCACTGCACCCAGCTAATTTTAAAATTTTTTATAGAGACAGCCTCTCACTTTTTTTTTTTTTTTTTTTTAAGTTGGAGTCTTGTTCTGTCGCCCAGGCTGGAGTGCAGTGGCACGATCTCAGTTCACTGCAACCTCCACCTCTTGGGTTCAAGCGATTTTCCTGCATCAGCCTCCCAAGTAGCTGGGACTACAGGTGCGTGCCACCATACCTGGCTAAGTTTTTATATTTTTAGTAGAGACGGGCTTTCACTGTGTTAGCCAGGATGATCTCGATCTCCTGACCTCATGATCCACCCGCCTCAGCCTCCCAAAGTGTTGGGATTACAGGTATGAGCCACCACGCCCAGCTGTCCTGGCTTGTTTTAAACTCTTGGGCTCAAGCAGTCCTCCCACCTTGGCTTCCTAATGCGCTGGGATTACAGGCATGAGCCTCTGTGCCCCACCCCACCGAAAAAAGAAATTTGTACTTAGTTTTTCCCCCCAGGATCCTCTGTGTGTTAAAAAAGGTTGAATGGGGAACCTGAAACTCCTCCCCCTGCTCTTGGAAGTGTAGGGCACTTCCCTTTCTCCACAGTGTCAGTAGAGGTTGGGTGGAGACTGAACTTCCAGCCCTGCCAGGTGAGCATGAATTGTTTGTTCCTGTCCTCTCCACCATCTCTGTGGTATTGGTGGGGGCTGAGAGGGGAGCCTGGATTTCTGCCTCCACCCATGGTAATGAGGTCGCAACTCCCTTTTCCCACCAGTGTGATGTTGGCTAAAGAATATTTAAATCAGATTGAGAGCCTCCTAATATAACACCCCAGACTTTCAAGACACAATAAAAAAATCACTCACCATCTGTGCGCAGTGGCTCCTGCCTGTAATCCCAGCACCTTGGGAGGCCAAGGCAGGCAGATCACCTGAGATCAGGAGTTTGAGACCAGCCTGGCCGACATGGCAAAACCCGGTCTCTACTAAAAATACAAAAATTAGCCGGGCGTGGTGGTGGGCACCTGTAATCCCAGCTACTTGGGAGGCTGAGGCAGGAGAATTGCTTGAACCCCAGCGGCGAAGGTTGCAGTGAGCCAAGATTGCGCCCTGCACTCCAGACTGTGAGACAGAGCTAGACTCTGTCTCAAAAAAAAAAAAAAAAAAGAAAAAGAAAAAAGAAAAAAAAATGGCCGGGTGCAGTGGCTCAAGCCTGTAATCCTAGCATGTTCGGAGGCCGATGGGGGCAGATCACCTGAGGTCGGGAGTTTGAGACCAGCCTGGCCAGCATGGCGAAACCCTGTCTCTACTAAAAGTACAAAAGTTAGCTAGGCACGATGATGGGAGCCTGTAAAATCCCAGCTACTCAGGAGGCTGATGCAGGACAATAGGTTGAACCCAGGAGGTGGAGGTTGCAGTGAGCCAAGATCGCACCACTGCACTCCAGACTGCATGACAAGAGCGAGATTCTGTGTCAAGAAAAAAAATCATATCTGAACCAAATGACACATATGTTGGAATTACCTGACAAAGATTTTAAAGAAAACATCATAAAAATTCACCAATGAGTAAAGAGAAACATGCTTCAAACAAATGAAAAAACCCCAGCAAAACCACTGGAGACATGAACCAAATGGAAATTTTAGAATCGCAACTGATAATAACTGGAAGTTCTTAAATTTCGTATTAGAGGGCCGGGCATGGTGGCTCACACCTGTAATCTCAGCACTTTGGGAGGCTGAGGCGGGTGGATCACCTGAGCTCAGGAGTTCGAGGCCAGCCTGGCCAATGTGGTGAAACCCTGTCTCTACTAAAAATACAAAAATTAGCTGGGCACGGTGGTGCATGCCTGTAATCCCAGCTACTCGGGAGGCTGAGGCACAAGAATGACTACTTGAACTGGGAAGCAGAGGTTGCAATGAGCCAAAATGGTGCCACTGCACTCCAGCTTAGGCGACAAAGAGAGACTCCATCTCAAAAAAAAAAAAAAAAAAATTCATATTAGAATTGCAGTGACTGAAGAATGGATCTATTAACTGGGATATAGATCAATAGAAATTCCCAATGTGAACAACAGAGAGAAAATTGAACCTTTAAAGTGTAGGCTTAGGGACAGGTGGGACGGTAAAAAAAAAAAAAAAAAAAAAAAAATCTATCATTCTTGTCACTGGAGTCCTAGAAGGAGAGGAGAAAAATGCATATGGCTAAAAAATTAAATAGCAGCTGAAGATCTCCCCCAAATTTTCAAAGGCAGAAAGCTGTAGATTTAAGAAGGAGAATGAACCACAAACAGGATAAATTAAATAAATTATGCAAGGATATGTCACAAACCTCTCAGAATTAAAGACAAAAAAAACCTTGAAAGTAGTTAAACAGCAAATGACAGATTACCTATAGTGGAACGATTGATTGATGGATGGATGGATTTTTTGAGACAAGACCTCTCTGTCACCCAGGCTGGAGTGCAATGGCAAAATCATGGCTCAAGGCAGCCTCAGCTCCCAGACTCATGCTTCAGTGAGGTGTGACTCTGCCACTGTACTCCAGCCTGCATGACAGAGTTAGAGTTTGTCTCAAATTTATTTATTTATTTATTTTTGGCTAGGCGCAGTGGCTCATGCTTGTAATCCAGCACTTTGGGAGGCTGAGGCAGGCGGATCATGAGGTCAAGAGATCGAGACCATCCTGGCCAACATAGTGAAACCCTGTCTCTACTAAAAATGCAAAAATTAGCTGGGCTTGGTGGCATGTGCCTGTAGTCCCAGCTACTCAAGAGGCTGAGGCAGGAGGATCGCTTGAACCTGGGAGGCAGAGGTTGCAGTGAGCCGAGATAATGCCACTGCACTGCAGTTCAAAAAAAGAATTTTTTTTTTTAATTAAAAAGTTCTAGTATCTAAAATGAGCAAAATCACTGTGTGCAGCCGAGGTGGGTGGATCATCTGAGGTCAGGAGTTCAAGACCAGGCTGCAGGGAGCCGAGATTGCACCACTGCACTCCAGCCTGGGAGAAAGAGTGAGACTCCGTCTCAAAAAAAAGTAAAAATGCATTTAAAAGAACAGCATCAACCAGGTACAGTGGCTCATGCCTGTAATCCCAACACTTTGGGAGGCTGAGGGTGGAGGATAGCTGAGCCCAGGAGTTTGAGACCAGCCTGGGCAACATGGTGAAACTCTGTCTCTACAACAAAAATTAGCCAAACGTGGTAGCATGCACCTGTAGTCTCAGCTACTTGGGAAGCAGGGGCAGGATTGCTTGAGTCTGGGAGGTCGAGGCTGCCATGATTGTACTACCTACTCCAGCCTGGGCAACAGAGCAAGACCCTGTCTCAAGAAAAAAAATGCAAAAACAAAACAAAAGAGAATAACATCATTTCCTTATCATTAGTTTGAAGTGAGTCATTGGTAAAAGTTTCTATTTTCAAAAAAAGCATTAAAATATAGTGTGAGGCCAGGCATGATGGCTCATTCCTGTAATCCCAGCACTTTGGGAAGCTGAAATGGATTGCCTGAGCCCCGGAGGTTGAGGCTGCAGTGAGCCATGTTTGTGTCACTTCACACTAGCAGCCTGGGGAACAGAGCAAGACCTTGTCTCAAAACAACAATACGTGGTTTACCACAACCAACAGGAAAAATCTGTATAAAACTGTATGAAATATTTACTGCTGTGCTCAACATGGTAGTGTAGAGGTCAAGGGCAAAAGTCCTGGGGTCAGGCCACCTGGTCTACTGTCTAATTAGCTGTGTCATCTTTGGAAAGGTACTTGAACTCTCTGTGCCTTAGAATTCGTTTTCTAAAATGTGGGCGGGGCACGGTGGCTCATTCTTGTAATCCCAGCCCTTTGGCAGGCTGAGGCCGGCGGATCACGAGGTCAGGAGGTCGAGACCATCCTGGCTAACACGGTGAAACCCTGTCTCTACTAAAAATACAAAAAATTAGCCGGGCGTGGTGGCAGGCGCCTGTAGTCCCAGCTATTTCGGAGGCTGAGGCAGGAGAATGGCGTGAACCCGGGAGGCGGAGCTAGCAGTGAGCCGAGATCACGCCACTGCACTCCAGCCTGGGCGACAGAGCGCGACTCCATCTCAAAAAAAAAAAAAAAAAAAAAAAAACACACACGCACACACACACACAAAATTAGCCGGGCGTGGTAGTGGGCACCTGTAATTCCAGCTACTGCGGAGGCTGAGGTTGGAGAATTGATTGAACCCAGGAGGCAGAGGTTTTTATACTTGCTAGGCAGAACTTAATTAACAATCAATTAGGAAAAGATATCGAAGCAGTAAACTGAAGTCAGGGTGAAAAGTTCTGTTGACCAAACATGGATTCTCTCCTTCTAGAACCAAGTTACAGTTGGAGTTACAGAAAATACTTTGAACAGGTCCTTTGGTATCCTGTAGGAAATCAGACAAAAACATAGATCAGTTACTTTCTTTTTCTTTTTTGACACAGTGTCTCACTCTGTCGCCCAGGCTGGAGTGCGGTGGCCAGATCACCGCTCACTGCAGCCTCCACCTCCTGGGCTCAAGCGATCCTCCTGCCTCAGCCCCGCAAGTAGTGCGGACTACAAGCCCGCGCCACCATGCCCAGCTAATTTTTTGTATTTTTGTAGAGACAGGGTTTCACCATGTTGCCCAAGCTAGTCTGGAACTCCTCAGCTCAAGCGATCCGCCCACCTCAGCCTCCCAAAGTGCTGGAATTAAGGGCCCCTGAGCCACGGGGCCGGCCCAATTACTTTACTCAGTTTGAGCATTAGCACTGGAAGAAAAGCTGTCACTTGCATATATATTTTTTTAAAGACATGATCTCACTCTGTCCTGTCACCCAGGCTGGTGTGCAGTGGCGTAATGTCGGCTTACTGTAACCTTAACCTCCCGGGCTCAAGCAATTCTTTTTTTTTTCTTTTTGAGACGGAGTCTCGCTCTGTCGCCCAGGCTGGAGTGCAGTGGAGCGATCTCGACTCACTGCAACCTCCGTCTCCCGGGTTCAAGCAATTCTCTGCCTCAGCCTCCCTAGTAGCTGGGATTATCGGTGCCCGCCACCACGCCCGGCTAATTGTTGCATTTTTAGTAGAGACGGGGTTTCACCATCCTGGTCAGGATGATCTTGTACTCCTGACCTCGTGATCCACCTCCCTTGGCCTCCCAAAGTGCTGGGATTACAGACGTGAGCCACCACGCCTGGCCCGATCGCTTTTATTTTTAATAAGATGTTTTCTTCGTTTCCTAGCCCCTTCTACCACCCTACAAATTTCCAAAGATTTTAATGTTGCTGCAACAGCCATCAGATGTCAAGCTAGGGGGTGCAGCTCCCTAATGCGGGGCAGCCTCAGAGGGGGCCAACCCTGCCCAGTATGAGCGGCGCTGGGCGGCAGGGGACGCTGCTGTGGTCCCCGGTACCTGGCTGGGTTAGGTGTTGGGGGCCGCACCTACACAGCCTCAGGTGAGGCGAGTGCGTGGCAAGGACTGCAGCTGGCTCTAGCGGGCTTGTGCTGTCCATTGAGGAGCTTCTGCGCCACCTTGTGCTTGTGCCCGCTGGGCGCCAGCAGGTTGGTGCGCAGCGCGTGCTCCAGTAGCGTCAAGCCCTTGCTGCGCCCAACGCGCAGGTAGTAGTAATCCAGGCAGTGGTAAAGCTCCCCTTGTAGCTTATTGTTGCCTGCCGCCGGGTCCGAGCCTGCAGAAGCTGACAGCTGCCTGTGGCCACCCGCCTGCGCATGCGCGCTTCTGGAAGACCCAGGCCCCCCTCCCCCGCAGCCCCGCCTCGAGTTCCGATTGGGCGCACCTCTGGTGACGTCACGGGGACGGGCGTTCGCCGAAGGCGCGTGTCTTCGGCGATGTCACAGCACCGGGCCTTCCGCGACGTCACAGTGACGGTACAGTGCCTGGAGCTAGGCTGTTTTCTCCTTAGAGTGGAGCTTGGTAACCGCGACCTCCCTGCCAGGTCCTTTGTGTTGCTGTCTGGAGATGGGTAGTTGACAAACTCCGACCCAGCACTGTTTCTGTGGGTCAAAACTAGAAAACTATGTCTGGATGCGGCCGAGGCGGAAGGATCCCTTCAGGCCAGGAGTTAAAGAGCAGCCTCAGCAACGTGGCGCGACCCAGTCTCAGTAGTTTCACCTCAACTTCCCAGCTCCTTGAACCCCAAGGTTCAAGGCTGCCATGAGCTGTGATCCCATCACAGCACTCCGTCCTGCGAGACTGAGGTAAACCATGTCTAAAAAAATAAAAAAATAAACTATCCAACTGTGCAACAGGGAGGGACTGCTTAAAGAAAACATGAGGCTGGCTGGACTCTATAATCCCAGCACTTTGGGAGGCCGAGGGGGAGGATGGCTTGGTCTAAGGAGTTCGAGACTGCCCTGGGCAACGTGACGCAACCCCGTCTGTAGAAAAGTTTCAAAAATTAGCCAGGCGTGGTGCACGCTTGGTGTATTTTTTTCCCCCCCGAGACGGAGTCTCGCTTTTTCGCCTAGGCTGGAGTGCAGTGGCGCGATCTCGGCTCATTGCAAGCTCCGCCTCCCGGGTTCATGCCATTCTCCTGCTTCAGCCTCCCCAGTAGCTCGGACTACAGGAGCCCGCCACCAAGCCCAGATAATTTTTTTGTATTTTTAGTAGAGTCGGGGTTTCACCGTGGTAGCCAGGATGGTCTTGATTTTCTGACCTCATGATCTGCCCGCCTCGGCCTCCCAAAGTGCTGGGATTACAGGCGTGAGCCACGGCGCCCGGCCTGTTGCATCTAGTTTTACTCAAGCAAAGGCTGTGGACTTCCTTAGTTTACACTGATGTATTCTAGTTTGCATCTGAAGTGTACTCTGAGGATGCTGACTTCCAGATAGCCATTTTTGGGTCAAGGGAAGTTAAAGTCTCCTGAGTATAGTAGCCATACCACCTAGAGAGCTTCCTTTTAGTTTGCTTAAAAAATGTATTTTACCTTAGTTTTCTTACATTAGGTGGGCAAAATAAGAAAGAGCAGAAGGCCAGGCGTGGTGGCTCATGCCTGTAATCCCAGCACTTTGGGTTTCTGAGTCAGGCGGATCACCTGAGTTCAGGAGTTCGAGACCAGCCTGGCCAACATGGTGAAACCCCATCTCTACTAAAAATACAAAAATCAGCCGGGTATGGTGGCATGTACCTGCAATCTCCACTACTTGGGAGTTTGAGGCATCAGAACTGCTTGACCTCAGTAGGCGGAGGTTGCAGTGAGCCGAGATTGCACCACTGCACTCCAGCCTGGGGGATAGAGCAAGACTCTGTCTCCAAAAAAAGAAAAGAAAAGTTTAGGGACACTCAGCAAAACTATAAGGCCTAGAATTGGAAACTGGGAATTACTCTGTTCGTAGATAATTTCTTTTCAAGATGGGCTAGTGGAGTTTCTGAGCAGCAGCTATGTTCTCCTTTCACATCTTCAGGTTTTATGAGGTTACCTTTCCCCCTCTGAGTGATCAGATCTGCCTCACAGTCACTCATGGGAGCCCTTGATCTCGACAAAATAGACCTTGAGTAGCTGAGTTCAAATAACTGAGGTGGCAAGAGGGGATCGGCTTCTTGGTTCGTGTATATATATATATTTTGTTTTGTTTTGTTTTAATGAAAGAGAGAAGCAGTCTCAAGGTCAGGATAACTCACCCTGATGTTCTCACTTTTCAGGGATTGTGCTGCATTCTGACTTAGATTCTGCCATCAAAAACAGAATGCCCTGATCCTTAGAGGCAGAGGCAGCTCTTCAGCCTATGGGGTAAGTAACCAGGGAATGGAGTTCTCACCAATTCTTATTTTCTATGCTAAAAGTTTTACTTTAAGATTTGGGCCTGGCTGGGTGCCGTGGCTCATGCCTGTAATCCCAGCACTTTGGGAGGCTGAGGTGGGAGGTCAGGAGATCACGAGGTCAGGAGATCGAGACCATCCTGGCTAACATGGTGAAACCCTGTCTCTACTAAAAATACAAAAAATTAGCCGGGCGTGGTGGCGGCAGCCTGTAGTCCCAGCTTCTCCGGAGGCTGATGCAGGAAAATGGCGTGAACCCAGGAGGCGGAGCTTGCAGTGAGCCGAGATCGCGCCACTGCACTCCAGCCTGGGCAACAAAGCAAGACTCCGTCTCAAAAAAAATATATATTTGGGCCTGCTTCTTTTTTGTGTGTGTGTAATGGAGTTTCACTCCTGTTGCCCAGGCTGTAGTGCACTGGTACTATCTCAGCTCACTGTAACCTCCACCTTCTGGGTTCGAGGGATTCTTATACCTCATACCTCAGCCTCCTGAGTAGCTGGGATTATAGGCATCCACCACCATGCTCAGCTAATTTTTGTATTTCATAGTAGAGACAGGGTTTTACCATGTTGGCCAGGCTGAAACGCCTTACCTCATGTGATCTGCCCACCTTGGCCTCCCAGAGTGCTGGGATTACAGGCGTGAGCCACCGTGCCCAGCCTAAACTGCCCAATTTTAAGGGGACAATTGGGAAAACAATTGTTTAAAAAGGCAATGAAGGCGTTGCCATGACTGTGGTTAGCAGTGTGAAGATCCTAGAAAACCTGCGTGAACTCCTGGGGGCTCATAGTCTACTGCCTGGTCAAGAGCTTTAGAAAACTTGGATGTACATGTTAGGACACCAGGTTCTGAAAGCTCTCAGGGTTGTATAAACTTCTATATTAAGTTCCATGATGCTCGATGGGTAGTCCCACATTTAGACACGCTATTGCTATTGCTGCTTCTTTCCTTATCATGAAAAGAGAAGATGCAGATAATACCTGAAGCAGGAAGACAAAGGGGAGATACTGAACTTGTCATCTAACTTTGGGTGCCCCTCATGCTTCGTGTTTCCCATTGAGCCTCATTTATCAGTGACACAGGGAATGGTCCCTTTGCTCTCCACTTTCCCTGTGGCTGCCTGGAGGTAGGGGAGGCAGATCATGTCACTTGCCGACATTATGTTGCTGTGGATTCGTTGGAGCGACAGGAACAGGAAATTTTCCTGGTGGTGTATGTATCACTGGGGCTCACAGGGGTACTTTTTAGTCTTCTCACTGGCCTCTGTGATTCTGTGACCCTGGTTATTACATGTTCAGAAAGTGTCAGCTTATTTGAAAGTGATACTCTTCTTTTCTATTTAAACATTGCCAAAGACCATCACACTATTTTTTTAAATTGAAATATTTTTTTATTTTTTATTTTTTGGAGATAAGAGTCTTGCCCTTTCATATGAACATGAAGGGACTCATAGTCCTTCACCTGTTGTTGGTCTTTAATTTGATAACGTATCAGTAAAGGGTTATGTCTGAATGAATTATAGAAGTTTAGGACCTAAAAAAGGAAGGTCCCAGAAACTGGGCTTTGGTTTATTTTTACTACTACACTTGCTATCGAAACCAAGCAGGTGACTTCATTTCTCTTGGATTCAGCTTTCTCATGTGTCAGGATGGGAGAGGAAGGGAGGCGTTGGGATAAGTGTCATTCCACTGTCTGTACTTCAAATCTGGCTAACACGTGTGGCAAATACTTAGATTTGTTGACAGAGGTTTCCTGGAGTGCTGTCTTGAACGATTCTGAACAGGCTCAGCAAGAAAGTATGTTTCAGTTTTAGGTGTATCTGTCATGGAGAAGGAAGTAAGGACTGGGGAGCACTCACAGCATTCCTGGGGCATTCCTGTCCATTATTTCAATACCTGGTGCTGATGTTTCCTGTCTCTTGTCAGGAATCCTGTCTACTGTGTGTCTGATGACATGAACTTACTGAGTGCTGCTTAGTTGCATCATAGACACCACCTGTCTTTGAACAGCTACCCTGACTCTTGATGGAATGCAAAGGCTGCCGAGGGCCACTGGTGTGTGGAATGGCCTTCGGTCATTTCTGCTTAGAACACAGAGGTCATTTTGGCTACTAACATAACTCTTCTTTTGAGTGAAAGGGTTAAAATGTTCCTCCCAAAAGTACTTAATTTTTAGGCTTGTTCTTCAGATGTGCCCAATATCCTAAGCAAAATGCCTTCAATATGAAGTGAATATTGCTTGATTGTAGGGAACTTGTCCATAATGTACTTGAGAATGCAGATAAAAATAAAAGAATGTCTGTGTCAAATTTTATTTTTCACAAATTATGTTCTCTTTCAGCTTAAGCTCTTGGACTCACTGAGGCAGTAAAAGAACCATATCCTGTGTTTGAATCAAACCCCGAGTTCCTGTATGTTTAGAAGGTTTGCCAGACAGGATTCCCTTTTGAAGCCCTCCTGGTTTGGAATTCCATGACTTAAAAGGATCGTCCGTGGGAGTAATAACATCAAGTCTGTTGGTAAAAAGTAAGTTTTAGGCCAGGTGTGGTGGCTCATGTCTGTAATCCCAGAACTTTGGGAGGCTGAGGCGGGCAGATCACCTGAGGTCCGGAGTTCGAGACCAGCCTGGCAGACATGGGAAAACCCTGTATCCACTAAAAATACAAAGAATTAGGTGAGCATGGGGGCGGGCACCTGTGATCCCAGCTACTTGGGAGGCTGAAGCAGGAGAATCACTTGAACCTGGGAGGCAGAGGCTGCAGTGAGCCAAGATCACAACACTGCACTCCAGCCTGAGTGACAGAGCGAGACTCTGCCTCAACAACAACAACAACAATAAAAAGTAAGTTTTATTTGCCACTGTCGTCATTTCTGGAATTAAAACAATAAAATGACATTTCTACTAAAACGTTTTTCTAGCTAGAGGTGACAGGTGTGGCTGTAAGTCCTTGATGGAAAAGCCTGGCTCTGAGCCACAGTCCTGGCACTCTCCATTGCCCCTGCCATTCCCCATCCCGTACTCAGTCATCTTCATCAGTGCAAGAATAGTGACCGCTGCCTCCACGATGTTCAGACACACTGTGGTGGCATGCACTATACCTAAGTACTTGAATGAAGTTTAATCTGCTGGGTTTTTTCTGCTCTGTTATTCCTGGGTCAATCTTATTAGCAAGTAAATATTGATGATTGAGTTTCTTCTCCTTTTTCTGAGACAGAGTTTCACTCTTGTTGCCCAGGCTGCAGCGCAATGGCGCGATCTCCACTCACTGCAACCTCTGCCTCCCAGGTTCAAGTGATTCTCCTGCCTCAGCCTCTGAAGTAGCTGGGATAACAGGCATGCACCACCATGCCCGACTAATTTTTGTATTTTTCGTAGAGATGATGTTTCACCACGTTGGTCGGGCCGGTCTCAAACTCCTGACCTCAGGTGACCCACCCACCTCAGCCTCCCAAAGTATGGGGACTGCAGGTGTGAGCCACCATGCCTGGCCTGATGATTGAGTTTTTCTTATTATATCTGCATTTCTGCAGAACTTTAGTGGCTGAAGAAAGTACACTAGTGTTAATTTTCTTTTTCATGAAAGAAGTAATTTACTCTTCAGACAATTACTTGCCAGTCATAGGAAGGAAAAGTCAGGGTTTTCATCCACAATGATAGGAATTATTGTGACATTACAGGATGACTCTGTGATCAGCTTTAGGAAAAAACCCTGGTCATATCACAACCGTTTTACTAGCTGTGAGGCCACCATTGTTGGTAAAAAGTAAGTTTCTTTCTAGACCTGAACTAGTTATTTCCTAGTTACCTCCTGGAGTGGCTAATAAAATAAACACTAAAGGTAAGAGATTACCTGTATTTCGTATTATATTTCACTGCATTAAGACACTCTATATCAGCATTTTTTAAATCACACAGAATCATTGTCCACTATCTTTGTGGGACTTGCAGTTAGTTTCTTGCCTTTTTAAGGTATTTTATTTAATGGACTTCTTTTTCTTTAAAAAAATTTTGTTGGAAGTGTCACATTTGCAATCCCACTTCACTCATGTTTCCATGGCTTTGTTGAGCCCCCTGTGGAGGATTACACTACAAGTTTAATTCTGCAGGTTTCTTTGAAAAGAGTCAAACTGAAAGAATTTTAATGCTCTGCTCTTATAAAGCATCTCCTTCTGTATTTTTTTCTACAATATACTAAAGTAATTCTGTGCTCTATTTTACAGCTTCGCAGTTTCTAAAAAGACCACGAAGCCCTGAGAGTAATGAAAAGGTTCCTGAAATTGAGGTCACTGTGGAAGGTAAGGGCCAGTCCTTGCCATGTTTCTGTTAATTCTCCAGTTTAATAGTTATGTCAATTCACTAGCTTCATGTTTATACAGATGAAGGTAACCAAACTAGTTTTACCTGTGAACAGCTGCCTGTGATAAAGCTAAATTTCTGAATGTCTTTAATTGAAATTTTGAAAATTATTAACAGGGAGTAAATAACATGGATCACATCATAAACTGCACTAAAGAAAATCCCTAAAATGCTTTTCCTTTATTACAACAAATAAGGGTGCAGAGGGTCACATGGAATGTTTCATCTTTTGTCTGCTTTTTTTTTTTTTATTCTTTTAAGGAAAGGAAGTTGAGGGGTGGTTTAAACAGCAGTGCCTGGAATCAAAGTATTTCCTACGACACCCTCTAATGTACTTCCTTCTCTCCATGCCCACGGGGTCTGCAGGGTTCTCATCTTTTCATGTTCACAGTATTAAAATACTTCATACAATACCAAAGACAGTTCCCAACCAACCATCAAATATGGGTATTTCTTCCATCTCCTCATAATTGCAAAAGGAAATAACTGCGTTAGGATCATTCTTTTTTATTTGGAGATGAAAGTCTCGCTCTGTCATCCAGGCTGGAGTGCAGTGGCATGATCTCTGCTCACTGCAGCCTCAGCCTCCTGGGTTCAAGCAATTCTCCTGCCTCAACTTTCCGAGTAGCTAGGACTACAGGCGCACACTGTCACATCTGGCTAATTTTTTTTTTCTTTTTTTTTTTTTTTTTTTGAGACGGAGTCTCGCTCTGTCGCCCAGGCTGGAGTGCAGTGGCGCGATCTCGGCTCACTGCAAGCTCCGCCTCCTGGGTTCACGCCATTCTCCTGCCTCAGCCTCCCGAGTAGCTGAGACTACAGGCGCCCGCCACCAAGCCTGGCTATTTTTTTTTTTGTATCTTTAGTAGAGGCGGGGTTTCACTGTGTTAGCCAGGATGGTCTCGATCTCCTGACCTCATGATCCACCCGCCTCTGCCTCCCAAAGTGCTGGGATTACAGGCGTGAGCCACCGCGCTTGGCTACATCCGGCTAATTTTTTGTATTTTAGTAGAGATGGGGTTTCACCATGTTGCCCAAGCTGGTCTCAAACTCCTGAGCTCAGGCAGTCTGCCTGCTTCGGCCTCCCAAAGTGCTAGGATTACAGGTGTGAGCCGCCGCGCCCAGCCTAGGATCATTTTTTTCTGTCCTAGGTGTTGATTTTTTAAATAAGAGTTTGCAGTACTGGTGTTTAGTGGTGCAATAATTTCCATTTAATCATCTGGCATACGCAGAGAGTATACCAGATGACTGAGAGTATATCTCACAGAGAGTATACCAGATGACTGAATGGGGATTAGAGCGAGTATTTAAACTCTTCATTCATTGATCCTGTTAAAGGAAAGCTTACTTAATAACATAAACTCTTGGTTATGAATTAGATGTTTCTCCTATGAAAGCTTGTGGGGATCTTTGAGCAACTTAATACCTGATTATTTCTGTTCAAAAATGCCGAGAACTAAAAATCCATTCAAACCTTTACTTTTCTCCTTTTGGAAAAGTGCATGAGGTGTTCCTTTTGGTAAAAAGACACACTGTGCGACCACAGAGACCTGAGCCTGAACCCATGAAGATGTGAACAAGGTGAACAATGAGACTATGTAAAGGGGAGGTTAATTCCAAGGTGACAGGAACTTTATGGAGAAGATTATGATTTCTACACTTTGTATCCCCTTCTAACTCTAGTATGAAGTTACATTGTATACGTTGGTGCTCTAATCTCAGTCTGTGGATATTAGATATTAAGATTGGGGAGAAAATAAAACAGCCAGTTAATGTGCACCATTTTTATAGGCACTGTCAGTAGCATATAAGAAATAGCATGTTTCTCAAAAGTAAATTAGTTCATAGTAGTCAGTTGGCACATTTGGCAGGTACTTCTGTGAACTTTTTTTTGCTATCTTTAAACTCTTCATTCATTGATCCCGTTAATCCAAAGCTTATTTAATAACATAAGCTTTTGGTTGTCAATTAGATGTCAGGAAAAACAGAGAAATGAACAGCTAATATAATGAGTTAAAAGGATTGAGGCTGTAGGAATAATGTTACCAAGAATAACTTGAGGATTGTTTGCTACTATAGCTAGCTGTGATTATCAAAATAGGGAGATGCCTGTTTTTCTCACATAAAAGTAATTGTGCAGGTAGGCTGAGGCTGACATTGGTTCAGTTGCTCAAACATGGTAAGACTGGCTTCCCTGTGCCTCTCTTCACTCTCCTTTCTGGTGCACAATGACCAAGAGAGCTCCTGTCGTCATGTCTCCATCCATCATGTCTCCATCCAATTATAAGTAAAGAAAATGCAGCATGAGCCCTGCCTGCACCCACAGTCAGGAAAAGCAAGAGGCTTTTTTTGAATCCTAGCAGAATTTTGCATAAGCCTCTTGGTTTTAAAAAAGGTGAATTTTAAAATAATAAAATAAAATAAAGCACAAACTCTGAGGCCAAGGTAATAGGATTTAAATCTGTGCTCTGCCACTTAGAAAAATTACTTAAATTCTCTATTCTTTAGGTTGCACACATATAAAATGGGAGGAAGAAAATAATATTTGACTCATGGTTTTTAAAATTTGAGGTGTTATTTCTTTAATAAACAGCTGCTATCATTTGAGAACACTTGCTATTTAGGCAGTTAGGAATTTTTCATTAGAAGGGATGTAAAGAAAGACGATGGGCATTTGTAATGGATTTAACATTCATCATTTGGCTGCCTGACTGACCCCCAGAGCTGTGATTTTACTAATGAATTTTTCAGAAGTCCCTTAGCTAGCAATGAGCCTAACCAGCCTCCCACTCTCACCATTCAGTGCTCTTGTTCTTATGTGTTTCTCTACAAACTTGGTTACTCTCACAAAGTGATAAAAACTTGCATTTCTTTTCTTTCCTTTTTAGAGACAGGATCTTGCTCTGTCACTCAGGTTGCAATGCAGTGGTGTGATCATGGCTCGCTGTAGATTCAAACTCCTGGGCTCAAGCAGTACTCCCGCCTCAGCCTCCCAAGTAGCTTGGACTACAGACGTACACCACCATGCAAAGCTAAATTTTTTATTTTTTTGTTGTAGAGATGGGATCGTGTTATGCTGCCCAGGATGATCTCAAACTCCTGTCCTCAATTGATCCTCCTGTCTCAGCCTCCCAAAGTGCTGGGATTATAGGCAGCCATGGGCCATCTGGGTCCAGTCTGCTATTTTCTTTTTTTAAATAACAACTTTATTGAAATGTAGTTCACATACCATGCAATTTGTTTATCAAAGTATGCAATTCAGTGGTTTTTAGAATATTCATGGAGCTGTGATCTATCACCACTATCCATTTTAGAAGCTTTCATTACCCTATAGAGAAATCCGCTGTTCTTTGCCACTAGCTAAGAACATGGCGGGGAGTAAGCTAGTGGCTTACTCCCCTCAACGCTTCTGTGTTCCCCATAGGCAACCACTGATCTATTTTTTGTCACCATAGATTTGCCTAATCTGGACCTTCTATATAAATAGGGTTGTGCAATATGTGATTGTTTGTGGCTGTTTTTTTTTTTCCCTCTTAGCACAGTGTTTTCAGAGTTCCTTCCTGTCATAGCATGTGTCAGTATTTCGTTCCTTCTATGGCTGAATAATATTCCATGGTACAGAAACACCACATTTTATTTATTCTTCAGTTGATGAACATTTGGGTTGTTTCCATGTATTGGCTGTTAATGAATAATGCTCCTATGAAGATTCATGTACAAGTTTTTGTGTGGACATACATTTTTATTTTTCTGGGATATATACCTAGGAGAGAAATTGTTGCATTCTATGATGTTGTACATTTAGCCTTTTGAGAAACTGTTTTCCAAAGTGGTTACACCAGTCAGGTGCAGTGACTGATGTAATCCCAGCTACATGAGAGGCTGAGGTGGGAGGATCACTTGAGCCTATGAGTAAAGAGAGACCAGCCTGGGCAAGATAGCAAGACCCTGTCTCGGTTTTTGAAAAATCAAATTAAAATGACAAGAAGACAGGTGCGGTGGCTTATGTCTGTAATCCCAGCACTTTGAAAGGCTGAGGTGGGTGGATAACTTGAGGTCAGGAGTTCAAAACCAGCCTGGCTGGGTATGGTGGCAGATGCCTGTAATCCCAGCTACTCGGGAGGTTGAGGCAAGGAGAATTTTTTGAACCCAGGAGGTGGAGGTTGCAGTGAGTCAGGATCACACCACTGCATTCCAGCCAGGGCAAAAGAGTGAGACTCTGTCACACAAAAAAAGTAAAAATATAAATAAATAAATAAAATGACAAGAAAAGAAACACCCAAAGTAGTTAAACCATTTTGTGTTCCCACCAGTAATGTATGTGGGTTCCAATTTCTCCACATTTTCACCAACATTTCTTTTTTTGAGACATGATCTCGCTGTGTCACTTAGGCAGGAGTGCAGTGGTGTGAACACGGCTCACTGCAGTCTCGAACCCCCAGACACTCGTGATCCTTTTATTTCAGCCTCTTGAGAAGTTGGGACTACAGTCAAACTCCAGCACACTCAGCTAATTTCTTTTATTTTTAGTAGAGACAGGATTTCACTATGTCGCCCAGGCTGGTTTCTAACTCCTGGACCCAAGTGATCCACCTTCCTTGGCCTCCCACACTGCTGGGATTATAGGTGTGAACCACCATGCCTGGTCCTCTCTCTCTTCTCTCTCTTCCCTTTCTTTCTTGGTAGAAGGAAACGTGTCATGTACCAGCTATCCATCCAATGACTGCCCATCAGTTCCATATTCACCCTTCACTGCCTGATCTGCAAACATAGAGGTGGGTTCCTTAAATGCTTCTTCTGTCAGCTGGTACATGATTAAATGTTGTCAGTACATAGTACTAGAGGGACCTTGTAAGAGGCTTTTCTTTCTGGTTGTGGTGTGCGAATCTCCACAGGCACTGAGCTTCTCCAGTACCGGGCTCTTGCCCTGCACGGTGCTCAGCAGCACCCAGTGACCAGCAGTTTCTCTGCACCTGCCTGGGTGGATTTGTAGTGAGACAACTGTTCATTAATAGCTTAATCTAGCACCCCAGAGGGTGAATTTTCAGCAAATTCCAGAGGGCAGATTGCTAGCATGTTCGACCATGTGGTAATGCAGCAATTCTGCTATTGAATTACCCATGACTGTGCTCTCTCCAAGTGGGGGCTGGATCTCAGCCATAGTGGGGGAGTCTTTTCCTTGATCACAGTATCTCAGCATTGGGACAGTAGGGACAGTTACTGCTTGTTATATCAGCTGGTCCTATACTCTTTTTGGAGACAGGGTCTCCCTCTGTTGCCCAAGCTGAAGTGCAGTGGCAAAATCATGGTTCACTGCAGCCTTGACTGCCCTGGCTCGAGCAATCCTCCCACCTCAGTCTCCTAAGTACGTAGGACTATAGGTGTGTGCCACCACACCCAGGTTTTTTGTTGTTGTTGTTAGTTAGTTTGTTTGGGTAGAGACAGGGTCTCACTGTGTTTCCCAGGCTGGTCTCAAACTCCTGGCCTCAAGGAATCTTCCTGTCTTGGCTTCCCAAATTGCTGAAATTATAAACATGTGCCACCATGCCTGGCCTCTGCTAGTCCTATATTCTCTAGCATTCTCTTTACTTTTTGGTAGCAAATCTCTCATTATGCTGTTGCCCTGTTATAATTAATAATTTTTTATTTTAAATTTAACACTTTAAACTTTTGAGTGGTTTATGTCTCCTGTTAGGACTCTGACAAATACAGAATTGATGCTAGGAAGGGTCCCGGGAGATAGACCCAGACAACTGGGATTTGGGGATGGGTTTGGTTATCCAAGGGGCAGCGCTGAGCTCCTTGCCAATGGGAAATGGGATGCTGGTGATTTCCAGGAAGTGACCTCATAATGACTCAAGCTACCACTTACTGTTGATTGTGATGAAATGCCAGTGGAGGCACATGCCTTGGGAGCTAAGTGGCTGCTGCACTTGACCACTATGAAGACTGGTGTGGGAAGAATCCTTTTGGATGCACTTCAGCAGGGACCCCTGATCCCTGGGTCACAGGCCTGTACTGGGCCACACAACAGGAGGTGAGTAAGGGTGGGTGAGCGAAGCTTCATCTGTATTTACAGCCGCTCCCCACATTACCACCTGATCTCTGCCTTCTGTCAGATCAGTGGCAACATTAGATTCTCATGTGAGCACGAACCCTATTGTGAACTGTGCATGCAAGGGATCTATCTTGCTCTGTCCTTAGGAGAATCTAATGCCTGATGAACTGTCATTGTCTCCCATCACCCCCAGATGGGACCATCTAGTTGCAGGAAAAGAAGGTCAAGACTCCCACTCATTCTACATTATGGTGAGTTATGTAATTATTTTGTTATATGCTACAATGTAATAATAATAGAAATAAAGTGCACAATAAATGTAATGTGCTTTATATATCCCAAAACTGACCTTCGCTGCCCCTAGTCTATGGAAAAACTGTCTTCCACAAAACCGGTCCCTGGTCCCCCCAAAATTGGAGACCGCTGCACTTGAGCACTTACAGAGAGAAAAGCAAAAAGCTCAAGTCTTTACCTCTCAGCATAAGTCATGGTCTGAGATCCAGAGAGCTCCCATGATAGCACAAACACAATTCCTTATTTCTTGTATCCACAGGGGTGATATTATTGGTAATCAATATCAATTGGTAATCAATAATTATTAAACGTGTTGGTTGCTGAATTACCATGACAGTTGAATTCACTGTGTCACCAGGGTTCTCATGATAATGTTAGGGCACTAATAAGTGAAGAATGGGAACTTTTTCTCTTTTCTTTTTTTTTTTTTTTTTTGAGACAGTCTTCCTGTGTTGCCCAGGCTGGAGCACAGTGGTTTGATCTTGGCTCACTGCAGTCTCAACCTCTCAGGCTCAAGCTATCCTTCTGCCTCAGACTCTGGGGTAGCTGGGACAACAGGTACGAGCCATCATGCCCAACTAATTTTTGTGTTTTGTAGAGATGTGTTTCATCACATTGCTCTGGCTGGTCTCAAACTCCTGGGCTCAAGCCATCCACCCACCTTGGACTTCTAAAGTTTTGAGATTACAGGCAGGAGCCACCATGCCCGGCCCTATTCTCTTTTACACTGGTTTATTGTGAGGGCCTCCAATTGTCTTCCTATTAGGCTTGCTCACTTCGGCCTGTTCACTGAAGCCAGAGGAATTCTCCTAAAAGGCAAATTTGGATCAAAATAGTTCTTGATTAAAACCTGCTGGTGACTGCCCATTGCCTTTAAGACAAAGTCCAAACTAATTTGGCCACAGGGCCTGGTAAGAGCTGGCCTCTGCTCACCTTCCCAGTTTTATCCTGCACCAGCCTCCCCAAATCCCTACCCTCCAGCCACAGGAATGTCAGTTTCCTTGGGGGACTTCACTGGTCCTTCAGGAATCCCTCTCCCTACCTCCATCATCACTCTTTCACTCTCATCTTTGCTCATCTTTAGCCTCAGCCAAGATGTCTCACCCTACTCTCTATGATGCAACAAGAAGCCCCTGGGGAATGTTTCAGTCCCAGTCTGTACTATTGTCATGTGCTCATCACAGTCTGGTAAGTGTTGGCCTGTGATTCCTAGGTTAGTCCATTTTGCATTGCTGTAAGGAAACACCTCAGGCTGGGTAGTTTATAAAGAAAAACAGTTTATTTGGCTCACAGTCCTGCAGACTATACAAGTAGCATGGTGCCAGGCTGGGAGCAGTGGCCCACACCTGTAATCCCGGCACTTTGGGACGCTGAAGCAGGAGGATTGCTTGAGCCCAGAAGTTCAAAAGCAGCCTGGGAAACATGATAAGATCTTGTCTCTGCTAAAAATAAAAAAAAAAATAGCCAAGTATGATGGTACACTGATGCATGCCTGTGATTTCAGCTACTTGAAAGGCTAAGGTAAAAAGACCTCTTTAGCCCGGGATGTCAGGGTTGCAGTGAGCCATAATTACACTACTGCTCTCTCGCCTGAGTGTCAGAGTGAGACTCTGTCTCAGGAAAAAAAAAAAAGCATAGTACCAGCATCTGCTGGTGAGGACCTCAGGAGGCTTCCTCTCATGGCGGAAGATGAAGGAGGAGCCGGCATGTCACTTGTTGAGAAGAGGGAGCAAGGGAGAGGGGAGGAGGTGCCAGGCTCTTTAAACAATCAGCTCTCATGTGAACTAGTAGAGAGAGAACTCACTCATTACCTTGGGGAGGGCACCAAGCCATTCATGAGGGATCTGCCCTCATGACTCACACACCTCCCACCAGGCCCCACCTCCAACATTAGGGATTCAATTTCAATAAGATTTGGAAGAGACAAACGTTCAAGCTATATCAATTTCCTGCTACCCTATAAGCTCTGCGAGGGCAGAAACTTTTTTTTTTTTTTTTTTTTTGATACGGAGTTTCACTCTTGTTGCCCAGGCTGGAGTGCAGCGCCTCAGCTCATTGCAACCTCCGCCTCCTGGGTTGAAGCGATTCTCCTGCCTCAGCCTCCCGAGTAGCTGTAGCTGGGATTACAGACATGCACAACCATGCCTTGCTAATTTTTGTACTTTTAGTAGAGACAGGGTTTCACCATGTTTGTCAGGCTGGTCTCGAACTCCTGACTTGAGGTGATTCACCTGCCTCAGCTTCCCAAAGTGCTGGGATTACAGGCGTGAGCCACCACGCCCGGCCAAGGGCAGAAACTCTTATACCTTGTTCACTGCTGTTTCCTGGGCACCTATTATAGTGCCTGGTATTTAGTAGGAGCTCAAGAAGTGTTTGTTAGGGCCTGATGTGTTGGTGCAATCCTGTAATCCCAGCTCTTTGGGAGGTGGGGGCCAGAGGATTACTTGTGCCCAGGAGTTCAAGGCCAGTCTGGGCAACATAGTGAGACCCTGTCTCTAGAAAAAATAATAAACTGGCCAGGCACGGTGGCTCACACCTGTAATCCCAGCACTTTGGGAGGCTGAGGTGGGCAGATCACCTGAGGTCAGGAGTTCAAGACCAGCCTGGCGAACATGGTGAAACCCTGTCTCTACTAAAAATATAAAAGTTAGTCGGGCATAGTGGCACACACCTGTAATCCCAGCTACTCGGAAGGCTGAGGAAAGAGAATCGCTTGAACCCAGGAGGCAGAGGTTGCAGAGAGCCGAGATCATGCCACTGCACTCCAGTCTGGGCGACAGAGCGAGACTCCGTCTGAAAAAAAAAAAAAGAAAAAGAAAAAATAATAAATTTAGCTGGGTGTGGTGTTACATGGCTGTAATATCAACTACTTGGGAGGCTAAGGTGGGAGGATCACTTGAGCCCAGGTGATGGAAGCTGCAGTGAGCCATAATCATCCTGCTGTACTTCAGCCTGTGTGACAGAAGGGGACTGTGTCTCAAAAAAAGTAAAAAAAAGAAAAAGAAAAATATTCGTTGGGAAAATAAAAGAGTGAACAAGCAAAGTTTCAGGAGAGTACTGTGAATGTGGGTCATGTCAGTAGAGTGTAGGAAGTTGGGCAGGAGCGGCTAGACTTCAAGAGCAGGTTGGTGGAGACCAGGTCATTTATCGTAAGCAGTTTGCCCTGTAGCATGTGGATCAAATATCCCACATTGGCTGCTGGTGATTGAACTGGGCTTCCTGTTTCTGTGTTTGGTTTGACCATCACAGTGTTGAAGAACTGTTGAAGTGAATACCTTGCAGTTTGCTACAGTTCCCCCCGGTCTCCCATATTACTCTGGCCTCATTCCCTCCTGTAGGTTGCCTGACCCTCTGAGACCTGTGTTTGCTGTCCCTGCAGATGGGTGGGTAGGAGGTGATTTAAGGAGGAAGATTTAATATGTGAGTTATAGAAAGATAAATAGACTGGGCTCAGTGGCTAAAGCCTATAATCCTAGCACTAGGCCAAGGCAGGAGGATTAGTTTGACCCAGGAGTTCAAGACCAGTCTGGGCCATAGTGAGACCCCATCTCTACAAAAAATTTAAAAATTAGCCAGGCATGGTGGCATGCACCTGCAATCGCAGCTACTCGGGAGGCTGAAGTGGGAGGATAGCTTGAGCCCAGGAATTGAAAGCTACAGTAAGCGGTGATCTTGCCATTGCACTCCAGTCTGAGTGACAGAGTGAGACCCTATCTCAGAAAGAAAAAAGCAAGAGAGAGATAAATAGATCCAGCATTGGTGGGAGTGTGCTTTTGAGTGCTCTTTAGGAGAAAATTTTATTTTAATATTTTTTTCTTCTTTAAATTTTTTATATTCTAGCAGGCTGGGTCCATTCTCTCCCCTTTAATTTCTCAAACACAAAGCGCCCTGCTGGAATTTCAGGTTGGATCTGCAGTATATCACCATTAACATAGCAGCCTGCTATGTTGTAAGTCCTTATGCCAGGAACTGTGCGGGATACAAAATGTAAGAGAAGGCTGGAATAGAGCATCTCCGGGGGAAACGAGAGCCAGAGATACAGCTGTGCCCCATGGAGAGAGGCAGCTGGTGTTTGGTAGTTGCTTGTGGAAAGGCTGTACTTTGGTAAGGTCTCCACAACTGCAATGTGGCCTTCAATATTATAGGTCCCCAAACTCCAGGTTTTTATGTTCCCTACATAGGTCAGGGTCGTAGGGAGTGATTCACCCTAGCAGAACTCCCTGGTTTTTAAGGCAGGTGTTCCATTTATTAATTGACAAAGGATGCATATTTCTCCTTTGGTAACCTGATGAGTTAGGTCTTTTCTCCAGGGACTCCCTTTCCACCTGAAGGTTCTTGGAAAACTAAGCAGAGAATGAGGGAAAGGCTGTGAACAAGCTTGCTGGTCCCTCCCTGTCCTAAAAAAGAGCATACCTCTTCTGTAACCAGAAGACCCTTTTCACTAGTCAAGGCTGGGCAGACTGAGATGAGGGGTGTGTGTGTGTGTGTGTGTGTTTGTGTGTGTGTGTGTATGTTGAGACAGGGTCTCACTCTGTCACCCAGGCTGGAGTGCAGTGGTGAGATCAGAGCTCACTGCAGCTTCTACTTCTGCAGCTTCCACTTTGATCCTCCCACTTCAGCCTCCAAAGTAACTGGGACTATAGGAATGTGCCACCACACCCAGCTCATTTTCTAATTTTTTGCAGAGATGAGGTTTCGCTCTGTTGCTCAGGCTGGTCTTGAATTTCTGGCCTCACGGGATATCCTCCTGCCTTAGTCTCCCAATGGGCTGGGATTACAGGTGTGAGCCACCTCACCTGACCTGCGATGAGTTTTCAACAATGTGATTCCTCTTTTACAGAACCACCTTAGCTAAATATTCTTTTGAGAACAAGGGCTAGCCTGTAGTTTCATGGCCTTTTTTCCATTTGTGGTTTTTGCCAGGTGGAATTTAAATGACCTTTTATCAAGATGGATAAACGCAAGTTTCCCAGTGCTGGAATACAGAAAATGGATGGACAAGTAAGTCCCACTCAGCACCCATAGCCCAGACATGGGGACCTCAACACACCTGGGCCCCAGACATCACCTTTCATTGTGAGTAGCTCAGAGATGACACTTCGTTGTTAAGTGCCCACTGGCAATAGTTTCTATAACAGCAAGTGAAGGAATAAATAGTCACCAAAACATTTTCTGTTCCCAATTCCAACATTAATTGGATGAGATAATTATTTTATGAAAATTTTCATATAGCACAGTCCTGGCCATATCTTTAAGTGAACAGAAAAATTCTATTAAAAAGTCAACCTTCTATCTCACTCTCTTGCCCAGACTGGAGTGCAGCGGTGCAGTGGTGCAGTTATGGCTCACTGCAGCCACAACTTACTGGGCTCAAGCAGTCCTCCCACCTCAGCCTCTGAAAGTGCTGGAATTATAAGCAGACAGCCACCATGCCTGAAAACTTGACAATTTACATCAAGTGTAATAAGAATGCTCATGCCCTGTGACTCACAGTAATCTCACTTCTGGAAATACCATCTTTGGATATAATTCAACCTAAACAAAAGGTCATATGTACACAGTGAAAATCCGGATGTAATTTTTTTCTTTTTAAAAACATATGGAATGATTCACAAATTTGCATGTCATTCTTGCACAGAGGCCATGCCAATCTATCGTTCCAACTTTAGTATATGTGCTACTGAAGCAAACATGAGTAATTTAAGATAAAGTGGTTAAGTGGAATAAGGAAGAGTTATGGGGAATTTAAAAATTTATGGTATACTCCCTCTCCCTCTCCCTCTCCCCCTCCCCCTCCCCCTCCCCCTCCCTCTCCCTCCACGGTCTCCCTCTGATGCCGAGCCAAAGCTGGACGGTACTGCTGCCATCTCGGCTCACTGCAACCTCCCTGCCTGATTCTCCTGCCTCAGCCTGCCGAGTGCCTGCGATTGCAGGCGCGCGCCGCCACGCCTGACTGGTTTTCGTTTTTTTTTGGTGGAGACGGGGTTTCGCTGTGTTGGCCGGGCTGGTCTCCAGCTCCTAACCGCGAGTGATCCGCCAGCCTCGGCCTCCCGAGGTGCCGGGATTGCAGATGGAGTCTCGTTCACTCAGTGCTCAATGGTGCCCAGGCTGGAGTGCAGTGGCGTGATCTCGGCTCGCTACAACCACCTCCCAGCCGCCTGCCTTGGCCTCCCAAAGAGCCGAGATTGCAGCCTCTGCCCGGCCGCCACCCTGTCTGGGAAGTGAGGAGCGTCTCTGCCTGGCCGCCCATCGTCTGGGATATGAGGAGCCCCTCTGCCTGGCTGCCCAGTCTGGAAAGTGAGGAGCGCCTCTTCCCCGCCTCCATCCCATCTAGGAAGTGAGGAGCGTCTCTGCGCGGCTGCCCATCGTCTGAGATGTGGGGAGCACCTCTGCCCCACCGCCCTGTCTGGGATGTGAGGAGCGCCTCTGCTGGGCCGCAACCCTGTCTGGGAGGTGAGGAGCGTCTCTGCCCGGCCGCTCCGTCTGAGAAGTGAGGAAACCCTCTGCCTGGCAACCGCCCCGTCTGAGAAGTGAGGAGCCCCTCCGTCCGGCAACCACCCCGTCTGGGAAGTGAGGAGCGTCTCCGCCCGGCAGCCACCCCGTCCGGGAGGGAGGTGGGGGGGGTCAGCCCCCCGCCCGGCCAGCCGCCCCGTCCGGGAGGTGAGGGGCTCCTCTGCCCGGCCGCCCCTACTGGGAAGTGAGGAGCCCCTCTGCCCGGCCAGCCGCCCCGTCCGGGAGGGAGGCGGGGGTGGGGGGTCGGCCAGCCGCCCCGTCCGGGAGGGAGGTGGGGGGGTCAGCCCCCGTCCGGGAGGTGAGGGGCGCCTCTGCCCGGCTGCCCCTACTGGGAAGTGAGGACCCCTCTGCCCGGCCAGCCGCCCCGTCCGGGAGGGAGGTGGGGGGGTCAGCCCCCCGCCCGGCCAGCCGCCCAGTCCGGGAGGGAGGTGGGGGGTCAGCCCCCTGCCCGGCCAGCCGCCCCGTCCGGGAGGGAGGTGGGGGGATCAGCCCCCCGCCTGGCCAGCCGCCCCATCCGGGAGGGAGGTGGGGGGGTCAGCCCCCCGCCCGGCCAGCCGCCCCGTCCGGGAGGGAGGTGGGGGGATCAGCCCCCCGCCTGGCCAGCCGCCCCGTCCGGGAGGTGAGGGGCGCCTCTGCCCGGCCGCCCCTACTGGAAAGTGAGGAGCTCCTCTGCCCGGCCAGCCGCCCAGTCCGGGAGGGAGGCGGGCGGGGGTCGGCCAGCCGCCCCGTCCGGGAGGGAGGTGGAGGGGGTCAGCCCCCCTTCCGGCCGGCCGCCCCGTCCGGGAGGTGAGGGGCGCCTCTGCCCGGCCGCCCCTACTGGGAAGTGAGGACCCCTCTGCCCGGCCAGCCGCCCCGTCCGGGAGGGAGGTAGGGGGGACAGCCCCCCGCCCGGCCAGCCGCCCTATCCAGGAGGTGAGGGGCGCCTCTGCCCGGCCGCCCCTACTGGGAAGTGAGGAGCCGCTCTGCCTGGCCAGCCGCCCCGTCCGGGAGGGTGGTGGGGGGTCAGCCCCCGCCCGGCCAGCCGCCCCATCCGGGAGGTGAGGGGCGCTTCTGCCCGGCCGCCCCTACTGGGAAGTGAGGAGCCCCTCTGCCTGGCCACGACCCCGTCTGGGAGGTGTGCCCAGCGGCTCATTGGGGATGGGCCATGATGACAATGGCGGTTTTGTGGAATAGAAAGGCGGGAAGGGTGGGGAAAAAATTGAGAAATCGGATGGTTGCCGGGTCTGTGTGGATAGAAGTAGACATGGGAGACTTTTCATTTTGCTCTGTACTAAGAAAAATTCTTCTGCCTTGGGATCCTGTTGATCTGTGACCTTATCCCCAACCCTGTGCTCTCTGAAACATGTGCTGCGTCCACTCAGGGTTAAATGGATTAAGGGCGGTGCAAGATGTGCTTGGTTAAACAGATGCTTGAAGGCAGCATGCTCGTTAAGAGTCATCACCACTCCCTAATCTTAAGTACCCAGGGACACAAACACTGCGGAAGGCCGCAGGGTCCTCTGCCTAGGAAAACCAGAGACCTTTGTTCACTTGTTTATCTGCTGACCTTCCCTCCACTATTGTCCTATGACCCTGCCAAATCCCCCTCTGCGAGAAACACCCAAGAATGATCAATAAAAAAAAAAAATAAAATAAAATAAAATAAAATAAAAAGAAATCCAATTGCTGGAAAAAAAAAAAATAAAAAAAAAAAATAAAAATTTATGGTATTTATAGGCACCTAGTAACGGCTCAGTAAATATTAGCTGCTACTTTTATTATTTTTATGGTAATTCCACTCAATTAAAAACTGTCATTAAAAATTACCATTGTCATGGAACATAATGTATCCTACAGTATAATTGTAAAAACAGATACAATTTGTCCCTTGGTATATGGGGGGGATTAGTTCCAGCTCCCCCATTTCTGTGTATACCAAAATCCACCCATACCCACTGCAGCCTAGACTTTTCAGGCTCAAGGGATCTTCCCACCCCAGACTCCAAAGTAGCCGGAACTATAGGTGGGCACCACCACCACATCTGGCTAATTTAAAAAAATTTTTTGGTAGACAACAGGGTCTCACTATGTTGCCCAGGCTGGTCTCCAACTCCTGTCCTCAAGCGATCCTCCTGCCTAGGCTTCCCAAATTGCTGGGATTACAGGCATGAGCCACCATGCCTGGCCTCTGCTAGTTCTGTATTCTCTAGAGTCGTCTTTCATTTGTGCTAGTGTGTCAGTCATTACGCCAATCCTCTGTTATAATTAATACTTTTCATATTAAATTTATATATATATTTTTTACTTTTTTTTGTTTTTTATTGGTACTGGGTCTCGATCACCTAGGCTAAAGTGCAGTGGCACGATCTCTGTTCACGGCTACCTCCACTTCCCAGGCTCAAGCAGTTCTCCTTCCTCAGCCTCCCGAGTAGCTGGGATTACAGATATGTGCCACCACCCCTGGCTAATTTTTGTGTTTTTTGTAGAGATGGTGTTTCGCCGTGTTTCCCAGGCTGGTCTCAAACTCCTGAGCTCAAAGCGATCACCTGCCTTGGCCTCCCAAAGTGCTGGGATTACAGGTGTGAGCCACCGTGCCCATTTTAGTTTAAACTTCTGAGTGGTTTATATCTCCTGATTGGACTCCTAGAAATACAGAATTGATGCTAGGAAGGGTACCAGGAGATGGACCCACACAGATGGGATTTGGGCATAGGTTTGGTTATCCAAGGAGCAGAGCTGAGCTCCTTGCCAGTGGGACATGGGATGCTGGTGATTTCTAGGAAGTGACCTCACAATAACTCAAGCTACCACTTACTGTTGATTGTGATGAAATGCCAGCCAAGGCATATGCCATTCAAGCTAAGGGGTGCTACACTTGACCGCTGCGGTAGTATAGATGAGTCTGAAGAATGGTATGGGATGGATACTTTCGAATGCACTGGAGTAGGGGTCTCCATCCGCAGGGCCACAGAGCCGGAGAGGAGCAGTGGGTGAGTGAGGGGAAACTTCATCTGTATTTATAGCCCCTCCCCATCGCTCACATGACCACCTGAGCACCATGTCTTGTCAGATCAGTGGCAGCATTAGATTCTCATAGGAGCACGAACCCTGTTGTGAAGTGTGCGTGTAAGGGATCTAGGTTGCACGCTCCTTATGAGAATCTAATGCCTGTTTCTCCCATCACCCCAGATGGACAGTCTAGTTGCAGGAAAATAAGTTCAGAAATCCCACTGATTGTACATTATCATGAGTTGTAGAATTATTTCATTGTATATTACAATGCAATAATAATAGAAATAAAGTGCACAATCTATGTAACACACTTGAATCATCCTGAAGTCATTCCCTCCACCCCCAGTCTGTGGAAAAAATTGCCTTTCACAAATTCACTCTGTTTTTTGCGTAGAGACAGGGTCTTAATATGTTGCCCAGGCTGATCTCAAACTGCTGGGCTCGAGTAATCCACCCCTCTCAGCCTCCCAAACTGTTGAGATTACAGGCGTAAGCCACCACGCTCAACCAAGACTGAGTTTCTTAAACCAAATAAAAATTATGGGAGATTACTTGAGCCCAGGAGGTTGACGCTGCAGTGAGCCCTGATTGCACCACTGCATTCCAGTGTAGGTAACAGAATGAGACTCAGTCTCAAAAAATAAGATAAAATAAAATAAAAATTAGACCGGGCATGGTGGCTCACGCCTGTAATCCCAGCACTTTGGGAAGCCAAGGCAGGCAGATCACGAGGTCAGGAGATCGAGACCATCCTGGCTAACATGGTGAAACCCCGTCTGTTCTAAAAGTACAACGAATTAGCCAGGTGTGGTGGCAGGTGCCTGTAGTCCCAGCTACTTGGGAGGCTAAGGCAGGAGAATGGTGTGAACCCGGGAGGCAGAGCTTGCAGTGAGCCGAGATCGCGCCACTGCGCTCCAGCCTGGGCAACAGAGCAAGACTCTGTCTTTAAAAAAAAAAAAAAAAAATTAACCCTTTATGAAGTTCCCAGTAATTCTTTGCTTCCTAAGTGTTCCCCATAAGCCTCTGAATTTTGTTTGCTTTTCATATACCATTTAAAACGTTTAAGAACTTGTGTCTGTCTGTGTCATCCTTTTTTTTTAAAGAATATCTTTTTGTCACTTCCAGCTGGATCTACCATGAAAGACTTCAGAGTCCAGGAAGAGAGACTGACTGGGCAACATGTTATTCAGTTACAAAAAGACTTGGACTATGACTCAAAAATGATCAAATAATAGTTCATGCATCAAATGCAATAGGAAGTACTTCTGGAGGGTGAGAGAAGCATCCAGTTAAGGTGACATTGAAGCTGGGTCCTGAAAGATGAGGAAGAATTGTATGAGAGTGGGCAGAGAAGGGGGAGGTGGAGGGATGGGGAATGGGCTGGGATGGAGTGAGCTGCTCAAGTAGGGAGACCAGCACTGTAAAGACCTGGACGATAAAGACGGCACATTTTATTCAGGGAATGGTGAATTAAGTGTGGCAGGAATGCTTTGGAGAGATAGTAATTTGCTTGTATGGAATTTTGCCCAAGAGGCCTCATTACAGTTTCTAATCTTTTGATGTTATCATCTATCACTGTCCTTGCCAAATAGTTTGGAATAGGTATAATGATCACAATAACATCAAGCATAATATTTCATTAATTCTCACAAAATCACAGGTAGGTGCCACAGTTATCCCCATTTTGTGAATGAAGTGATGAAGACTTAGGAATAATGAGTGATTTGCCCAAGCTCACCTGGATATTAAGACTGAGTCAAATGTGGGGTCTGGTCTGACTTTAATGTTTGCTTTGTTCATGAGCACCACGTATTGCCTCTCCTATGCAGTTAAGCAGGTAGACAGGTGAAAGAAAAGCCCATGTTAGTCTCTACTCACACACTTCCGACTGAATGTGTGTGTGGAATTTCTACACCAAGTTCTCCAATGCTCTGGATATTAACTGGGTATCCTACAATTTTATTCTGACACTTCCTGGAGTTGGCGTAGACCCCACAGGTTACGGGCTCAGTCCCACAAGACCACCCTTGCTTCACATTGCAATGGCAAGTCCTAGGTTGTCACCTGCACTTTTGACCAACCTGTTACAAATCAGGGGTTCCCATGACCCCCTCTTGGGGTTTAATCATTTGCTAGAGCAGCTTACAGAACTCAGAAAAACAGTTTGTTTCCTTTTTTTCTGAGAGACAGGGTCTCATTTTGTTGTCCAGGCTGGTGTGCAGTGGTGCAGTCATAGCTCACTGCAGCCTTGACTGCCTGGGCTCAAGTGGTCCTCCCACCTCAGCCTCCCTAGTAGCTGAGACTACATGCTTGCACCACCATTTCTGGCTAATTTATTTTTTGTAGATATGGCGTCTTGTTATGTTGCACAGGTTGGCCACAAATTCCTGGGCCCAAGCAATCCTCCCACCGCAGCCTCTTTGAAGTGCTGGGATTACAGATGTGAGCCACCACATTTCCTATTACTGGTTCCTTGTAAAGGATACATCGCAGAAACAGCTAATGAAAGAGATGTATGTGCCAGATGCAGTGGCTCACGCTGTAATCCCAACACTTTGGGAGGCCGAGGTAGGAGGATTGCTTAAACTTAGGAGTTTGAGACCAGCCTGGGCAACACGGTGAAACCCTGTCTCTGTAAAAAATTTTTAAAAAGCTGGGCACGGTGGCTCAAGCCTGTAATCCCAGCACTCTGGGAGGCCAAGGTGGGTGAATCACGAGGTCAGGAGTTGAAGACCAGTCTGACAAACATGGTGAAACCCCGTCTCAACTAAAAATGCAAAAGTTAGCCAGGTGTGGTGGCACGCACGTACAATCCCAGCTACTTAGGAGGCTGAGGCAGGAGAATCGCTTGAACCTGGGAGGTGGAGGTTGCAGTGAGCTGAGATCACACCACTGCACTTTAGCCTGGGCAACAGAGCTAGACTCTTGTCTCAGTAAATAAATTAACCGAGTGCGGTGGTGTGCAGTTACTAATTCCAGTTACTACAGAACTAGACTCCATCTCAATAAATTAAATAAATAAATAAATAAATAAATGAATAAATAACTGAGTGTGGTGGCATGCACCTGTAGTTCCAGTTACTAGGGAAGCTGAGGTGGGAGGATGTTTTGATCTGGGGACTGGGGAGGCTTAGGTTGCAGTGAGGTAAGATTGTGCCACTGCACTCTAGCCTGGATAAAAGAGCCAGACACTTTCTCAAAAAAAAAAAAAAAAGAAAAAGAAAAAAAAAAGATGCCCAGGGCAAGGTAAGTGGGGAGGGGCACAGAGCTCCCATGCACTTTGTTGAACATGCTACCCTCCCAGCATCTCCTATGTTCAGCAACCCAGAAGCTCTGCAATCCCTGTTGTTCAGGGTGTTTATGGAGGCTTTATTATGCAAGCACGATTGATAAAATCCTTGGCCATTGGTGATTAAGTCAATCTCCAGCCCGTCTTGCCTCCTGGAGTTAAGCGGGTGAGGCTGAAAGTTCCAAGCCTCTAATCATGTCGTTGCTTTTTCTGGCAATCGGCCCTTCTCCTAAAGAAATCTAGGAGCTTGCAGCCACTCATCATCTCAACAATATCCCCAAATGCATTCTTGTCATGCTGGAGATCCCAAAGTTCTTAAAGTCTCTTGTGTTAGAAACCTGGGACAAAGACCAAATATTAAAACAAAAGATGCTCCTATCACCTCTAACACTGAGGTCTTTATAAGAGCTTTAGAAGCTCTGTGCCAGGAACCAGGGACAGAGACCAAATATATTTTTCTGTTCTTTTTTTGAGACAAAATCTCCCCATGTCATCCAGGGTGGAGTGCAGTGTTGTGATCATAGCTCACTATAGCTTTGACCTCCTGAGCTCAAGTGATCCTCCCACCTGAGCCTCTTAAGTAGCTGGGACTACACATGCATGTTACCCATGCCCAGCTCATTTTTGTAGAGATGAAATTTAATTATGTCGCCCAGGCTGATCTCAAACTCCTGGGCTAAAGCGATCTCACCTCAGCCTCTCAAGTAGCTGGGAGTACAGGGACACACCACCATGTCTGGCTAATATTTATTTTTATTTTTTCATAGAGGTGAGGTCTCACTATGTTGTCCCGGCTGGTTTCAAACTCTGGGCCTCAAGTGTTCCTCCTGCTTTGACCTCCCAAAGTGTTGGGATTATGGGTGGAAGCCACCACGCCCAGCAATTACAAGGATTTTTTTTTGGTTTTTTGTTTTTTTGTTTTTTGAGACGGAGTTTCGATCTTGTTGCCCAGGCTGGAGTGCAGTGGCGCGATCTCGGCTCACCAAAACCTCCACCTCCTGGCTTCAAGCGATTCTCCTGCCTCAGCCTCCAGAGTAGCTGGGAATACAGGCATGCGCCACTACACCCGGCTAATATTTGTATTTTTAGTAGAGACGAGGTCTCTCCCTGTTGGTCAGGCTGGTCTCAAACTCTTGACCTTAGGTGAATCACAATGATCTTTATAAAAGAAAGAGGGTAGGAGAGTCAGAACTGGAGCAGGAGATGTGATGGAAGCCGAGGTCAGAGAGGGAGATTTGAAGATGCTTCACTTCTGACTTTGAAAATGGAGTAAGGGGCCATGATCCAAGGAATGGGGGTGGCTTCTAGAAGCTGGAAAAGCCAAGAGAAAATGTTAGAGCCTAGAGCCTTCAAAAGGAATGCAGCCCTGCTGACACCTTGACTTTAGCTTTAATAGACCTAGTTTGGGCTTCTGGCCCCCAGAACTGTAAAGATGGTTGATTTGTGGTGTTTTTAGCCACTAAATGTAGGAAAGTTTGTTGCAGCCACAAGAAGAAATGAACATAAAGCCAGGCATGGTGGCTCATGCTGGTAATCCCAGCACTTTAGGAATCCAGGCAGGAGGATCACTTGAGGCCAGGAGTTCAAGACTAGCTTGGGCAACATAGTGAGACCCTGTCTCTACAAAAAATTTAAAAAATGGCTCAGTGCAGTGGCTTGTGCCTGTAATTTCAACACTTTGGGAGGCTGAGGCAGGCAGATCACCTGAGGTCAGGAGTTCAAGAACAGCCTGGCCAACATGGCAAAACCCCATATCTAATGAAAATACAAAAGTTAGCCAGGTATGGTGGCACGCGCCTGTAATCCCAGCTACTAGGAAGGCTGAGGCAGGAGACACCCTTGAAACTGGGAAGTGGAGGTTGCAGTGAGTCAGGATCACACCATTGCACTCCAGCCTGGGCAAGAAGAGCGAAATTCCATCTTAAGATAAAATGAAATAAAATAATAAATCAGCCAGGCATGATGACATGCACCTGTAGTCTCAGCTACTAGGGAGGCTGAGGTGGGAGGATTGCTTGAGCCCAGGAATTGGAGGTTGCAGTGAGCTGTGATTGCACCACTGCACTCCAGCCTTGGTGGCAGAGTGAGATCTTGTCTCCAAAAAAAAAAAAAAAGTATGGTAGGCATGGGGACAGATGGCAATGTTAATAGAATAGTCAGGGGTGGCCTCCTTAGTAAAAATTGAGCAAAGACTTGAAGGAGGGGAAGGAGTTGGCCAAGGTGCTGAGGGAAGAGCATTGTAGGTAGAAAAAACAGAATAAGGTGTCTGAGGTGTGTCTGAGGCTCTGGAAGGAGGCCAGTGGAGCAGGAGAGAGGGAGAGAATTAGGGCAGTAGGCCAGAGATTTGCTGGGCAGGGATCAGTACATACCGTGTAAGCCCTGGGAGGTTATTGCTGGGCTAGATAGGAAATTCAGGAGGGTTCTGAGCAGAGAGGCCACGTGATATGTCTGCCGATTTAAAAGCATTCTCTGGCTGCTGAGTTGAGAAAGACTGTGGGAAGATTTGGGTAGAAGCATGGGGGCCAAGCTGTGGCAACATCCAGGTGGGAGATGATAGTGGTCTTGACCAGGGTCATGGTGGTGTTGAGAGATGGTCAGAGGAGAGAAGTAGGGGAGGAGGCCAGGGAGTTGCTGGGTGGGGATCTTCAGTACGTGTTGAAGACAGTCAACAGGATTTCCTGTCAGACTGGATGTGGAATGTGAGAGAAGGCAGGGGTCAGGGTTGAGTTAGATTCTTACCGAATTATTAAGTAATTTTAAAAAACACTACTGTCTTTCCCAGTCCTATTAAGTATGGGATACTAGATTAAAGAAATATCTTCAGGCTCAGTGCAGTGGCTCATGCCTGTAGTCCCAGCTGTTTGGGAGGCAGAGATGGGAGTATCTTTTAAGGGCAGTAGTTCGAGACCAGCCTGGGCAACATAGCAAGACCTCCTCTCAATAAATATATTTTTCAAAATTTAGTAAAACGAAATGTAGCTAGGCATGCTGATGTGTACTTGTAGTCCCAGCTACTCAGGAGGCTGAGGTGGGCAGATCTTTTGAGGTCAGGTGTTTGAGGCCAGCTTGGGCAACATAGCAAGACCCCTCACTCTGCAAAAAAAATTTAAAAAATAGCCAGGTATGGTGGCACTCAACTGTGGTACCAGCCAGTGGGGAGCTGAGGCAGGAAGATGGCTTAAATTCAGAAGGTCGAGGCTTCAGTGAGCTATAAGTGCACAAGTGCTCTCCAGCCTGGGCGACAGAGCAGGACCGTGTCACAATACAAATTAAGTAATGAAATCATAAGTTAGAGCCTTTAGGCTTTGTAGCCCTTGCAACCCCGGAGCCGTGCAGTGGGATTTGCATTGCTGGGAATGAAGAGACCCCTGCCCAGTATTGCTGCCTGACTAATCAGTGTTTTAAAAAATATATGAATCTGTTGGGAGGCCGAGGCGGGCGGATCACGAGGTCAGGAGATCTAGACCATCCTGGCTAACACGGTGAAACCCTATCTCTACTAAAAATACAAAAAAATCAACCGGGCGTGGCAGTGGGCACCTGTAGTCCCAGCTGCTGGGGAGGCTGAGGCAGGAGAATGGTATGAACCTGGGAGATGGAGCTTGCAGTGAGCCGAGATTGTGCCACTGCACTCCAGCCTGGGGAACAGAGCGAGACTCTGTCTCAAAAAATATATATATATATAAATAAATATATATGTAAATATATATAATGTATAAAAATATATGTAAATATATTAATATATAAATATACATGCAAATATATATTAATATGTATGTAAACATTAATGTATATGTAAATATATATTAATATATGTAATATATATAATTATATATATTAATCAGTGTGGGCACAATGGCTTACGCCTGTAATCCCAGCACTTTGGGTGACCGAGGTGATCACCTGAGGTCAGGTGATCACCTGAGGTCAGGATTTCGAGACCAGCCTGGCCAACATGGCTAAACCACATCTCTACTAAAAAAACATAAAAATTAGCCAGCCATGTTGGTGGGCACCTGTAATGCCAGCTACTTGGGAAGCTGAGCCAGGAGAATTGCTTGAACCCAGGTGGCGGAGGTTGCAGTGAGTCAAGATCGTGCCACTTCACTCCAGCGTGCGTAAGTCAGACTTTGTTTCCCCCCCAAAAAAAAGTACTACTTACGTCAACTTGTAATGGTTTTATTATTCATGTGTAATGAATGTATATTTTAAAAATTTGTCCTGTACTATATCAACATGAAATGGTTTTATTATTAATATGTAATGAATAATATTTTAAAATTTGTCTTATTTTCTAATTTTAATATAATTATTTATATAAAGAAAAAGGCTTAAGAGATCTTCAATAGAGTTAAAAAATGTAAAGGGATGCTAGACCCAAAAAGATTGGGAACATGTAGTTTAGACATATTCAGAGTAAGCCACGTACAACTTGCTACTTTACCTATTTTCTTTCCTTTTTTTGTTTTGTTTTGTTTTAGAAGATGGGGTCTCCTCTGCAACCCAGGCTGGAGTACAGTGGTGCAATCACAGCTCACTGTAGCCTTGAACTCCTAGGCTAAGGCTCCTCCTGCCTCAGCCTCCTGAGTAGCTGGGACTGTAGTTATATATGATGACACCTGGCTATTCTTTAAATTGTTTTGTAGACATGGGGTCTCACTTTGTTGGCCAGGCTGGTGTCAAACTCCTGGCCTCAAGTGACCCTTCTACCCCTGCCTCCCATCCTAGAGGTATGAGCCACCACAACAAGCACTTGTTCGATTTTCTAAAAAACAAATTTCCAAATTAAGGCTGTGGGATGATGGCCAGAAGATAAAGTAGAAAAACAGAATAATAGGCCGGGCGCGGTGGCTCACGCCTGTAATCCCAGCACTTTGGGAGGCCGAGGTGGGTGGATCGCGAGGTCAGAGTTCGAGACCAGCCTGGCCAACATGTTGAAACCCCGTCTCGACTAAAGATACAAAAAAATTTAGCCAGGCGTGGTGGCACGTGCCTGTAATCCCAGCTACTCGGGAGGCTGAGGCAGGAGAATCGCTAGAACCTGGGAGGTGGAGGTTGCAGTGAGCTGAGATCGTGCCATTGCACTCCAGCCTGGGTGACAGGGCAAGACTCTATCTCTAAAAAAGAAAAACAGAAGAATAAATTCTAATGACTTACACATATTCTTTTGACAGCAAGAAGAACTTTTAGTAAATACATTCCTTACAAACAAACAGAAGGCAAATAAACACTGTTGTACAGGAACTTCAACACACACTGTACAATATTCCCACTTTGCTGATGTCAGTTATGGAAATTCTTCATGGTTTACTTGACTATCGCTATCAGTATTTTGCATCTCTCATCATTTTTGTCAACTTCCTCATCTGCTAACTTCTCTCCAAGGTATGTCATATTGTGACATACTGCTGCTGCACGAACATGGCCAGTGTCATCCTATTAAACATGTAGAATCCTTCCCTAATTTGTTTTTTTACCCTCTGTCTCTTTGTTTTGCATTTTTCTTACCCTTATTGTCAGAAACTCCAGAAAGTCAATCGTAGTGATTTATCACCAATTGCTCCATTAATTTATACTTTGCTTACATGGAATTTTGCCCAACAGACATCATTACAATTTCTAACCTTTTTTTTTTTTTTTTTTTTTTTTCCTGAGACAGGGTCTTGCTCTGTTGTCCAGGCTGGAGTGCGGTAGTGCTATCACAGCTGACTGCATCCTCAACCTCTCAGGCTCAAGCAGTCCTCCCACCTCAGCCTCCCAGGTGGCTGAGACTGTACGTGCTTGCCACAATGCCCAACTAATAATTTGGACTTTTCCTATACATGGGTTCCAAAGGGCTGACTGCGAAACGTGAGTATGCATGGATTTTGGTATATGCAGAGATGGGGGGCTGGAACGAATCCTTTCTGTATACTGACGGACGACCATATATGTTTTTACACTTATGCTGTACGACACATATTGTTCCATAGCCTTGAAAATAGTAATTTTTAATGACAAATAATTTTGAATTTAGTGGTATAATATAAAAGCAGCTGACCAGGTGTGGTGGCTCACACCGGTAATCACAACACTTTGGGAGGTTGAAGCAGGAGGATGGCTCAAGGCCAAGAGTTTGAGACAGGTCTCAGAAATCAAGGGAATCACCATCCCTACAGAAATATACATGAATTAGCCTAGTGTGGTGGCATGTTCTTGTAGTCCCAGCTACTTGGGAGGCTGAGGTGGGAGGATCACTTGAGCCCAGGGAGGCTTAGACTGCAGTGAGTCATGATCAGGCCTCTGCACTCCAGCCTGAGTGACAGAGTGACCCCATCTCAAAACAACAAAAAAGTAGCAGCTAACATTAACTGTCCTTCTACCAGGTGCCTATAAATACCATAGATAGTTTAATTTCTTTTTTTTTTTTTTTTTTTGAGACGGAGTCTCGCTCTGTCACCCAGGCTGGAGTGCAGTGGCGCAGTCTCGGCTCACTGCAAGCTCCGCCTCCCGGGTTCACGCCATTCTCCTGCCTCAGCCTCTCCGAGTAGCTGGGACTACAGGCGCCCGCCACCACGCCCGGCTAATTTTTTTTTATTTTTAGTAGGGACGGGGTTTCACCGTGGTCTCGATCTCCTGACCTCGTGATCCACCCGCCTCGGCCTCCCAAAGTGCTGGGATTACAAGCGTGAGCCACCGCGCCCGGCCAGATAGTTTAATTTCTTATAACTGTTTCTTATTTCACTTAACCACTCTGTCTTCAGTTACTACCAGATTTTCACTGTGTTTGTGCAGATGACCTTTTGTTTAGGTTCAGTTGTCTTGCAAGGTATTTCCAGAAGAAAGATTACAGTGAGTCATGGTGAATGGACATTCTCATTGTCCTTGATGTAAATTGACAAGGTTTTGGGTGCCTCGCAGGTATAATCCCAGCACTTTGGGAGGCCAAGGCAGGAGGATTGCTTGACCCCAGGATTTGGAGGAGACAGTAGGGTGAGACAGTGTCTCTATTATTAAAAAAATTGCTGGTCAGGTGTGGTGGCTCACGCCTGTAATCCCAACACTTTGGGAGGCTGAGGTGGGTGGATCACCTGAGTTCTGGCTTGCGATAACCAGCCTGACCAACATGGAGAAACCCTGTCTCTACTAAAAATACAAAATTAGCTGGGTGTGGTGGCACACACATGTGATCCCAGCTACTCAGAGGCTGAGGCAGGAGAATCACTTGAACCCAGGAGGTGGAGGTTGTGGTGAGCCGACATCGCACCATTGCACTCCAGCCTGGGCAACAAGAGTGAAACTCCATCTCAAAAAAAAATAAATAAATAAATAAACAATTGGAAGCTTTACCGTGAAAGGCTTACATACAATTTAAACACCCCTCATTGTATAAGAAAGTGCCCATTTCACTGCATCTTTGCCAGCACAGGGTATTATAATTTAATAAGTTATTTTTTGTTTTATGATTTTATTATTACTTTATTTGTCACATTTCAACATCTTATACATTATTAGCCCTATTTCTTTTCTGTGTGTAAATAGTTGTTTTGTTCTTTGAGACAGGGTCTTGCTTTGTCACCCAGGCTTGACTATAGTGCCATAATCATGACTCACTGTAGCCTTGACCTCACAGGCTCAAACTACCCTCCTACTTCAGCTTCCCGAGTAGCTGGGATTATGAGTATGCACCACCACACGCAGCTAATTTTTTTCTTTTTTTGGATAGAGACAGGGTGTTGCCCAGGCTGGTCTCTACCTCCTGGCCTCAAGCAATCCTCCTGCATTGGCTTCTTAAATTACTGGCATGAGCCACCATGCCTTACTTTGGCTAGTCCTATATTCTCTAGAATTCTCTTTACTTTGTGCTAGCCAATCTCTCATGCTGTTCCCCTGTTATAATGAATAATTATCTATATTAAATTTTAGCACTTTGGGCTTTTGAGTGGTTTATGTCTCCTGATTGGACCCTGACTAATACAGAGTTGATGCTGGGAAGGGTCCCAGGAGACAGACCCACACAGATGGGATTTGGGGATCAGTTTGGTTATCTTAGGGGCCGTGCTGAGCTCCTTGCAATGGGAAATGGGATGCTGTTGATTTCCAGGAAGTGACCTCACAATGACTCAAGCTACCACTTAGTGTTGATTGTGATGAAATGCCAGCTGTGGCATATGCCTTGGGAGCTAAGTGGCTGCTGCACTTGACCACTATGAAGACTGGTGTGGAAGGGTCCTTCTGGATGTACTTGGGCAGGGTCCCCAACGCCAGAGCCATGGAACTGTAAGGAGCCACACAGCCGGAGGTGAATGGTGTTGAATGAGGGAAGCTTCATCTGTGTTTACAGCCACTCCCCATTGCTCACATTCCTGCCTGAGCTCTGCCTTCTCTCAGATCAGCAGCAGCATTAGATTCTCATAGGAGCATGCACCCCATTGTGAACCATGCATGTGAGGGATCTACGTTGCGCTGTCCCTATGAGAATCTAATGCCTGATGCTCTGTCACTTTCTCCAATATTATCTTCAAGTGAGCCACTCCTGGCCCAATTCCTGTCTCCCGTTGGCCTATAGAGGCCAAGCCTCTGCCTCATGATGGCCTCTGCAGGTCAAGCTCCTCCTCCTGGTTCCGTCTACAGGCCCAACACTTCCCTCAAATAAACTCTTCTGCCCAGCTCCTGTCCAGCTCACGGCAGCCACTGTCGGCATGAAAATTCCTCAATTCAAGCTCTCTAGGCCCACCTTCTGCCTCCCACTGGCCTGGACACGCCCAGCTCCAACCTGACAATGGTCTCTACAGGCCCAGCTCATCGGGCTCTGAGGGACCTCTCCAGGCCAAGCTCTTACCTCACGGAGGCTTCTCCAGGTCGTTTCTCCCTGTCTTCAGGCAGTGGTGACAGGTCAGCTCCTCCTCCACAGTGGCCTCGTTTGGGCAGGTCCTGCCTCTTGCAGCCTCTCAAAGCCCAGCTCCTGCCTCTGAGTGGCTTCTGCGCACCCAAATGTCCTCCAGTCAGCCTGTCCTGGCTGAGCTCCTGCGACCTGGCTGAGCTCCTGCCTCCTGTCGGCCTCTATAAACCCAGCCTCTGCTGTATGGTGGCTTCTTCAGGCCCAGCTCTTCCTCCTGGCGGTGTATACAGGTCCAACTCCTGCTTCCCAATGGACTCTTTAGGCCAGGCTCATGCCTTACGGCAGCCTTTCCTGGCCCAGCTTTTGCCTGTTGGCATACCCTCCAGGCCCACAATGTACTCAGATCAGCCACTCCATTCCCAGCTCTTCTTCCTGGCTGTGTCTACAGGCCCAACTGCTGCCTCACAACACCCTCTTTTGGCCCAGCTCCTGCCCAGCACCTGGTGGCCTCTATATGCCCCAGACTTCTTAAAGTCAACTTTGCTAGGCCCACCTTTGGCCTCCCAGCGGCTTTGACAGGACCAGCTCTTGCCTCATGGCAGCTTCCCAACGCCAGGTTTCTGCCTGCATTGTGGCATCCTTGATGGACCCAACTCTTGCTTTATGCCGGCCTTCCCACACCAAGTTTCTGCCTGCCTCATGGCAGGATCCGATAGGCCCAGCTCCTGCCTCTAATGGCCTGGTTAGGCTCATCTCATCCCTCAAGGTGGCCACCCCAGATGAAGCTCCTGCCTTTTGGCAGCCTTTAGAGGCCCAGCTCATGCATCTCATTGCCTCTTGAAGCCCAGCTCATTCCTCAAAACGGCCTATCCACGCCCAGCTTTTCCCTTTGGTGGCTTCTCCAGGCCCAGAAATTCCTCAGTTCGGCTTCGCAAGGTGAAGTTGCTGCCTCCCTGTGCCTTCTCCAGGCCCAGTTCTTCCTCCCAGCTGGGTCTACAGTCCCATCTCCTGACTCAAAACAACCTATTTTGGCTCGGCTCCTGCCCAGCACCTGGCGGCCTTTGTAGGCCTAAAGCTTCCTCAAGTCAAGCGTTCCAGGCCCAGATCATGCTGCCCAGGGGCCTTCACAGGCCCAGCTACTGCCTGACGATGGCTTCCCCAGGCCCAGGTCTTGCCTTCCCCCAGCCTCCCGAGGCCCAGCCCTTGCCTCACAGTTGCTTTCCCAGTCCACGTTACAGCCTGTTACCCGACGGCCTTGACAGACCAAACTCTTCCTTCACACTGGACAGTTTAGGACAAGCTCATACGTCTTCCAGCCTCTCCAGGTCAAGCTCCTGCCTCACACTGGCCTCTATAGGCCCAGGTGCTGAATCGCAATGGTCTGTTTAGGTCCATCTCATGCCTTTCTCAGACTCTCCAAGCGACGATCTGGCCTGACACTTGCTTCTGTGGGCCATGTGATCACTCACACTGGCCTCTTTAGGATCAGGGGATGCCTCTCCACAGGCCGAGATCCTGCCTGTTGTAGGCCCCTTCAGGATGCGCCGCTGCCTGACAGTGGACCCTCCAGGCCTAGATGTTACGTGATCATGGCCTCTGCAGGTCAAGAATTTAAATTTTCGCAGCCTCTATAGGCCAGGCTACTGCCTCCTGATAATGGCTTCTGCAGGCCCAAATCGTCCTGAAATAAGCCTCGCCAGGAACAGCACGTGTGTTGGATGCCCGAACAACCATAGCTTCTCCCGCACAGTGGCCCATGGGGGCCGGGCTCTTGCCTCAGCCTGGCCACCTCAGGCCCAGTTCTTGCCTGTTGGCGGCCGCTCCAGGCCCGGCTCCTGCCCCTCGGCCTCCTCTCCAGGCCCAGAACTGGTTCCCGTCGGCCTCTCCAGGCCCAGCTCTCCCGGCCACCTCCACGGGCCCAGCTCCTGCCTCACGACAACCACGTTCGGCCCAGCTCCTGCCCAGCTCCTGGCAGCCGTTGTAGGCCCCAGGCTTCCCTGCGTTCAGGCCTCCCGGACCCACCTTCGGCTTTCCGGCGGCCCTGAGAGACCCGGCTCCTGCCTGCCAGCGGCCTCTCCCGGCCCAGCTGCGGCCTCACGTCGGCCTCCCCAGGCCACGTTTCCGCCTGCCTCACGGCAGCCCCGGCAGGCCCGGCTCCCGCCTGCCGGGGGCCTCTTGAGGAGGCTCATCTCGTGCCCGGCCGCGGCCTCCCCAGGCCAGGCTCCTGCCTGCCGGCAGGCGCCACAAGCCCAGCTCCTGCGTCCCGAAGGCTTCTCTAGGCCCGGCTCGTGCCTCGCTGCGGCCTCTTGAGGCCCAGCTTTTCCCTTGTGGTGGCCTCTCCAGGCCCAGAACTTCCTCAAGTCGGCCTCCCCCGGTCCAGTGGCTGCCTCCCGGCCTCCTCTCCGGGCCCAGCTCTTTGCTCGCGTCTGCGCCCGTGGGCCCAGCTCCCGTCTCCAAACAGCCTCCTTCGACTCGGCTCCTGCCCAGCTCCCGGCGGCCTTCGTAGGCCCGAAGCCTCCTCCAGTCCAGCTCTCCAGGGCCGCGTCTTGCCTCGCCTCGCCTCCCCTCACCTTGCCTCACCTCGCAGCAGCCTTTCCAGGCCCAGCTCCCGCCTCCCGGCGGCCTTCCCCTGCCACGCTCGTGCCGGCCTCCCGGCAGCCTCCACCAGCCCGGCTCCTGCCTCACGCTGGCCCCTCTGGGCCCAGCTCATGCCTCGCGGTGGCCTCTCCGGGCCCAGCTCCCACCCAGCCTGACGGCGCCTCCCGGCCCCAAGCTGCCTTCCTCGATGTGGCCCAAAGTGGCCCAAAGCGTCCCAAAGTAGGCCTCGCCAGGCCCACCTCCTGCCCGGCGTAGGCCCTGAGGGGCGCGGCCCCTGCCCCATACTGGCCTCTTTTGGGCCCTCTCTTACACCAGCCCCTGTCTCAGGATTGTCTCTTCACGCCCATCTTCTGCCTCATAGTGGTCACTCAAGGCCTCGCTTTTGCCTGATGATTGCGTTTTCTGGTTTTGCTCTTGCCTTGTATTCCCTTCTTCGGGATACAGCTTTTACGTCTTCCATGGTGAACCTCATCAAGGAGACTAAATCTTCCCTGGTCTGTCATTTTTTTCACTTCACACCAGAGTGCCTTGGGAAAACCCCATCTCTTCTTTTAACCTTGAGAGTGGATTTCTGACGAATTGATAATAAATTTTTTCTCTGTGGTTTCAGTGATTTCTGTTTTATTTAATGTCCCATGGTGTTTTTTTGTCTGCTGGGGGTGAGGGTGGGAATGAATTTTTGGCCCTTTGTCTTTGCCCCGGAGATGGTAGCTTCTCACTTCATTTCTTCTGTTTTTATATTATTTACTGTTTTCTTTTCTTTTTTTCTTTTTGTTTTTCCTTAGGTTCTTACTCTGTCACCCAGGCTGGAGTGTAGTCATGTCATTATGGCTTACTGCATCCTTGGCCTTTTGGCCTCAAGTGATCCTCCCAACTCAGTAACTGAGACTATAGGCACATGCCAATATGCCTGGCTGATTTCTGTTTTTTTTATGAGGTTTTTTCTCACTAGGTTGCCCAGTCTGGTCCCAAACTTTTGGACACAAGCATTCCTTTTGCCTGGGCCTCCCAAAGTGCAGAGATTACAAGCATGAGCCATCATGCCCTGCCTGCAATTTTTCTGTCATGAACTATTAATAATTTACTTTTTGCTTAATATTCTATGACTATATATATTTATGTAAATATAGATACTTTAAATTTTTCTTTGATACCAATTTTTCCGGTTTTTTTTTTTTTTTTTTTTTTTTGAGGCTGGGTACTGCTTCGTCATTCAGGATGGAGTGCAGTGGTGTGATCTCGGCTCACTGCAAACTCTGCTTTTTTGGCTTAAGTGATCCTCCCACCTCAGCCTCCTGAATAAATGGGACCCCAGGTATGAGCCGCCATGCCCAGGTAATTTTTATATTTGTTCTAGACAGGAAGTCTCACCATGTTTCCCAGGCTGGTTTCAAACTCCTGGGCTCAAGCGATCCTCTCACATCAGCTTCCCACAGTGCTGGGATTACAGGTGGGATCCACACCTGGCCTGCCATTTTCTTTTCATAGATCATTAAGAATTTACTTTATGCCGGGCACGGTGGCTCACGCCTGTAATCCCAGCACTTTGAGGGGACGAGGTGGGTGGATCACGAGGTCAGGAGTTCAAGACCAGCCTAGTCAAGACAGTGAAACCCTGTATCTGCTAAAAATACAAAAGTTAGCCATGTGTGATATAATCGCAGCTACTCAGGAGGCTGAAGCAGGAGAATCGCTTGAACCCGGGGAGAGGAGGTGGCAGTGAGCCAACATCGTGTCACTGCACTCCAGCCTGGGTGACAGAGTGAGACTGTCCAAAAGAAAAAAAAAGAACTTGCTTTTTGATTAGTATACTGTAAATATATATATGTATATGTGTTATATATTTGTATATGAATATATGTGTGTGTATATTTTCATAGCGCACACACACACACATATATATTGTGAAAGAGATATCTGAATACCTAGAAACTGATAAGCTTCTTCCAGGTTTTGAAACCACCCTTAGAACAAAGACAAAAGAAGTACAAAGTATCATTATTAATGACCATGGACCAAGATGACCATGAGTCAATAGTACTTTGCACCTCAACCACCTTCCAGCAGAGCATCTTAAAGGGCTGGATGTATCTGAACATCACACCCTTTCACAGGGACTAGGATGCTTTGTAATTGTTACTTCTCTTAAGACCTCAGTGTGACCCTTGTCAACGTGAAATCAAACTATTTCTCAAATGATAGAGATATTGAATAACAGCTTTGGTCAGGAAATAGGTATTGCATTTGGTTCGTCATGATAAGTTCCTGGCCTAAGAAGATGAAATATTGCAGAAATGTGTGTGTGTTTGTGTGTGTGTGTGTGCGTGTGTGAACATTCTTGCGCACAGATGTGGGGGTGGAAGTGGGGTTTGAATTTGATAAGACCAGCAGTGGGCAGGCTGCTGGGAGGGGCCACTTGTTTTGGCAGTGGCAGTGTAACTCTAGAATTAACAAATGCTTCTAAGCCTCAGTTTTCTCTACTGGAAAATAAAGACTATAATTCCTGCCTTGATATGTGGATTAGGTGATCTGCTATATGCAAAATATCTAGTATATAATAGGCGCTGAACTATTGCTACTTTCTGTAGCTCATTCTTAATCACTGCTTAATTTTAAAAAGTTTAGAACACTGCTTTTATAAAAATTATTTGTAATTATTATGTAAAATCTAAGTCCTATAGAAAAGTACAAAGCAGGCCGGGTGCTATAGCTCACATCTGTAATCCCAGCACTTTCGGAAGGCAATGTAGGAGGATTGTTCAAGGCCAGGAGTTTGAGACCAGCATGAGCAACATAGCCAGATCCCATCTCTATAAAAAATTAAAAACTAGTTATGGTAACGCACACCTGTAGTCCCAGCGACTCAGGAGGCTGAGGGAGGTGGATCACTAAAACCCAGGAGTTTGAGACTGCAGCCTGGGCAACAGAGTGAGACCCTGTCAGAGAGAAGGAGGGGGAGAGAGAGAGACAAGAGAGAGAAAAGAAAAGTACAAAGAAGCAAGTAGCAAATCAGGAAATTTTCAACCACCAAGAAATAACTCTTAACATTAGGTGGTATGGTCAGGCATGATAGCTCATGCCTGTAATTTTAGCACTTTGGGAGGCCGAGGCAGGCGGATCACTTGAGGTCAGGAGTTCAAGACCAGCCTGGCAAACATGCTGAAACCCCATCTCTACTAAAAATACAAAAATTAGCTGGCGTGGTAGGTGCCTTTAATCCCAACTACTCGAGAGGCTGAGGCACGAGAATCGCTTGAACCTGGAAGGCAGAGGTTGCAATGACCCAAGATCACACCATTCCACTCTAGCCTGGAAAACAGACTCTGTCTCAAAAAAAAAAAAAAAAGTGATAGTTCACACCTCTTTTTGTGCAAATAGGTACTTAGATAAGTAGATAGATTAATGGATTAAAAATAACTGACGGGCGCTATGGCTCACACCTGTAATCCCAGCACTTTGGGAGGCTGAAGTGGGCAGATCACGAGGTCAGGAGATGGAGACAGTTCTGGCCAACATGGTGAAACCCTGTCTCTACTGAAAATACAAAGATTAGCTGGGTATGGTGGCATGCACCTGTAATCCCAGCTAGCTCAGAGGGTGAGGGAGGAGAATCTCTTGAACCTGGGAGGCAGAGGTTGCGGTGAGTGAGATCGCACCACAGCACTCCAGCCTGGCAACAGGGTGAGACTCTGTCTCTAAATAAATAAATAAATAACTTTATGTATTTTATATATGTTTTAGTTTAAATATATATATAACTTTCCTTTGCTTGATACAACAGAAGCTGAAGAAACTAAAGGTGAGAGAATTTCTGAACTTCAGATAAATGCCTATGTGCAAGTGATACATTTTTATTCAAGTCATTAAAATTATGAAAAAAGATAAAAGTATCATGATTCTTTTTAACCTGCAGTTTCTATTTTCACCCACAGTGGCTGTATTTTTGGAATTGGTCCATGTTTGAGGGTTTCTGTTTAATGGATTTCCACTTGGATGACCATTCTTTTTTATTTATTTATTTTATTATTATTATTATTATTATTTTGAGACGGAGTCTCCCTCTGTTGCCCAGGCTGGAGTGTAGTGGCGCGATCTCGGCTCACTGCAAGCTCTGCCTTCTGGGTTCACGCCATTCTCCTGCCTCAGCCTCCCGAGTAGCTGGGACTACAGGCGCCCGCCACCATGCCGGGCTAATTTTTTGTATTTTTAGTAGAGACAGGGTTTCACCGTGTTAGCCAGGATGGTCTCGATTTCCTGACCTCGTGATCCGCTGGCCTCGGCCTCCCAAAGTGCTGGGATTACAGGCCTGAGCCACCATGCCCAGCTTTTGGATCACCATTGTTTTTTATTTATTGTTTTTTTTGAGAGAGAGAGAGTCTTGCTCTGTCGCCCACATTGGAGTGCAGTGGTGCGATCTCGGCTACCTGCAACCTCTGCCTCCCAAGTTCAAGCGAGTATGCTGCCTCAGCCTCCTGAGTAGCTGGGATTGTAGGTGCACACTACCACACCCGGCTAATTTTTGTATTTTTAGTAGAGACGGGGTTTTACCATCTTGGCCAGGCTGGTCTTGAACTTCTGACCTCAGGTGATCCTCCCGCCTCAGCCTTTCAAAGTGCTGGGATTGCAGGCGTGAGCCACCACACCTGGCCTGGGAGAATATTCTTGATTCATTTTCCTTTTCTTCAGTTCTTCAAGATCTGACTCTATTGTCATCTGGCTCTAGCTGGGGCTATGTGAAGGTCTGAGGCTGGCTGGAGGTTCTTCTCACATGTACGTTATGTTTTCCTGCTCAAAGGCCAGTAGAGTACTTTCTTTATCATTGAAGTTCAACAGCTTAACCAGGGTCGACTCTAGGCCAATCATTCTGTATTAGTTTATCCAGGTATACTTTGTGCCCTTTGACTACTGACTATATAGTTCTCAATCTCCGCATGCAATACTTCTCCTCCTTTCTTTTTCTTTCTTTCTTCTTTCTTTTTTTTCCTTTTTTTCTTTCTTGCCTTCCTTAATTTCTTCTTTTTTCTTTTCTCTCTCTCTCTCCTTTCGCTTCCACCCTCCCTCTCTCTTTCTCTCTGTCTCTCCATCCCTCCCTCCCTTTCTCCCTCCTTTCCCTCCCTCCATTCCTACATTTCTTCTTTCTTTCAAGACAGGGTTTTGCTCTATCACCCAGGCTCTAGAACGCAGTGGTGTCTTCATGCCTCACTGCAGCCTCAAACTCCTGGGCTCAAAGGATCTTCCCACCTTAGCCTCCTGAGTAGCTGGACTACAGGCGTGCACCACCACAACTGGCTAATTTTTGTTATTTTTGTAGAGATAGTCTTGCTATGTTGCCCAGGCTTGTCTCGGATTCCTGGCCTCAAGCTAGCCTCCCACCTCTGCCTCCTAAAGCACTGGGAATATAGGCATGAGTCACCACTCCCAGCCAGCCCTGTTTCATTTTTTTAGGTTGTCTAACTCAGGGTCACCAACTGACAACCCCGTATTAGACTACTGTCTCTAATTTCCATAATTTTTTTTCAGTTGCTTTAATGTAGTTCTTTTAACCTCTGATTCACTTTGATTATATCAAGAATTTTCTATGTGTTCAGCCTTTTTTTTTTTTTTTTTTTTGAGATGGAGTATCACTCTGTCTCCCAGGCTGATGTGCAGTGGTGTAATCTGAGGTCACTGCAACCTCGGCCTCCCAAGTTCAAGCAACTCTCCTGTCTCAGCCTCCCGAAGTAGCTGGGATTACAGGTGCATACGACCATGCCCAGCTAATTTTTGTATTTTTAGTAGAGACGGGGTTTCACCATGTTTGTCAGGCTGGTCTCAAACTCCTGACCTCAGGTGATCCATCCGCCTCGGCCTCCCAAGGTGTTGGGATTACAGATTACAGGCATAAGCCACTGTGCCCAGCCGCCACATTTTCTTTATTCTTTTTTCCATTGATGGAAGAAAACTTAGGTTGATCCCTTACCTTCACTGTTGTGAATAGTTGTCTGCAATTTTTTTTTATAATTGTCATCGAGAGATAGAATCTAGTTTCGGGCCAGGCGCAGTGGCTCAGAGCTCTAATCCCAGCACTTTGGGAGGCTGAGGCGGGTTACCAGGACATGGTGGTTTGTGTCTGTAGTCTCAGCTACTCAGCAGGCTGAGGCAGCAAAATCACTTGAACCTGGGAGGTGGAGGTTGCAGTGAGCCGAGATCGGGCCACTGCAGTCCAGCCTGGGTGACAGAGCAAGAATCCATCTCAAAAAAAAAAAATCTAGTTTTTCTTCCCTTGAATATGAACTTAGTCCCCTGCTTCTATAATTGGAATACAGTGGAAGTGTTGCACATGATCTACCAAAGTTAGGTCATAAAAGATGACACTGTTTCCACTTGGCTGTCCTTCCTGGGATGGATGCACTTAGAACCCATTCACCATTTTGTGAGAAAGCCCAGGCCACGTATGGAGGTGATGTGTGGGTGTTCCACCAGATAGCCCCAGCTGAGGCCCTAGCTAACAGCCCATATTAACCAGGAGATATTTGAGCAAGGAAACCATTGAGACTATTCTAACTGCATACTGTTTGAAGGCAACCACATAAGACATACAAAGGCAGTACTGCCTACGTGAGTCTCGTCAGCCTCCAGTGTTGTGAGAAGACTAATAAGCATCATTGTAACTTTATACCATTAAGCTTGGGGTGGTTTGTTACACAGCAATAGATAGCTGATATACAAAATGATCTTCCAATACGAATATTATGTCAGTTCTCCACCTGACAGCATTTAATGATTTAGAATTGAGTGTAAAAACCAAAACCCAGGCCAGGTGCGATGGCTTACGCCTGTAATTTCAGCACTTTGGGAGGCCAAGGCAGGTGAATCACGAGCTCAGGAGTTCAAGACCAGCCTGGCCAAGATGGTGAAACCCCGACTCTACTAAAAATACAAAAAATTAGCTGGGCGTGGTGGTAGGCACCTGTGATACCAGCTACTGGGGAGGCTGAGGCAGGAGAATTGCTTGAACCTGGGAGGTGGAGGTTGTGGTGAACCAAGATGGCACCACTGCACTCCAGCCCAGGCAATAGAGTGAGACTCCATCTCAAAAAAAAAAAAAAAAAAAAAAAGTCAAAACCCAATCCTGAACTCATCTGACAAGGGATTAATAACCAGAGTATATAAGGAGTTCAGGTGGGAAAAAAAATCAACACAAAAAATCGAATTATCTGATTTTAAAATGGACAAAACATCGGAACAGACACTTCTCAAAAGAAGACATAAAAATGGCAAACAGGTATATGAAAAGGTGCTCAACATCATTGATCATCAGAGAAACGCAAAACAAAACTACAATGAGCTATCATCCCACCCCAGTTAAAATGGCTTATATCCAAAAGACAGGCAGTAACAAATGCTATTGAGGATGTGGAGAAAAGGGAACCCTGGTACCCTGTTGGTGGGAATGTAAATTAGTACAACCACTATGGAGAACGGTTTGGAGGGTCCTTAAAAAACTAAAAATAGAGCTACTTTATGATCCAGTAATCCTACTGCTGGGTATCTACCCAAATGAGAGAAAATCAATATATCAAAGAAATATCTGCATTTCTATATTTATTGCAACACTATTCACAATAGCCAAGATCTGGAAGCAATCTAAGTGTCCACAAACAGGTGAATGGATACAGAAACTGTGGTACATATACGCAATGGAATATTATTCAGCCGTGAGAAAGAATAGAATTCTATTATTTGCAACAACATGGGTAGAACTGGAGATCATTATGTTAACTAAAATAAGCCAAACACAGAAAGACAAATTTTGCATGTTCCCAGTCATTTGTGGGTGCTAAAAAATAAAACAATTGAACTCATGGAGATAGAGGGTAAAATGACGGTTACCAGAGGCTGGGAAGGGTAGTGGGCTGGAGAGGGTGCACAGGAATGATTAATGGGTACAAAAATACAGTTAGAATGAATAAGATGTAGTATTTGGCAGTACAACAGGGTGACTACACTAAACAATAATTTATTGTATATTTAAAAATAGCTAAAAGAGGCCAGGCATGGTGGCTTATGCCTGTAATCCCAGCACTTTGGGATGCCGGGGTCGGCGGATCAACTGAGATCAGGAGTTCGAGACCAGTCTGACCAACATGGCAAAACCCCGTCTCTACTAAAAATACAATAATTAGTGGGGCGTGGTGGTGCATGCCTGTAGTCCCAGCTACTTGGGAGGCTGAGGCAGGGGAATCGCTTGAACCCGGGGGGCAGAGGTTGCAGTGAGCCAAGATCACACTACTGCACTGCAGTCTGGCAGACAGAGCTAGACTTTGTCTAAAAAAAAAAAAAAAAAAAAAAAGGCATAATTGGATTGTTTGTAAAACAAAGCACAAATGCTTGAGGTGATGGGCATCCCATTCACCCTGATGTGATTATTACACATTACATGCCTGTATCAAGACATCTGATGCACCCCATAAATATATACACCTACTGTGTACCCACAAAAATTAAAAGTAAAGCATTTTGAAATTCCCAATTTTGGCCAGATGTGGTGGCACACACCTGTAATTCCAGTGTTTTTTGAGGCCAGGATAGGAGGATCACTTGAGTATGGGAGTTTGAGACCCACCTAGGCAACATAGCAAGACTGTCATCTCTAATAACAATAAAAAAACTTAGCCAGGCATGGTGGGGCTCAGGCCTATAGTCCCAGCTACTTGGGAGGCTGAGATGACAGGATCCCTTGAACCCAGGAGGTTGAGGCTGCAGTGAGCTATGATTGCCCCACTGCACTCCAGCCTGGGTGACAGAGTGAGACCATGTCTCTTAAAAAACAAACCAATCCTAGCATGATCGGACCCTGTCTGCCACCCTCTATTCCTTTCCTCTTGCTCATTGTGCATCAGGCATCTGGGCTTCTTTTCTGCTCCTGTAAATGCCAAGTGGTTTCCCTCTTCAAGACCTTTGCACATGCTCTCCCCTGCCCGAAATGGACTTCCCATACCTCTTGCCATAGCTGGATTTTTCTCATGTTTCATACCTCAGCTCACACATCACCCCTGCAGAGAAATCCTCCCTCATCCTGTGAAGGGGGAATCATCCTCCTTTTCAATGCCTCGTCCTGCCTGGTTCTCTCAAACCAGATATCACAACTCAAAAATCAGCTTATTTATTGAATTCCTTGTCTGCATGTCCTCCTCCCAAACTCACAGCGAATCACAACAGAGGCTCCCTACAGTAGGAGTCATATCTTGTTCATTCTCAGAACCTAATATAGTACTTGGCACATAGTAGGCACACAATAAATGTCATTAGAATAAATAAGTATCAAGGGGCCGGGTGCGGTGGCTCATGCCTGTAATCCCAGCACTTTGGGAGGCCGAGGCGGGTGGATCGCCTGAGGTCAGGAGTTAGAGACCAGCCTGACCAACATGGTGAAACCTCATCTCTACTAAAAAAATACAAAAATTAGCCGGGCATGGTGGTATGCACCTGTAATCCCAGCTACTTGGGAGTCTGAGGCATGAGAATTGCTTGAATCCAGGAGGCAGAGGTTGCAGTGAGCAGAGATCACGCCACTGCACTCAAGTCTTGGTGACAGAGCAGGACTCTTTCTCAAAGAAAAAATAAAAAAACTAAAAAGAACATTTCAGCTGCTTGTCAAGAGACTGGACATGGAGGAGCAAGAGTGGGAGCAGGACATCTGGTGAGGAGCTGCCACATCAACATCTTTTGATCACTCCAGGCCATGTTTTGAGTGAGGCCTCTGCAAGAATGTGGCCCAGCCTCAGATGCCTTAATTCTGACACTCAGTGCCAGTGTAAGCCCTGTGAGGTCACACTGTGGAGGCTTCTTGGGGAAGTGTTGGCTCTTCAAAATCAACATCTTGGTTCATTCCTTTGATGCTGGAGACAATGACCTGTCTCTCTTTATATTCTGCTCAAGACTTACAGAGTGGAGTGTCACTTAGTCTAGGAGCTTGGGCTGCTCTGGAGTTTGCACAAACACAAATAATCATCACAGGCTCTCAGGCCATGTGTCTTGGTTATGACCCAAAACAGCCCTTTAGCAGTGGACGTCTACATAGTGGCAGTTCCAAAACACCTCATTAAACACACACACACACACACACACACACACACACACACACACGGTCTCACTATGTTGCCCAAGCTAGTCTCAAATTCCTGGCCTCAAGAGATCCTCCTGCCTCAGCCTACCAAAGTGCTGGGATTACAGGTGTGAGCCACTGAGTCTGGCCCTTTTTTGTTGTTGTTTTTAGACAGGGTCTTGCTCTGTCATGCAGGCTGGAATGCAGTGGCATGATTACAGCTTGCTGCAGCTTCAAATTCCTGGGCTCAAGCGATCCTCCTGCCTCAGCCTCCTGAGAGGGTGGGACCACAGGCATGCACCACCACACCCAGCTAAGTAAAAAAAAAAAAATTTTCTGGACACAAGGTCTTCCAATATTGACCAGGCTGGTCTTCAACTCCTGATCTAAAGCCATCCTCCTGCCTCCACCTCCCACCTTGAACTCCTCTTTTCCCAGTTTTGAAAATAAAATTTACACTTTAAGAAGGAGGAAGAAATGGGGAAGATAAAAAAGCCAAGAAGCCAACCAGGCTTGCCTGGATAAACACTACATCCCTTACATTGGTTTTACTTCAATAATACAACTAATTAAGGGTTGTTGATTTTTTCAAGTTGCTACTTGGCATGTGAAACAGTTTCTTCCTCAGTAAATTTGAATACCAAGTGTCTATTCTGTGATTGAATGAAGCAAGTATTTTACACATGGGAAACCATTGTTAAATGATTGTATTATAGAAAGGGGTGGATGGGACGGGAGTAAGGGAGGAGCGGATGTCACCATGCCTGTCCCTGTGCTCCCCACCCACCTCCTCTGTTCCTGCTCCCCATGGTGTTTGTCAAGGGGCACAGTGCGCTGAAGGAGGGGTTACCAGGTGGCATATCCAGAAGACATCATTCTCGGCTTCATGGAATCCACTTACTTTGATCTAATTTGTTTACTCATGAAATTCATTCAACGGGCCGGGTGAGGTGGCTCCCAGCACTTTGGGAGGATGAGGCAGGCAGATCACGAGGTCAGGAGTTCAACACCAGCCGGGCCATGATGGTGAAAATCCACCTCTACTAAAAATACAAAAATTAGCTGGGCGTGGTGGCAGGCACCTGTAATCCCAGCTACTAGGGTGGCTAAGGCAGAGAATTGCTTTAACCCGGGAGGTGGAGGTTGCAGTGAGCTGAGATCTCACCACTGCACTACAGCCTGGGTGACAGAGGGAGACGCCATCTCAAAAAACAAAAACAAACAACAAAACAAAAAACAAATTCATTAAACGTTCACATCAGCAGCTTCTGAATGTCTTTTTTTTTTTTTTTTGAGATGGAGTTTAGCTCTTGTTCCCAGGCTGGAGTGCAATGGCGCAATCTCGGCTCACCGCAAGTTCCTGCCTCAGCCTCCCGCGTAGCTGGGATCACAGGCATGTGCCACTACGCCCGGCTAATTTTGTATTTTTAGTAGAGACGGGGTTTCTCCATGTTGATCAGGCTGGTCTTGAACTCCTGACCTCAGGTGATCCGCCCGCCTCGGCCTCCCAAAGTGCTAGGATTACAGGCGTGAGCTACCATGCCCAGCCAGCAGCTTCTGAATATCTAAGCCAATTGTTAAACATAATCATGTTACTGGATTCTTAAAACAAGCTGGAGGCTGGGTGCAGTAGCTCACACCTGTAATCCTAACACTTTGGGAGGCTGAAGCGGGTGGATCACCTGTGGTCACGAGTTTGAGACCAACCTAGCCAACATGGTGAAACCCCATCTTTACTGAAAAAAATACAAAAAAATTAGCTGGGCATGGTGGTGGGCACCTGAATCCCAGCTACTTGGGAGGCTGAGGCAGGAGAATCGCTAGAACCTGGGAGTCGGAGGTTGCAGAAAGCCAAGATTGCACCACTGCACTCCAACCTGGGTGATAGAGGAAGACTTCATCTCAGAAAAAAACAAAAACAAAACAAGCTAGAGACGGGTTTGTTTTAGCTTCATTTTCAAATTGTGAAGACAGGCAGTGAGAGTGAGTGGGTTGTCCAAATTCAGGCAGCAAGCTGGAGACCACACGGTCCCTGGCCCTTTGCAGCCAGAGTGTGTGGGCCAACTGTGTAGTGGTATGCACTCCCACTCTGTCTGCCAGCACTACCATGTACCATGTCTAGCCTCATCACCTGGAGACCTGGGAGTCTTCTTTGGTTTTCTCTGACCTTTGCCACCAGATCTGCTTACTTGCAAGTCCTGTCGGTTGTACACCTCCCAGCCTTTCCCCATCTTCCTCCTTTTTATTTTGGTCATTGTTTCAACCCAGCTAGAATAATATCTGGCCCAGATTATTGCAATAGTTCCTAGTTGGGAGTCCTCTAAACTTTTTTGTTTAAACAATGATGGCCGAACAGGTGGCTCATGCCTGTAATCCAAGCACTCTGGGAGGCTGAGGCAGGAGGACCACTTGAGGCCAAGAGTTCAAGAGCAGCTTGGGCAACAGAGTGAGACCCCACCTCTACAAAAAAAATTTAAAACTTAGCTGGGTGAAGGAAATGTATACAGTGGTCCATTTCCAAGACAAAGTGCCTTAAATCAACTTAGGTCAGTAGACTACAGAAGAAAACAGGATACAGTAGGCTCCTGCTTGGACAGCCAATGCCTGCTTGTCACCCCCCCCCAACCCCCTTAGTTACCCTCACCTGAACCAAAGAAGTTTAGTCTAAGATGAAAGTTTACTAGCTGCAAAATAGCTCGTGTTGCCTGTTCTTATCAGCCTGCCCCAGCTACTTAAGTCATAAGTCAAATACCTGAAGAGCCCCTGAGCTAACTAGGATTGCAATGCATTGTGGGCTGCAACAAAACGCAGCAGGACAACCCTAAAGAAAACACCCGAAGCCCCTACCCAACGACCAATAGGCAATGTCCGGGAAGATTGTGACCCCATAATACACAGCCCATGAGGAACTGGGGGAGGCACCTGTGCACTAGGGGATAAATTGCTTGTTGAAACTGTGCTGGGTGTGCCTGCTGCCAGACACCCAATATTACAAGAGCATCATTAAAAGTCTCACTTTCGCTGTTCTCCAGGTCTCTGAGTCCATTCTTTGGGTTTGGAGGGGTGAGTTTGTTTCTCATAATGGGGAATAAAAATCAAACATTGCCTTGGGGGCAAATATTGGTATCTAGGTAGGTTATAGCTGAAGATGTTCTGTCATTCTGATATGCTCTAGAGTGTTATATGACCTTGTCCCCACAAAGTTAGTGACATAATACTAACACAGGAGACAAGGGAAAAAAGAGGTTATGCTGGAGCTGATTTAATTGCTACTCGGAAGTTGCAGCAGTTGAGTTAGACTTCATGAGGAAATAGGACTTAAGATAGCTGAGCTCTTAATGAGGTTGTGATTTCCCAGGTAGGGGGACTGGGTGTACGAGCATCTGGAAGAAGAAAGTGAAGAGAATGAAACAAGGGAGGAGAAAGGCACCGTATATCAGGGAGCAGTAAGGCCACATTGTGGCAGCAGAATAGCTTAGACATTTATTATTAATTTTTTTAGATGGAGTCTCACTCTGTCACCAAGGCTGGAGTGCAATGGTGCTATCTTGGCTCACCACAACCTCCGCCTCCCAGGTTCAAGTGATTCTCCTGCCTCAGCCTCCCGAGTAGCTGGGATTACATGTGTGTGCCACCACACCTGGCTAATTTTTGTATTTTTATTGGAGATGGAGTTTCACCATGTTGGCCAGGCTGGTCTCCAACCCCTGATATCAGGTGATCCACCCTTCTTGGCCTCCCAAAGTGCTGGGATTACAGGTGTGAGCCACCATGCCTGGCCAGCTTAGACATTTAGATGTAATGTTAGGCATTGGAGAATTAAAGGTTTTGGAGCAAATGAGTGACTTAAAACAGTGTTAAACACAAGATTGATCTGACAGCAGTATTTTTAATTTTTTTTTTTTTTTTTTGAGAGATTCTCCCTCGTCGCCCAGGCTGGAGTGCAGTAGCATGATCTTGGCTCACTGCAACCTCCGCCACCCAGGTTCAAGCAATTCTCCTGCCTCAACCTCCCGAGTAACTGGGATTACAGGTGCACACCATGCCTGGCTAATTAAAAAAATTTTTTTTGTAGAGACAGGGTCTCCTTATGTTGCCCAGGCTGGACATATTCATTTTAAATGGAAAGGGACAGGGCTAGGGAAGTGGACTGCAGAGGACATTAGAGTCAGGCTTGTGCCTGGGCCCAGCTACATGCCAAGTCACCTGTGGCACTAGGTGGGGGGCCTTGTGTAAGTGACCTGACCTAGTTGAGCCTGTTTCCTGATCTGTAAAACAGTATGTATGTCAGAAGGCTCTTTGGAGGATTAGTAATTCACCAAGTATTTTACTTGGTTTCTTTTCTTTTCTTTTCTTTTTTTTAGACGGAGTCTCGCTCTATCACCCAGGCTGGAGTGCAGTGGTGTGATCTCGGCTCACTGCAACCTCCGCCTCCCAGGTTCATGCCATTCTCCTGCCTCAGCCTCCCAAGTAGCTGGGACTACAGGCACCCGCCACCACACCCAGCTGATTTTTTGTATTTTTAGTAGAGACAGGGTTTCACCGTGGTAGCCAGGATGGTCTCCATCTCCTGACCTTGTGGTCCGCCCACCTCGGCCTCCCAAAGTGCTGGGATTACAGGCATTAGCCACTGCGACCGGCCTTACTTGGTTTCTAGAAAGTGCCAGTTTGCTAGGTGCCAAAAGTACAACAGACAAGAAAAAACATAGTCTTGGAACTCCAGGAACTTATTGGCTGGTGGAGGAGACAGATAATAAAAAAGGCAACAAACAGATGAAACACTGCAAAGTGTGACCATGAAGAAGGCAAGCAGCGGGAGAATTACCTTTTAGTTTAAGAGGCCAGGGAAAATCCCTCTGAGTAAGTGAGGCTTACCGAGACCACAGAATTGAGAAGGAGCCTATCAGACAAAGAACAAAGGGGGCTGGGTGTGGTGGCTCACGCCTGTAATCCCAGCACTTTGGGAGGCTGAGGAGGGAGGATCATTTGAGATTGGGAGTTTAAGACCAGCCTGGTGAACATGGTGAAACCCTGTCTCTACTAAAAATACAAAAATTAGCCGGGCGTGGTGGCACATGCCTGTAATTTCAGCTACTCGGGAGGCTAAGGCAGGAAAATTGCTTGAACCTGGGAGGCGGAGGTTGCAGTGAGCCGAGATTGTGCTACTGCAGGCCAGCTGGGTGACAGAGCAAAACTTCATCTTAAATAGCCAAAGGGAAGAACATTCCAGAGAGAGGAGATATGTAGAGACAGGAAGAACTTGCTATGTTCTGAAAATAAAGATACTTCTAGAGCACAAGCGGTGAGGTTGGGAGAGAGGCCTGCGATGAGATGGAGAGGAGGACCCTGCCGGCCCTGACAGGAGTCTGGACTCTTTTAAGTGAAATGGAAGCCACTGAAATGTTTCAGGCGGGGAGGCTCCTGTCCAGATGTGCATTCTAAAAACTCTTATTCTGCTGTGATCCAAAAAATACGTTGAAGGTAGGATCAAAGATCTTGGATGCGAATGGAAAGAGGGAGGAAAAGGGTGAAATCAAGTGTGACTCTTCAGTTTCTGGCTCAAGTGACAGTAGAAAATACTGCAGTTACTGATATGGATATGACCTAAATGGATAGGTACAAGTTTTGGGGCAGAGATGGGATAACATGTTATATACCCTTTTCATGGCTGGCACATATGTGAACACACTCAATATGGGAATTATTACTACTATCTGGACATCCTGGGTTTCATAACAAAGGCTTCTAGAAAACAAGTGGAAATAGTAACTTCCATGTCCTTAAATACAGTCTGCAAGCATGAAATAGAACAGGATTCTCAAAGTGGATGGCAATAGGTTCTCTCTTGAAATAAAAAGAAAACTTCACTACAAAATGATAATGCAGGCCAAGCACCGTGGCTCACACCTGTAATTTTAGTACTTTGGGAGGCTGAGGCAGAAGGATCGTTTGAGCCCAGGCTGGGGAATGTAGCGAGACCCTGCCTCTACCCACCACCCCCCTCCAAAAAAAGGTGATGGCTCCAGGGGAGTATCTACAATACAGCCAACCAAGGAAACTTTGGTTTATCACATCAGCATCTGATAAGGTCTGTGCTTCTCTGAAATCACATTAATGAAAACATGTAACTACCAGAATGCTTCACATTGAAAGCTTTTATTTTGAAAAATAAAATACAAAAGTCATTAGGTTGTAAATGTATAATGGTAATTTCCCAACTTCTCAGAAACAATACAATGAATTAAATAATTAGGATATTTAATATTATTCACATCAATACACTTAAACAGGCACACGTGTTCTACAAAACATTAGAACATGTACAGACAACCTATTTCAAAAGGAGACTGCCCAAGTCTGCTTACAGGATCCCATTTTTAAACCCTCTCCTTGAAAACAAACGTCATAATGTAAGAAAAGAGAACAAGAGGAGTTTTAACAGGAAACACATGTTCCTTCTGGGCTCCTTACTGCAGGGCTGTGCATGAAATCGGGATCAAGAGCTCTTTGCTCAGGAGGCAGATCCCTCACGAGGCCCAAAGCTGTGCGGACACCTCCATCCTCTCAGTGGGAGGAAACTGGCAAATGCACAGGCGGCGCAGCCAAGGTGCAGACGCTCCACCAAGCTTGGCAGGGGACAGCCAATCCTAGGAATTTCCCTTCTGCTGAAAAGGCAGCAATCTTTCCTAGGGCGAACAAACAGAATGTGGTTACAGGTGTGGAGTCCCGGTGTGTTCTCCCTGTGTCTTCGTCTCTTCCTTCCCAGCTACAGGCCTAGACAAGCCAGGCGGTTGGGGAGGTTCCTGCAGATCAGGGGCCAGGAGGATGGATGTTGAGAACAGCTGCCTCAGGAAGACTGCCTGGGAGGCACACACACCCTCACTCTGGTGCTTTCAGATGCATGCAAGTAGCTGCTGGGTGCAAAGCAAGCAGATGGCCAAAACCAGGGCTGCTCCTGCCCATTTCTAAATAACTGACTGTCATCTGCTATTGTTGCTACTGTGGGGGCACTGTCAGGGGCACCAGATGTCCAGGGGTCAGCACCATGATTCCTCGTGTGAAGAAATGGGTCCTAAGGTTCTTAAAGTGTCCAGGGGTCAAGACCCTGATTCCTCCTTATGTGAAGAAATGGGTCCTAAGGTTCTTCAAGTGTCCAGGGGGCAGCACCCTGATTCCTCCTCATGTGAAGAAATGGGTCCTAAGGTTCTTTAAGTGTCCAGGGGGCAGCACCCTGATTCCTCATGTGAAGAAATGGGTCCTAAGGTTCTTTAAGTGTCCAGGGGGCAGCACCCTGATTCCTCCTCATGTGAAGAAATGGGTCCTAAGGTTAAGTGTCCAGGGGTCAAGACCCTGATTCCTCCTCATGTGAAGAAATGGGTCCTAAGGTTCTTTAAGTGTCCCAGGGGTCAGCACCCTGATTCCTCCTCATGTGAAGAAATGGGTCCTAAGGTTCTTTAAGTGTCCAGGGGTCAGCACCCTGATTCCTCCTCACGTGAAGAAATGGATCCTAAGGTTCTTTAAAGGAAGCTCCAGAGAACACAGATACTGTTATTGAAATGCCAAAGGGACCCAAAAGATAAGAAAGATAGTATCCATCCTAAGGGCTTTGCTGTGTCCCCAGTTCTCCTGAGTCCTCCTCAGCACAGGTTGGCCCCTCCCAACCTCCACACACAAGCCAGGGTGAAATGCTGCAGAGGCAACTGCTGATGCGGTCCATCCTACAACACGCTGGTAAAGAAATGAGGCCTTGTGTGTGTTTGGTGGGGCGGGCAGGGAGATTACCTATGAAGTTTGAAAGCATTTTGTATAAACAAAATTAGCCAAGGCCTGATAACTGCTGTTAAATATGCAGACCCACAGGGCATAAGACTAACATTCAGCATTTGCTCCTCAGCAAAAAGGAAACCTGAATCCTAGAACCTGTCAATATTAGCAGCTTGCTGCCATCTGGGATTTTGACATGACGGACCAGCGTCCATGTGCTTCTTATGTCTATAATCCATCAACGCACCGCAAGTCACATTCAACCTGTTTTCTCACTAGCAAAACAGGAATACTACCAGCTTGCCAGAGTGGTTTGAGAACTGAATACAATTTTATATATAGATGTATATATAATTTAGCGTATCTGTTATATATATATCATCTTATATATATGCAAATAAAATCCTTGGTATTTTATGCCTGGTATGGAGTATGCACAATACATCATTATATAAAGTAAAAATAAAAACATTATATAAAAAAAAAAAACAAAGGTCAGCAAGTAAACTATGAGAAAAAATCACTATCAATATCAGATTTTATTTTTATTTATTTATTTATTTATTTTTGAGACGAAGTCTCGCTCTGTCACCCAGGCTAGAGTGCAGTGCTGCAATCTCGGCTCACTGCAACCTCTCTGCCTCCTGGCTTCAAGCAATTCTCTTCCTTCAGCCTCCCGAGTAGCTGGGACTATAAGTGCCCACCACCACGCCCAGCCAATTTTTTTTTTTTGAGACGAAGTCTCTCTCTTGTCACCCAGGCTGGAGTGCAATGGCACGATTTCGGCTTACTGTAACATCCACCTCTTGGGTTCAAGTGATTCTCCTGCCTCAGCCTCCCAAGTAGCTGGGATTACAGGTCCCTGCCACCACACCCAGCTAATTTTTGTATTTTTAGTAGAGACGAGGTTTCACTATGTTGGCCAGGCTGGTCTCGAACTCCTGACCTTGTGATCTGCCCACCTTGGCCTCCCAAAGTGCTGGGATTACAGGCATGAGCCACCATGCCCAGCCAATATCAGATTTTTTGAAAAGGCTGTTCAAGTTACAACTGATCAAAGGCTTTGCCACATCATTTGGAGCAAAACTGATCTTAAGAAAGTTTGGGTGGATAAGCAGAGACTGAAAGTCTGGGACAAGGGTATGAACTCTGAGCAGCTGCACCTGGAGATCTGGGCTGAGAAACCAGCTTTGCCACTCATGAGCTGGTGTCCCTGGACATGTGCCTGATGAGGGCCACATACTCAGATAGAAAAAGGGCTGAGAAGGCAAGGCTGGCCTTGTCTACAATGTAGCACTTAGTCCAATGAGACAATATAGGTTACTCACATAAGCCATCCATAATACATTAAAACAAGCAAGGGCAAACTTGAAAAACCAACCAAGAAACAAACAAACAAACAAAAATTGCAGTAGGGCAAAAACATCTGCAAGTCCAGCACACGAAGAAAGCCACTGGAGGTGGGGATGGGTGGCTGGGGCCCTGGCTGAACAGGTAACCAGAAGTAAACAGCCACTCTTGAGTTCTGGGTTTCCTTGCCTATGGACTATGGTCCTGACAAACGACCTGCTCCCTCTGGGACCAGCTTCCTTATCAGTAAACAGGGAGTTGGGCTTGATGGCCTCCAGGTCCCTTTCAGCTGAAATATTTCATGGTTCATAATGAAAATAACAATACTATTGTGCGCTTATTATGAGCCAGGCTCTTGGATGATGATTAATTCTCACCACCATGCTCTTGTTAATATTATCCTCATTTCATAGATGAATAAATGAAGACACAGAGAGGTGAAGTAATGTGCTTGCTTCCACACAGAAAGTGAAGAGGCAGGATTCCAACCCTGGCAGACGGACTCCAGAGCTGTGCTCTCCACCTTGGCCACCCAGCCCCCTGCAAGAGCCCGAGTGGGAAACAGAAAGACCTGGCAATGTCCCCCAACCCTCACCTCATGTATGGAAGAGGCTCCTGGTTCTGCTACTCCACTTGCTCAGTCTGTTGAAGGAAAGAAAAGATGTTTTAATGTCCTTGAAGTTGGTCAGCATGAGAAGTGACCGTCCCCACTGAAACATGAGGGGTGGCCCGCAGGCTCTGTTCACTTTCAGATGAACTCAGTGCACTACTGTGGTATGCTCAAGAATCTGACTGGCCTTTCCCCCTGGTTCCTGGGAGGGAAATGCCGAATCCTTGGAATTTCCTGGGTAACAAGAGTGTCTTTGTTATTTCTGATGCCCTTGGATCACATCTGGATTTATGTTATGAGATGATTCAGGATGGGGCTGCTCACCACAAAGACCAACCATGGGATCAGGGGCTGGGGCTTGGAGCCCACGTCAACTCTGGGGAGGGGAGGTTGGCTGGAGATTGAGTTCTAACACATGACCAACGATTTGATCAATCTTGCCTGCATAAATAAACCCCAATAAAAATGCTGGGTGTGGAAGTTCAGTGGCACTTCCCGGTTGGTGAACACATGGGTGTGCCGGGAGGGTGACGTGCCCTGCTTTCATAGGGAGGAGGCACAGAAGCTCTGCATTCAGGACCCTCCTGGGCCCACTTCTATCTTATGGCTGGTCCTGATCTGCATCCTTTATAAAACTGTCATTGTTAAGTACTACACTTTACCGAGTTTTATGAACCATTCTAGCTAATTATTCAATCTGAAGGTTCTATGAGTTTCTGCTGATTTTCATTAGAAGTTAAACTGAAGACCTTATGGGCCCTTTTCTACGTGTGTGTGTCTCTGTGTGCACACTTCTGCATGATTGTTTCTTTTTTTAATAGACAAGGTTTCCCTCTGTAACCCAGGCTGTAGTGCAGTGGCACAATCACAGCTGTCTGGGCTTAACAGATCATCCTGCCTCAGCTTCCCAAGTATGCCACCACGCTCAGCCTTTTTTTTTTTTTTTTTTTTTTTGATGGAGTCTTGCTCTGTCACCCAGGTTGGAATGCAGTGGCGCAATCTCGGTTCACTGCAACCTCTGCCTCCTGAGTTCAAGCAATTCTCCTGCCTCAGCCTCAGGAGCAGCTGGGATTATAGGTGTGTGCCACCACACCCAGCTAATTTTTTTTGGTACTTGTTTTTAGAGATGGAGTTTTGCCATGTTTGCCAGGCTGGTCTTGAACTCCTAATCTCAAGTGATCTGCCCGCCTCAGCCTCCCAAAGTGCTGGGATTACAGGTGGGAGCCACCACGCCTGGCCCTGCCCAGCTAATTTTTTGATAGAGATAGGGTCTTGCTATGTTGTCCAGGCTTTTTGCCCAATTTAAAAAAAAATTCCCTTACGATGATGATCTATATTCCACAGATGAGTTTTTTGTTTGTTTGTTTTTTGTTTTTTTTTTTGAGAGGGAGTCTCGCAATCTTTCCCAGGCTGGAGTGCAGTGGCACGTTCTCAGCTCACTTCAACCTCTGCCTCCTGAGTTCAAGCGATTGTCCTGCCTCACCCTCCCAAGTAGCTGGGATTACAGGTGCCCAACACGCCCAGCTAATTTTTTTTTTTGTATTTTTAGTAGAGATGGGGTTTCACTATGTTGGCCAGGCTGGTCTAAAACTCCTGCCCTCGTGATCCAGCCGCCTTGGCCTCCCAAAGTGCTGGGATTACAGGTGTGAGTCACTGCACTCGGCTCCAGATAAGTCCTTTGTTTCAAATATATTCTCCTACTTAGGCTCACTATTTTACTCTCATGATTTTTATTACATAAACATCCTCAATTATAATGTAGTTCATATTATCTACCTTTAAATTAATAATCAGTACTTTTTAGGGCTTAAGAAATCCTGTCCTCTTATGGTCATAAAGATGGTTCCTCTATTATCTTCTTCGTTTTTATGAGACAGGATTGACTGCCCAGGCTGCAGTGCAGTGGTGTGATCTCGGCTCATTGCAGCTTCAACCTCTGGGGCTCAGGTGATCCTCCCACCTCAGCCTCCCAAGTAGCTGGGACTACAGGCATGCACCACACCCAGCTAATTTTTTGTATTTTTAGTAGAGATGAGGTTTGGCTATGTTTCCCAGGCTGGTTTTGAATGCCTGGACTCAAGCAATCTGCCTGCCTCCCAAAGTGCTGGGATTACAAGCGTGAGCCTCATGCCTGGCTCTTCTATATCCTCTAACAACTTTCATTATTTTGCCTTTCACATTTAGGTGTGCAATCCATTTGGAAATATTTTTAGGTATGTTGTGAAGCAGGAGTGTCCCTTTAGTTTTAGTCTCAAATACCTTTTCTTGACTTCTTCAGATTTGTTATGCAAACCGGCTTTTGGAATTTTTTTTTTTTTTTTTTTTTTTTTTTTTGAGACAGACTCTCGCTCTGTCACCCAGGCTGGGATTACAGGCGCACACCACCAAGTCTTGCTAATTATTTTATATTTTTAGTAGAGACGGGGTGTCACTGTGTTGGCTAAACAGATCTTGAACTCCTGACCTCAGGCAATCCACCCACCTGGGCCTCCCAAAGTGCTGGGATTACAGGCGTGAACCACCGCACCTGGGCGCTTTTGGATTTTATATTCCTTCAAGACAGCCTCTTGGAATATTCTCTGGCTCCAATTTCCACAGCCGGTGTCAGTCTGTTCATGAATCTGCCCAGGTTTCTGGGACATCATGCCCAGCCTGGGCCCAGAGCTCTGTGTCCCCTTGTCTGCACGAGGTGGTCGGATTCTTCTGGATAAATCAGGAGCTCCTTGAGGTCTTTCTTTCCCCCGTGACTCCTGAGGACTTACTCTAATTCCTCACCATAGTAGACACTGGGTAAACAATTGGTGAATAAGTGAATGAATGGATGAATAGTAAATATATGTGAATAAGAATATGCCTTGAAAGTACTTTGAAACACTCAAGTCATATGTATCAATTACTGGCGGCTAAGTGTTTTCAGAAAAGGGTCAGGAAGGAAGAGGCTTCAACTCTGGTGTGAGACATGGCTTCCCTCAGAGAGGGCAGCCCATTTACTCCAGGCTTGCATCAGGCAACTGGACTTCACACAAGTCTCTGAGGTGCTGTTGCTTCACCAACCTCTATCTGGAACGCTTTCAGAAACTGAGTTCAAAACTGAGTCTCCTCTTCCTATTGACAAGCTAATCACTGACAGCAGCAGCCTGGAGGCAACATGCATCATCGCCTTGCTGGAAAGGGAAGTCGGCTGCACTCAGGCCATGAGTGTCCATTTTTTCTGACTTCCATATGGGCATGACAGTGATGCCCAGAGGCAGGATGCCGGGCTCCTCTAGGCATGTCAGCCGTGAGACTCCCTGTTTCTTTCCAACCCAGGAAACAGGATTGGAATGCAAGTCAGTGAGAGAAGACGTTACAGGGAAAACTCTGAATCTGCTTAATTTTTTTTATTTTTGAGACAGGGTCTCACTCTGTCACCCAGGCTGGAGTGCAGTGGCACAATCTAAACTCATGGCAACCTCCACCTCATGGGCTCAAGCGATCCTCCTGCCTCAGCCTCCCAAGTAGCTGGGACCAGAGGCCTCGCCACCATGCCTAGCTAATTTTTTCTTTTTTTGAGGCAGTCTTGTTCTGTCACACAGGCTGTAGTGCAGTGGTGTAATCTTGGCTCAGCAACCTCCACCTCCCGGTTCATGTGATTCTCCCTCAGCCTCCCAAGTAGCTGGGATTACAGGCAAATTCTGCAATACTCGGCTAATTTTTATATTTTCAGTAGAGATGAGGTTTCACCATGTTGGCCATGCTGGTCTTGAACTCCCGACTTCAAGTGATCTGCCAACCTCGGTCTCACAAATTGCTGGGATTACAGGCATGAGCCACCATGCTGGCTTTAATCCTTCAAACTCTCACTGTCCTTCCCAGGGGCCAGTGACTATGTGTATATATAAGTCATCTGGGCTCCAAATGAGAAAAGTCAAAGGGGCAAGGATGTACAGTACACAGAGTAGGAACAGAGAGGGTCGCTGAACATTTTTATTTCAAATTAGGCACTGGAACGCTGGAGCAGCTTTACCCACTGGGCGGCTTGTGCAGGACCTCAAGCAATCAGAATTTGGTTATCAATAAAGTATTTCCCTGGTTTTGGGAGACACTGAGCTCTCTGAAATTAAGACTGTGTTAAATTATTGTTAAAATCAACAAGTCCCAGACGCTGATCTTTCTTCCCCAGCACATATCACTATCCCTTTTCTTCTTTTCTTTTTGGTTTTCTTGTTTCTGTCTTTTTAATTTCATTATCTCTTTAAAAATATTACTTCAATGCAAGAGCCAATCTAGTATACATCAGGAGGAAAAAGCAGACACAGTACCTGTGGTTTTTCTTTAAGAAAGTCAGGTAGTTGGAATTCTCCCTTATAGACCTGGAAAAACAAAGCAGGCGTGAGTTTAAGGCAACAGGTCCAGTCCCCATCATTGCAGGACATGTGCCATGCCTGACCGTGGCCGGGTTTACTGCTCCACTGCTGGTGAGTTTAGAATGAGAAAGAAGCCTGTCAGTTCAAGAGCAGCCAGTGGGCAGCACTGAGGGAAATCCCCATTCACTGTAATTCCCTCCTGCTCTGTGTTTACCGAGTGCTCACAAATGTGGGCTGGCTAGGAGAGGGCTCAGGGTACCCTAAAAACAAAAGCACCCTGACTGCCAAATCCCAATCACTTTAGCTGAGAGAGGAAGCAAGCCCTAGGCAATCTCTCTCAAGCAACCAACACAGAACTCACGCAGTTTAGGAACAAGCTCTTCCTGGTTCCTTTTGAATTCTCCAAGGATACAACCCTGGATTTAATCCAACTTTACTTTTCTCAATTTACCCAGAATTCTCATGGTGATTTGAATTTGAATATTAAGTGATTCTTAAAATGATATAAACCGTAAATCTCATAAAATCTTATAATTAAAAACCTATGCTTTAATATATAAAAATGTTTCTAATACATGCAATAATTAGGAATCTTTATGATAAATTTGTGATAAATACCATTTATTACATTTAAAAGCCCACTGAATATGTAAGAGTAAATCAATAAAAGATATATAAAACCTTAACACAGAAAACTATAAAACACTATTGAGAGAAATTAAAGACCCACATAAACAGACATACCACTTTCAGGGACAGGAAGATTTAATATAATAAAGATAGCCATTCTCCTCAAAGAATTCCCAATCAAAATTCTAGCATGCTTTTTTTTTTTTTTTGGAGGGGAGGGAGTAATTTCAACTTGATTGTAAAAGTTATATGGAAATACACAGGGCCAAGAATAGTCAAGGTAGTTTTAAAAGAATAACAAAGTAGAAGAACTTATTCTACCAGATATCGATACATTACTATTATACAGCTACAATTATCTACATTACATAGCTCTAAACATTAGCTAAGTTAATGATATAGCCATAAGTAAGACAGTAGGGTTTTGGCACAAGGATAGATAAATATATCGATGAAACAGAATGACAGGTCCAGAAACAGCCCCTCAGATGCAGATGCCTGGTTTACGGCAAGGTGGCATTGCAGAACAGTGCAATGAGAAAGAATAAATTAAAAAACGTGATCTACGCATATAATGATACACTATACAGTAACAAAAAAATGAACTCTGCTACATTAGCAACAACACAGATGAATCTCAACATAATGATGAGGAGGTGGGGAGCCAGATTCCAAAGAATAATATACTACATCTTCATTTAAAAAATTTAAAGCTACTAAGTAGGTAAAACAAATCAATGATCTTAGAAATCAGGATACTGTTTGCCCTGGGTAGGAAGGAGGTGGTAGTGATTGAGAGAGAGAAGCTGAGAGAGGCTTCCAGGGTGCTGGTAATTTTCTGTCTTGATATCAGTAGTGATTATGAGCATGTGTTCATTTTGTGAACACATCAGTTATTGATAAATGATTGGTATACTGTATGTGTGATATACTACAACAAAATTCAATAAATGAATTAAGTCAGTGGTTTAATGTTAAAAATTTACTGTTACACATATATCATTTAAGTACAAAGATGTTTATTTCAACACTTTGCAACAGCAAAAAAAAACTTGGGAACAAGTAATGTCAATGAAGAGTGGAAAAGCAATCCACTAGGAAGAAGTTTGATAACCACCGGAATCGCGATTGTAACAAGAAACTAAGGAAAGTTATTGGAAGGACAGTTACTGGATAGTCCTTCAGAGCACAGAAAATCTCAATGCTGAATCCCAGGTCTAAAAACCTAAAGAAGTTTCTCCTTTTACTGATCCACTTATAAATATAGCTGCATTACTTCGGAGGCTCAGAGAATGAACACACTTTTTTTTCCTGCAATGCCTAAAACTTGGTCTATTTTTTTTTTTTGTTCTCCGTTACAGTCTAGGAGACCTAAACTGAAGTAGAGACACAAGGCTTATAGATAAGGTATTTCCGTGGAGGTGCATGGCCCTGGAAAGTGAACAGGGTGCAGGATAACAAAACTGCAGCTGCTAGGAGTGTCTCAAAGCTACCATCATCTCCCCCAGTCAATGGGGGCTGGCTTAGCTGCTCCCTAAAGAATCTACATATAAGAATCATTTGTTCGGCTGGGCGCGGTAGCTCATGCCTGTAATCCCAGCATTTTGGGAGGCGAAGGCGGGCAGATCACCTGAGGTCAGGAGTTCGAGACCAGCCTGGCCAACATGGTGAAACCCCATCTCTACTTAAAATACAAAAAATTAGCTGAGCGTGTTGGCAGGCGCCTGTAATCCCAGCTACTCAGGAGGCTGAGGCAGGTGAATTGCTCAAACCTGGGAGGCGGAGGCTGCAGTGAGCTGATCTCAGCATTGCACTCCAGACTGGGCAACAAGAGCGAAACTCCATCTCGAAAAAAAGAATCATTTGTTCTACCCTGACACCACAGCTTGGATGGGTCCAGCTTGCTGAGGTGGGAAGTGTCTAAGCCCTGGGAGCTGTGTATCATGTTAGCACTTGCTTCCATCTACTTTGCCTGCCTATTGTCTGTGGGTCAAGAAGACACCATGCCCAGTGGAGGGGCTGAAGCTACTAGAATGTTTTATTTGTTTTGGGTTTTTTGTTGTTGTTGTTTTTGTTTTTACCAGATTCTCAAGTGTCTTTCCTTCTCCCTCTATTCAAGAAATGAAGTCCCAGCCCCTACTTTCCAGGCCCCAGGGGCATACACTGCTCAGGCCCACAGTCCACTCTGGTCTGTGCCGTGGCTGCTTTACAGAACCAGTTCAGGTTGGGTCTGCCCCAGTCCCTCTTCTCTTGTCAGTGGGTTGAGGTCTCAAGTGACTTGACTTTGTTGTTGTTGTTGTTGTTGTTTTGAGACGGAGTTTCGCTCTGTCACCCAGGCTGGAGTGCAATGGCGCAATCTTGGCTCACCACAACCTCTGCCTCCCAGGTTCAAGCACTTCTCCTGCCTCAGCTTCCTGAGTAGCTGGGATTACAGGCATGCACCACCACGCCTGGCTACTTTTTTGAATTTTTAATAGAGACAGGGTTTCTCCATGTTGGTCAGGCTGGTCTTGAACTCCTGACCTCAGGTGATCCGCCTGCCTCGGCCTCCCAAAGTGCTGCATTACAGGTGTGAGCCACGGCGCCCAGCCAACTTTTCTTATTTTCACACTCTCTCAGACATTCAGACACTGAATCTCCTCTTTGAGCTAGCCTCTTCTGCTAGAATTTATGCAGAACGTTTAACTCAAGCCCAGGCAGTCATACAGGTGTCAGTGGCAGAGCAAGGCTCAGAGGCCGCACCCCAGGGCTCTTCCATTAAACCACACTCATTGCATCCCACATTGCCTTTAGCAAATCTATGGTGAAATCTTTCTTCCTCTTTTTGGCTTGTTATAAAAAGCATAAGGCATAACAGGAAATATGAGTGGGAACATTCAACACTATAAGTACCTTCCTAGTACTGACAGTTCCAGATAGGTAAGGCTTATATGAAGAAGAAAAAAAAAACCTAGGTATGCGATGTTACTGTAATAAAAAACCAAAAGGGGTCTGGGTAAAATATCAAATAAAGGCTCACGCAAAAATTCAGTGGGCAGCTGTCTGAAGATTTCCTTCTTTTAGTATCCTCCAGGGAACAAATGCCTCAAAAGTTAGGAACTGTAAAACCGACGAAAATAACATTTTCCACTGACAAAGCAATTTCTACACAGTGCAGAAAACTGACCCACTACATTGCCTATACAAACAGCAGAGCTAGAAATGGAATTTCCTTTGGTTAATGTTTCTGGACATCTGAATATTTTCAGGCACTAAAAGATGGAGGATTCTGCTTGACAGCAATGAGCTAGGTATTCAGAAGCCAAATGTTTCTACAAACCCTCCCACCTCAAGCACTGAAGAATAAGACAAAACTAAGCTTCTGATTTGAAGGGCAAATTGGAAATTAAAATAATAAAAAAAATCGCTAAACTTTACTATTTTCTGTGCATCAGGTTGGTATTAAGTAAGTGCCTCCTCATCAATCACACAATCTCCTGAGGAGGTATTATTCTCTTTTAACAGATGAAGCAACTGAGACACAGAGAAATTAAGTAATTCATAGACAGGTAGTGAAATGGGAAGCTTCTGTAGTAGTACTAGATTGGACTTTAATCATTCTAGTTGCTCTGTTTAGACTGTAGTATGGAGTCTATAGCAATAATCCAGAGAAGAGATAATGATGGCTTGGACCAAGGAGATAGAAATAGAGGTGGTAAGAAGGGGAGGATTACAATTTTTTTTTTCTTATTACATCTCGATATCCTAACAGATAGGATGTGGGATGTGAGGGACAAGGAGAATCAAGAATGACTCCAAGGTGTTTTGCCTAAGCAACTACCAACTGGAAACATGGAGTTACCATAGGTTGGTGGGGTTTTTCTTTCAATACTTTAAATATTTCATTCTGTAAGTCTTACAGCAATAAGAAAATAGAAAGAAAGGGCATCCAAACTAGAAAGAAAGAAGTCAAATTATCCTTGTTTATAGATAATATAACCTTATATTTGGAAAAACCAAAAGACTCCACCAAAAAAACTATTAGAACTAATAAATTCAGAAAGTTGAAGAAGACAAAACCAACATACAAAAATCAGTAGCATTTTTATGTGCCAACAGTGAACAATCTGAAAAAGAAGTCAAGAAAGTAATCCCATTTACAATAGCTATGAATAAAATAAAATTCTTCTACTCAGAAATAGAAAAAACAATTCTAAAGTTTACCTGGAACCATGAAAGATCCAGAATAACCAAAGCTATCCTGAGCAAAAAGAATAATACTGGTGGAGTAACATTACCTGAATTCGAATTATACTACAGAGTTATAGTAACCAAAACAGCATGGTACTGGCATAAAAATAGACACACAGATTGATGGAAAAGAACAGATAACCCAGAAACATATCCACACATCTACAGAGAACTCATTACCAACAAATGTGCCAAGAACATACATTGGGGAAAGAACAGTCTCTTCAATAAATGGTGCTGGGAAAACTGGATATCCATATGTAGTAGAATGAAACTAGATACTTGCTGGACATGGTGGCTCACACCTATAATCCCAGCACTTTAGTAAGTCAAGGCCAGTGGATCACTTGAGGCCAGAAGTTTGAGACCAGCCCGGGCAACATGGTGAAACCCCGTCTCTACTCAAAATACAAAAATTAGCCAGGCATGGTGGCATATACCTGAAATCCCAGCTACTCAGGAGGCTGAGGCATTAGAATTACTTGAACCTGGGAGGTGGAGGTTGCAATGAGTTGTGATCACACCACTGTACTCCAGCCTGGGAGACAGAGTGAGACCCTGTCTCAAAAAAAAAAAAAAAAAAAAAAAAAAGAAAAGCAAAGGAAAAAAAGAAGAAAGAAAGAAACTAGACCCCTATCTCTTGCCATATACAAAAATCAAATCAAAATGAATTAAATACTTAAATCTAAAACCTCAAACTATGAAGCTGCTAAAAGAAAACATTTGGAAAACTCTCCAGGACATTGCACTGAGCAAAGATTTCTTGAGTAATACCCCACAAAGACAGGCACCCAAAGCAAAAATGGACAAATGGGATCATGCCAAGTGTAAAAACTTCTATGCAGCAAAGGATACAATCAACAAAGGGAAGTGACAATCCCCCAAATGGAAGAAAATATTTGCAAACTATCCATTTGACAAGAAACTAATAACCAGAATAAAGAGCTCAAACAAGTCAATAAAAAATCGAATAATACAATAAAAAATGGGCAAAAGATCAGAATAGACATTACTACAAAGTAGACATACAAATGGCAAGCAGGTATATGAAAAGGTACTCAATATTACGTCATGACCATCAGGGAGATGCAAATCAAAACTACAATGAGATATCATCTCATCCCAGTTAAAATGGCTTTTATCCAAAAGACAGGCAATAACGAATGCTGGTGAGGATGTGGAGAAAAGGGAACCCTGGTACACTGTTGGTGGGAATATAAATTAGTACAACCACCATGGAGAACAGTATGGAGGTTCCTCAAAAAACTAAAAATGGAACTACCATATGATCTAGCAATCCCACTACTAGGAATATACCCAAAAGAAGGGAAATCAGTAAATCAAGGAGATATCTGCATTCTCACGTTTGCTGCAGCACTATTCACAATAGCCAAGATTTGGGATCAATCTAAGTGTCCATCAACAGATAAATGGATAAAGGAAATATTATATATATATATATATATGTACTATTCAGCCATAGAAAAGAATGACCCTGTCATCTGCAACAACATGGATGGAAGTGGGGGTCATTATGTTAAGTAAAATAAGCCAGGTATAGAAAGACAAACTTTACATGTTCTCACTTATTTGTGGGAGCTAAAAATTAAGACAGTTGAACTCATGGAAATAGAGAGTAGAACAATGGTTACCAAAGGCTGGGAAGGGTAGTGGGTAGGTGGGTGGGGGAGGGGATAATTATAGGGTACAAAAATATTATTAGATAGAAGGAATAAAATCTAGTATTTGATAGCACAACACGGCGACTACAGTCAATAATTAACTATTTATTTAAAAACAACTAGAGTATAACTAGATGGTTTGTAATACAAGAAAATGATAAATGCTTGAGGTGACAGATACCTCATTCATCCTGATGTGATTATTACATATTGTATACCCGCATCAAAATATCTCATGTACCCCATAAATATATACACCTACCAGGTAACCACAAAAATAAATGAAAAACATAATTAAAAACATAATAAAGACATAATAAATATAGAGATATTTCACTCCACTCTCCATAGGTGTTTTTTTTCCTCTAGGTTTTTTCAGGATGTTATCTTTGATTTTCTGCAATTTGATTATGATATGCCTAGGTGCCTGGGTACAGACTTTCTTGTATTTATCTTTTTTTTTTTTTTTTTTTTTTTTTGGAGATGGAGTCTCACTCTTTTGCCCAAGCTGGAGTGCAGTGGTGCCCAGCTCACTGCAACCTCTGCCTCCCAGGTTCAAGCAATTCTCCTGCCTCAGTCTCTTGAGTAGCTGGGATTACAGGCACCTGCCACCAGGCCTAATTTTTCTATTTTTAGTAGAGACAGGGTTTCACCATGTTGGCCAGGCTGGTCTTGAACTCCTGACCTCAAGTGATCTGCCCACCTCGGCCTCCCAAAATGCTGGGATTACAGGTGTGAGCCACCGCACCTGGCATTTGGTATTGATCTTGCTTGTTTTCTTAACTTTCTAAACTGGATTTGTGGTTTGGCATCTGTCTTTAGTTTTGAAAATAGTCATTATTACTTCAAATGGTTCTTCTATTCCTTTCTCTCTTTTCCTCTGTTATTCCCATCGTGTGTACACAATTTTACATACACATATTTTTTTTAATTTTTTAAAAAATTGGCCAGGCGCGGTGGCTCACGCCTGTAATCCCAGCACTTTGGGAGGCCGAGGCGGGCGGATCACAAGGTCAGGAGATCGAGACCATCCCGGCTAACATGGTGAAACCCCGTCTCTACTAAAAAGTATAAAAAATTAGCTGGATGTGTTGGCAGGCACCTGTAGTCCCAGCTACTAGGGAGGCTGAGGCAGAAGAATGGCATGAACCCAGGAGGCGGAGCTTGCAGTGAGCCGAGATTGCACCACTGTACTCCAGCCTGGGCGACAGAGTGAGACTATGTCTAAAAAAAAAAAAAAAAAAAAATTAGAAATGTTGGCTGGGTGAGGTGCCTCACACCTGTAATCCCAGCACTTTGGGAGGCCAAGGCAGGTGGATCACGAGGTCAGGAGTTCAAGACCAGCTTGGCCAAGATGGTGAAACCCCATCTCCACTAAAATTACAAAAATTAGCCAGGCGCAGTGGTAGACACCTGTAATCCCAGCTACTCTGGAGGCTGAGGCAGGAGAATCGCTTGAATCTGGGCAGCAGAGGTTGCAGTGAGCCAAGATCATGCCACTGCACTACAGCTCAGGTGAAAGAGTGAGACTCCATCTAAAAAAAACAATTAGAAATGTTTTTTCTATGCTTCATGACCTTACATATCATCCTTGCACAGGGCCATGTTGTGCAATCTTCTTGGTATTGTTCCAATTTTAGTGTTAGGTTCAGCCAAAGCAAGGACTTAAATATATATAATTTTGTAACTGTCCCACAGTTTTTGGATATCCTATTCTTTTCCTTTTTATTTTTTGTGGAGTCAACAGATCTCTCTCTGTTGCCTAGGCTGGCCCTCAACTCTTGGTCTCAAGTGATCTTCCCACCTGGGCCTCCTGAAGTGTGGAGATACAGTGTGAGCCACCAGGCCCCGCCATGTTCTGTCATTTATTCTTTTTTCTCTTTGCAGTTTAAGTTTTGGAACTTTCTACTGACATATCTTCAAGCTCATTGAATCTTTCCCAGGTTATCTATTGTCCTTTCCACTCTATCAATAAGTCCAAGGGCATTCTTCATTTCTGTTATAGTATTGCTTATTTCTAGTATTTCTTTTGGGTTCTTTCTTAGAGTTTCTATTGTCTGCTTATGTTACCCACCTTTCTTGCATGTTGTTCACTTTTTCCATTAGAGCCTTTAGTATATTAATCATACTTATTTAAAATTTCCAGTCTGATTATTCCAAAAATCGCTGCCATAAATGAGTCTGGCAATGGTTCTGATTCTTGTTATGCCTCATGCAACTTTGATTTTTGCCTTTTAGCATGTCTTGTAAGTTTTTGTTGAAAGCAGACATGATATACTGGGTAGAAGAAACTGCGGTAAAAAGTCCTCTTGTTTGAGGCTTTATGTTTCTCTGGCTAAGAGTTGGGCTGTGTTTACTGTTTTGTGTAGCTGTATAGGTTACATTTCCTTTAGTGTCCTTTTTTAAATCAATTTTTATTTTAGATTCAGGGGTACACGTGCAGGTTACAAGGGTATTTTGTGTGATGCTGACGTCTGGGGTACAACTGATCCTGCTACCCAGGTCGTGAGCATAGTACCCAATAGGCAGCTTTTCAACCCTTTCTCCCCTCCCTCTCTCCTGTCTCTTGCAGTACCCAGTGTCTACTGTTCCCATCTTTATGTCCATGAATACCCAATGTCTAGCTCCCACTTATGAGTTCGGAACATGTAGTTTTTGGTTTTTTGTTTCAGCATTAATTCACTTAGGATAATGGCCTCCAGCTGTACCCACGTTGTTACAATCACATCCTTGTTTTTGTATCTATCATTTCTTCGTTTCCCTAAAGACTCCTTATTAAAATAGAATAGGGTCTGAAAATTAGTTCATTTAGCAGTAATCCACTATCATTACACAGGAGACTGATTGGTGTGGTGGTGAGGTGTGTGTGGTGGGGGGAGTGTCTTATAATCACATAATTAGTTCTCAGTCTTTTAGTGAGCCTGTGTGCCTGGGCCGTGACTTTCACAAGTGCTTCTCAGGTTCCCTTCTCCCCAATTAGGTAAGACAGGAAGGCTAGAGAGGGCTGCAGTTGGGTGTTTCCCTTCTGATACACTTTGGGTATTTTTCCCCTCCAACTCATGCTGAAATGTGATTCCCAGTGTTGAAGGTGGGGCCTAGTGGGAAGTGTTTGGGTCATGGGGCCAGATCCCTCATGAATGGCTTGATGTTGTCCCTGCACTTGTGAGTGAGTTCTTACTCTATAACTATAGTTCACGCAAGACCTGGTGCGAGATCTGGTTGTTCAAGAGTCTGGCACCTCCCTCCCCTCTCTCTCTTGCTCTCTCTCTCTCCATGTGCTGTGCCTGTTCCCCTTTGTGTTCCACCATAAGGGAAAGCTTCCTGAGGCCTCACCAGAAGCTAAGCAGATAGATGCTGGTGCCATGCTTCTTGTACAGTCTGCAGAAATGTGAGCCAAATAAACCCCTCTTCTTTATAAATTACCAGTCTCAGGTATTCTTTTTTAGCAATGCAAGATGGACTAACACATCTTCCTCCAGGTCTGTTAGGCTCTGGTAAAGCACATGTCAATTAGGCTTGATTAAACAGTTTACTTTGAGAGCAAACCATTGCTAAGGAGTGCTACGGCTTATTTCAAGATGATGATTTCCCCTTCTCCCTACCTAAAGCTTGAGGAGATTTTTCTCTTTACCCTGAGAATCTGGTGAGGTTTCTGGAGGTAATCTGTGATTCTCAGTATGCACCATTCCCTCCAGTTTTTGGGAGAATGGTTTGCCCTGAAGCCTCAATTTTCTGATTGAAGAGTTGATTTTTCAGTTTTTGCAGCTTCTCTTTGTCCTTGGTGTTCTACAGTTTCATGGTACTGTGGCTTATTTTCCTCACTCAGTGGTATTGGAAACAGATACATGTCCATCTACTCTTATATTGTCATTTTGATAACATCCTGCTGTTCGTTTTCTCTATTCTCTTTTTCTGGAATTCCAGTCAGTTAAACATCAGACAACTTGAATTTTGCTTCTAAGTTTCTTATCTTTTCTCTCTAAGTCATCTCTTGTTTTTTCTTTTTGTTTTACTAAGATATTTTCTCAACTTTATCCAATCACTGATTTTAAATTTCAGCTCTCCTATTTTTAGTTCCCAAGCTTTCTGAATGTTTTAGAAAATAGCAATTTATTCTTGTTCCTTCACCTCACCTCTACAAGAATATTAATTACAGTTCATTTATGATTTCTTTTGCTTATTACATTGTTTTTGTTATCTCCGAGGTACATTTTTCTTTCTTTTGGTCTCTCTTATGTTAGAGATGTTCTGCCAATTTCTGGCAAGTCTTGGCTATGAAGCACTACAAAGTTAAATGGAGTTCTCTATATGAGAGTTGAGTATAATTATGGGTGTGCTTTCTCAGCCAGCCTTTTTGTCAGGATTCTCCAAGTATAATTTTGTAGGTCTAGGCTGAGTGCGGTGGCTCACACCTGGAATCCCAGCACTTTGGGAGGCCGAGGCAGGTGGATCATGAGGTCAGGAGTTCAAGACCAGCCTGACCAAGATGGTGATAACCCATCTCTACCAAAAATACAAAAACATTAGCCAGGCATTTGTGATGGGTGCCTGCAATCCCAGCTACTTGGGAGGCTGAGGCAGAGAATTGCTTGAACCCAGGAGGCGGAGGTTGCAGTGAGCCAAGATCATGCCACTGCACTCCAGCCTGGGCAACAGAGCGAGACTCTGTCTCAAAAAACAAAAATTTGTAGGTGTTTTATATACCTATGTGTGTATAAAATGTGTGCACATATATATAGAACCATGGTGTTTTGGTTACCATAGCTTTGTGGTATTCAAAGTCAGGCAGTGAGATGTCTCCAACTTTGTTCTTTCTGCTCAGGATAGCTTTAGGTATTCAAGGTCTTTTGTCATTCCACACAAATTTTAGGTTTTTTCTATTTCTGTGAAAAATGTCATTGGTATTTTGATAGAGATTATACTGACTCTGTAGATTACTTTGGGTAATACTGACTTTTGAGACGGAGTCTCACTCTGTCACCCAGGCTGGAGTGCAGTGGCATGATCTCGGCTTGGTGCACCCTCTGCCTCCCAGGTTCAAGTGATTCTCCTGCCTCAGCCTCCTGAGTAGCTGGGATTATAGGCACCCACAACCAGGCCTGGCTAATTTTTCTATTTTTAGTAGAGATGGGGTTTCACTATGTTGGCCAGGCTGGTCTCGAACTCCATAACAATATTAATTCTTCTAATCCATGAGTATGAAGTATCTTTTCATTTTCTATATGTCCTCTTCAATTTCTGTCATCAGTCTTTTACAGTTTTCATCACAGAGATTCTTCACTTATTTGGTTAAGTTCATGCCTAGGTATTTTATTTTTTTTGTAGCTATGTAAATGGGATTGCTTTTCTGATTTCTTTTTCAGATTGCTTGCTGTTGATGTATAGAAATGCTACAGATTTTTGTTATGTTGATTTTGTATCATGAAACTTAAGTGAATTTGTTTATCAGTTCTAGCAGTTTTTGGAGGAGTCTTCAGGTTTTTCTAAATACAGGATCATGTTATCTGCAAATAAAGATAATGTGGTTTCTTCCTTTCCAATTTGGGTACCCTTTATTTCTTTCTCTTGCCTAATTGCTTGGGCTAGGACCTCAAGTACTAAGTTGAACAGAAGTGGTTAGAGTGGGCATCCTTGTCTGTTCCTAATCTTAGAGAAAAATTATTCATTATTCAGCTTTTCACTGTTGAACATGACGTTAGCTGTGGGTTTGTCATATATGGTTTGAGATATGTTCCTTCTTTTTTTTTTCTTTTTTGAGATAAAGTCTCGCTCTATCACCCAGGCTTTGTATTTTTAGTAGAGATGGGGTTTCACCATGTGGGCCAGGCTGGTCTCAAACTCCTGACTTCAAGGGATCCACTCACCTCAGCCTCCCAAATTGCTGGGATTACAGGCATGAGCCACTACACCTCACCGAAGTATGTTCCTTCTATACCGTTTGTTGAGAATTTTTATCAAGAAGGGATGCTGAATTCTACTGAATGCTTTTTGAGCATCTATTGAAATCATCATATGGTTTTTGGTCTTGATTGTATTAATGTAATGTACTATGTTTATTGATTTGGGTATGCTGAATCATCCTTGCATCCCTCGGATTTCCACTTTATCATGATGATTTTTTTTTTTTTTTTTTTTAGGTTGAGGGGTACATGTGCTGGTTTGTTATGTGGGTAAACTGTGTGTCACAGAGGCTTGGTGTACAGATTATTTCATCACTCAGGTAATAAGCATAGTACCGAATAGGTATTTTTTCTGATCCTCTCCTTCCTCCAACCCCCCACCCTCAAGTAAGTCTGTTCTTCCCCTCTTCGTATCCCAGGATGATCTTTTTAATGTATTGTTGCACTTGGTTTGTTAGTATTTTGTTGAGGATTTTTGCATCTGTGTTCATCAGGGATGTTGGCCTGTCATTTTCTTGTTGCATCCTGTCTGGTTTTGGTATCAGGGTAATGTTGCCCTTGTAGAATGAGTTGGGAAGTAATCCCTTCTCTTCCAAAAAAATTTTTGTTTTGAGGAGTTTGAGTAGGATTGGTATTAGTTCTTTAAATGTCTGGCAGAATTTAGCAGTGAAGCAACAGGTCCTGGGCTTTTCTTGGTTGAGAGACTTTTTTTATATGGCTTCAATCTCATTACTCATTATTGGTTTGTTGAGGTCTTTTGTTTCTTCCTGATTCAATCTTGGTAGGTTGTATGTGTCAGAGAATTTACACATTCCTTCTAGGCTTTGCAATTTTTTGGTGTATAGTTGTTCATAGTAGTCTCTAATGATCTTTTTGTATATCGGTGGTATCACTTACAATGTCCCATTTTTCACCTCTGGTTTTGCTTATTTGGGTCTTCTCTCCCCCCACCCACCACCCCCCAACACTTAGTCTTCTGAAAGGTTTGCCAATTTTGATTACCTATTCAAAAAAACATTTTCATTTCATTGATCTTTGTATTCTTTTAGTCTTGGTTTCATTTACTTCTGCTCTTTTATTATTTCTTTCTATTAACATTGGTTTGTTTTTTAGATGCCTTTTTTCACGGAGAAAAAAAGAACAAAAAATTGGGGGTTTGTTTGGTTTTGCTTTTCTAGTTCCTTGAGGTGTATCGTTAGGTTATTTGAAGTCTTTTTACTTTTTTGATATAGACGTTTATTGCTATACACTTCCCTCTTAGAACCGCTTTTGCTGTATCCCATAGGTTTTGGTATTTTGTTTCCATTTTCATTTGTCTCAAGAAATTTTAAAATTTACTTTAAAATTTCTTCATTGGTCCATTTGTTGTTTAATTTCCATTAATTTGTACTGTTTCCAATGTTCCTCTGATTATAGATTTCTAGTTTTATTCCACTGTGACAAGATAAATATAATTTCAATTTTAAAAATTTGTTAAAACTTGTTTTGTGACCTAATGTATGATCAATCCTGGAGAATATTCCATGTGCTGTTGAGAAAAATGTGTATTCTGCAACTGTTGGATGGAATGTTCTGTAAATATCTGTTAGGTCCATTTGGTCCAGAGTACAGTTTAATGTCTACGTTTCTTTGTTTCTTTTCTGTCTGGATGATCTGTTCACATTGAAAGTGTGGATGTTCCCTAGTATTACTGTATTGCAGTCTATCTCTCTCTTTAGGTCTATTAATATTTGCTTTATATATTTGGGTGCTCTGGTGTTGGGTGTATATATATTTACCATTGTTATATCCTCTTGCTGTACTGACCCCTTTGTCGTTATATAATGGCCTTGTCTTTTTTTTAACCATCTTGATTTAAGTTTATTTTATGTGATAAAACTATAGGCTCTCTTGCTCTTTTTTGGTTTCCATTTGCATAAATTATCTTTTTCCATACCTTCACTTTCAGTCTGTGCTTATCTTTACAGATGAAGTGAGTTTCTTGTAGCCAGCATATGGATGGGTCTTGTTTTTTAATCCATTCTGCCACTCTTAATTGAAGAATTTAATCCATTTATATTCAAAGTTATTACTGACAGGTAAGGGTTTACTACTGCCATACTGTTCCTTGTTTTTGGTTGCTTTGTAGATTCTTTCTTCCTATTTTCCTCTCTTACTGTCTTCCTCTATGGTAAGTGATTTTCTCTAGCAGCGTGCTTTGATTTTGTGCTATTTATTTTTAGTGTATCTATTATAGGTTTTTGCTTTATGGTTACTGTGAGGCTTACAAAAAAATCTTATAATAGGTTATTTTAAACTGATAATCACTTAACTTTGCAAAGAAAAGTAACAAAAACTCTATACTTTAACACCGCCATTGCCATTTTGACTTTTTGATGTTTTGATTTAATCTTTTTATTGCTTAAACAATTGTCTGTCTCCTAAATAACCGTTGTAGTTACTGTTTTTAATAGTTTTGTCGGCCGGACATGGTGGCTCAAGCCTGTAATCCCAGCACTTCAGGAGGCCGAGATGGGCGGATCACCTGAGGTCAGGAGTTCGAGACCAGCCTGGCCAACATTGTGAAATACTGTCTCTACTAAAAATACAAAAATAAGCCAGGTGTGTTGGCACATATCTGTAATCCCAGTTACTCGGAGGCTGAGGCATGAGAATCACTTCAACCCAGGAGGTGCAGGTTGCAGTGAGCTGAGATTGCACCACTGCACTCTCCAGCTTGAGTGACAGAGCGAGGCTCTGTCTTAAAAAAAAAAAAAAAAAAAAAAAAAATTTGTCTTTTAGTCTTCATACTTAAAATATAAGTGGTTTACTCATCCCATTTGCAGTATTACAATATTCTGAATTTTTCAGAAGTCTTCTTTTACCAGTGAGTTTTCTTTCTTTTGCCGGTGAGTTTAATGCCATTAGATGCTTTCTTTTTACCCATTAGCATCCTTCACTTTCTGACTGAACAGCTCCCTTTAGCATTTTTTGTAAGACAGGTCTGGTGTTGATGAATTCCCTCAACTTTTGTTTGTCTGGAAAAATCTTTATCTTGCCTTTGTGTTTATAAAGGGTAACTTTGCTGGGTACAGTATTCTTGCTTGGCAGTTTTTTTCTTTTCCTTCAGCACTCTAAATATACCATTCCACTCTTTGCTGGCCTACAGGGTTTCTGCTGGGATATCTGCTGAAAGCTCTATTGGGGTATGTTGAATGGGACACATTTCTTTTCTCTTGCTGCCTTGAGTAATCTTTCTTTGTCTTTGATTTTTGTTAACCAGATTGTTATGTGCCATAGGTATCTCTTCTTTGGGTTGATTTTAATTGCTGATCACTGAGCTTCCTGTACCTAGACAGTGTCATCTTTCTCTAGATTTGGGACTTTTTCAGCCATGATTTGCTTAAGTATGCTTTCTACACCCTTTTCTTCCTCATCTTCAGGAATTCCTATTATGCAGAGGTTAGTCTGCTTGATGGTATTCCACAATTCTTGTAGGTCTTCTTTACCCTTTTTTATTCTTGCTCCTCTGAATGGGTAATTTCATATGTTCTGTCCTGAAGCTCACCAATTCTTTTATTTGATTAAGTCTGCTGCTAAAGCTTTCCAATGAGTTATTCCAGTTCAGTTACTGTATTGTTTATAGATAGGATTTCTATTTGTTTTCTTGTTTCTATTTCTTTGTCAAATTTCTCACTACATACATGGATTGCTTTCTAAATTTCATTTAATTTTCTATCTCTATTTTCTTGTGATTCCCTGAACATTTTTTTTTTTTTTGAGGCGGAGTCTTGCTCTGTCTCCCAGGCTGGAGTGCAGTGGCACAATCTCAGCTCACTGCAAGCTCCGCCTCCTGGGTTCACACCATTCTCCTGCCTCAGCCTCCCGAGTAGCTGGGACTACAGGTGCCCACCACCAGGCCCTGCTTATTTTTTGTATTTTTAGTAGAAATGGGGTTTCACCATGTTAGCCAGGATGGTCTCGATCCCCTGACCTCGTGATCTGCCCACCTCGGCCTCCCAAAGTGCTGGGATTACAGGCGTAAGCCACCATGCCTGGCAGATTCACTGAACTTTTTAAAGAGGCTTATTCTGAATTCTCTGTCTGACATTTCATAGATCTTCAATTCTTCTGAGTCCACTGGTGGAGCTTTGTTGGTTTCTTTTGGTGGTGTCATATTTCCCTAAGTTTTCATAATCATTGCTTGTTTATGTTGATGCTTGCACATTTGAGGACACAGCCATTTCTTCTAGGTTTTGCAGGTGTTCTTTGGTGATTTCGGGCCTTTACTTAGTATGAGAGCTTAAGTACTGGCCTATTGTTTCTTCCCATTCTGGGGAAGACTTACAGTGAGCATCAGAACTGAAACACTGCACTAAAACTAAACTAACTTGCCCTGCCATTCAAAACATTGCACTAAAACAGAACTAACTTGCCCTGCCGTTCAAAACACTGCACTAAAACTAAACTAACTTGCCCTGACATTGTTTCACAGACAGGAAGACTTATAGTGACCACCGAAAGGTAAACATTGTTCTCCAACTATATTGCTATCCTGTCATCATTTCCCAGTCTGTGAAAGTCTTAAGTGCTTAAGTGTACACTGGAAGTTAATCCCAACTTTTTTTTTTTTTTGAGACACAGTTTTGCTCTGTTGCCCAGGCTGGCGTTCAGTGGTGCGATCTTGGCTCACTGTAACCTCTGTCTCCCAGGCTCAAGCGACTCTTTGCTTCAGCCTCTGAAGTAGCTGGGATTACAGGCACGTACCACCACATGCAGCTAACTTTTGTTTTTGTGGTAGAAGTGGGATTTTGCTATGTTGCCCAGGCTGGTCTTGAACTCCTGGGCTCAAATTATCCACCCAACTTGGCCTCCCAAAGTGGGATTACAGAAATGAGCTGCCATGCCCAGCTTAATCCCAATCTTATAGCTGTTTCTGGGCCACGGGAAGGTTCCATGTGAGCACTAAGTTTTGTGGAAAATCCGACCAGGGATTCAGGCCTTCCCACTGATTACACCCCAGTGGCACTAAGACACTGGCCATCCTTGTCAATAGGGTGTCTCGGCTAATTAGAGTACAGAGTAGCTGCAAGATCCATATACTAGTTGCTACAATCAGTGCCCTGCTCTTTGTCCCCACTTTACCCCAGATAGTTCAGCTCTCCTGGCTCTCCCTGATGGGACGGGAGTGGGCTCCCTGGGAAGATTCCCAGACCAGTGAGGAGACTGAATACACACCTCCAATTCCTTCCTCTCACCTTGGAAACTGCAGGGCTAGGAAAATTCTCCCTGAGTGGTGTTATGCCAGCTTGGGGGGAAGGGGTGGCACAGTCTGAAATGACCACTTATTTTACAAAAAATTTTGTTGGCCCAGGAGGTTTCTCCACTTCTTCCCCAAGTTCTGGTGAACTCAGGTTGATATTCTTGTCTTTGAATACTTTTTTTTTTTTTTTTGAGATGGAGTCTCGCTCTTTCACCCAGGCTGGAGTGCAGTGGCATGATCTTGGCTCACTGCAACCTCCAACTCCCGAGTTCAAGCAATTCTCCTGTCTCAGCCTCCTGAGTAGCTGGGATTACAGGCACCCACCACCATGCCCAGCTAATGTTTGTATTTTTAGTAGAGACGGCGTTTCACCATGTTGGCCAGGCTGGTCTCGAACTCCTGACCTCAAGTGATCCACACGTTTCGGCCTCCCAACATGCTGGGATTACAGGAGTGAGCCACCGCGCCCAGCCTGAATAATTTCTAGTTGCATTTTTGTGGGAAGAGTGATGCCAGGTATCTTTTATTCCACTATCTTGCTGACATCACACTCTCCCCCTAGTGTCTTTATTTTCTCTAGTTTTCTTCCTCCCTAAGGGAATCTATCTCTTCTGCAGAGGGGGAGGTGGGGTATAGAGATAAGGATCTGGAAGTCTAACTGTTCCTACACAGACTGTCAACCTCCCTATTTTTAGTATCAGACTTCATCCGTTTCCCCTAATTTGTAATACTTGATGTTTCTAATTCCCAAACATTTGTAGGGTTCAGGGTGAACTGGCTTGCTTCTTGTCCCTTTGCTTTTTTGTATCCCTGTTTTTCAGGCACTTACATTAAGTTACCTTCCAAATGGCTCAGTCCCTTACCATTTTTATATTAGCTTTCCATATTCGTATATTATGTTTTGATAGTGACAAATGAGTTTAGGGTTGCTAGTTTGGCGGCCTCTGAAAAGTTGGACATGAAAGACATGTACTAAAGTTAGAGGATCCAGTAGTACTAGTTTTAAGGAAATATGTTATTAGGGTGCACATACAGTATATACATTCTCTGAGGTCCAGGGGACTTGTGGCTGGAGGCTGCAAGGGTTTGCCAAGGCTGGAAACCATCACTTATGGGAATGCAAAGCTAACAAATAAACTACTATTAGAAAACAAATTCTATGTTGTGCAAGGGAAAAAAGGAGGCACGTAATTCCCATAATCTTTAACTTTACTGTTAATTATTCACAAGAGACTGGAGCTGGGAAAAAAAGACTAAAGATTTTTTAACCTTCCCAGTTCTAATGTTTTATGATTCTGAAGGAAGTTTCTCAAAGCCTGAGTGACACAGAGATTGCTTTCTTAGTTCCACCTGTGGCATCTCTAGCAGGCCTTCTGGGTCTTTTGTCTAACAACCTAACGCACTTTCTCGATCTTCCACAGTACACACACTACATAAGACCTAAAAGAAATGCATATACAAATGTGAGCTCTATATACAGTATTTAACACTGCTTTATAGCTTTTACTTGTGGCAGTGGTGGTATGTTTCCATACAAGAGGCTTTGGCTGTCAACAGACACCATTACAAAGAAAATAATTCAAATATAAAAGTAAATTGTATTTGCTGCTTTGGGTTTGTAGACGGAAATCAGGGTCAAGTTTTTGGAGTGAGGTATAATTAATTCCACTATAAGAACAGCCTTCAACTGTGGGATTACATAGAATACAGAGATAGAGAAGAAAGGAGAGTTTGCCTAAATTGCTTGTGAAGTTTCAAAAACCTAAGAGATTCTGAGCATTGGCTAAAGTGAGCAATATGTCATGTTTGTCATCTGTCCTCAGGCCACTCTTAGCTTTCTTACCCTTACTAAGCCCAGTGCCACTTCATCTGTCACCACGGCCTCCCCTATACAGTCATCTCTTGGTATCCACAGGGGATTGTTTCCAGGATCCCCTGTGAATAACAAAATCCACAGGTGCTCAAGTGCCTTATATAAAATGGTGTAGTATTTGCACGTAACATACACATATCCTCCTGTATACTTTAAATCATCTCTAGACTGCTTATAACACCTAATACAATGCAAATGCTATGTAAATAGTTATCCTGTATTTTTTAGGAAATAATGACAAAGTCCGTCACGTTCAGTACAGATGTAAGCATCATTTCCCCCCCACATATTTTCAGTCCATGGTTAGTTGAATCTATGGATGTGGAAACCACAGATACAAAGGGCTGACTATAGTAACAATTCATAATTAAGATGTAAACAGGCCAGGCATGTTGGCTCATGCCTGTAATCCTAGCACTTTGGGAGGCCGAGGCGGGTGGATCACCTGAGGTCAGGAGTTCAAGACCAGCCTGGCCAACCAGTATGGTGAAACCCCATCTCTATTAAAAATACAAAAAATTAGCTGGGCTTGGTGGCGGGCACCTGTAATCCCAGCTACTCGGGAGGCTGAGGCAGGAGAATCGCTTGAACTCAGGAGACGGACGTTGCAGTGAGCTGAGATTGTGCCTTGCACTCCAGCCTGAGCAACACAAACGAGACTCTCATCTCAAAAAAAAAAAAAAGATGTAAACAAAAGTCTCAGTGCAACTTAAAATAAATGTCATTAACATTACTTGTAGACCGCAGATCCAATTCTCTATAGCAGTAGTCCCCAACTTTGGGCCGGTTTTGTGAAAAACAATCTTTCCATGGACCAGCAGAGGGGATGGTTTCCGGATGATTCAAGCACATTACGTTTACTGTGCACTTTATTTCTGTTATTATTACATCATAATATATAGTGAAATTATTACACAACTCACTATATTGCAGAATCAGTAGAAGCCCTGAGCTTGTTTTCCTGCAACTAGAGGGTCTCATCTGGGGGTGATCGGAGACAGTGAAAGATCATCAGGCATTAGAGTCTCATAAGGCAAGAACAACCGAGATGCCTCACATGCACAGTTCACAAAAGTGTTCGTGCTCCTATGAGAATCTAATGCCATTTGTTTTAATACAAAAATCACAATTACTTTTGCAGCAACTTACTAGATACAGTAAACAGGAAGGCAATGGGCAAGTACTGATAACTAAGAGGTAACAAATGAAACAAAGAAAGAAACAGAAATTATAAAAGGCAGACAGAAGCCTTAAGTTTTTAGTAAAGAGATGAACAGTTCTATACCCTACATAAGGAGAAGACAGACACCTTCTTTTTATAACACACAATTGCTAATTTTCTTTTGATGAAATAAAATTTCAAATAATGATCAGTAATTTATTTTAAAAGGCAAGAAATATGTGATCAAATGCAGAAGTGATTCTACTCCAAATTATTAAGATTTGGTCCCTTCATGGTAAAAATCTATCCAGAAACTTAGCTTTTAAGGATGATTCACTTCCCAAGGGTTTCAGATAGCCAAGGTTTTACAAGTTATAGGAAAAATCGTCAGAAATGTTATTAAGCCAATTCTGTACTTGGATTAATCTTATGAAGAACATGACCTTGTTTAACCCTCTTCAAGTGTGGGACAGATCTAGTGACTGGCTTCTAACAACCAGAATTTGGCAAAAGTGATGGGATGTTACTTCTGAGATTAAGTTACAAAAAGTCTGTTATCTTTTGTCTTGAGCACTCTATCTTGCTCTCTTGCTTGGTTGCTTGCTCTGAGGTAGGCCAGCTGCATGTTGTCAACTGCCGTAGACAGAGGCTCATGTGGCAAATAACTGGCATCTCCAGCCAACAGCCAGTGAAAACCTGAGGCCTGCCAACAGTCACATGAGAGAGCTTGAAGGCAGATCCTCTCCCAGCTGAGCCTTGGATGACTGCAGCCCAGCTGACAGCTTGACTGCAACTTCATGAAAGATCCTGAGCTAGAAGCATCTAGGTAGCTTTGCCTGGATTCCTGAACCACAGAACCTATGAGACAACACGTTTGTTGATTTAAGCCATTAATACGTTTTAGAATAATTTGTTATGCTTCATATATAAATCATACAGATTTTGGTATCAGGAGTAAAGTTCCATTGTCACACATACCAAAAATGTGGGAGGAATATTAGAACTGGGAAATAGGTTCTAATAATAGGGCCCAGTTCTAATACTTTAAGGCCTTTCAGGAGAGGAGCAGTAAAGCCTAAATTGCCAGGAATTGATAGTTGGTAGATTTTAGATTGTTAGGAGGTGGACTGTGAGTTTTAAGGAATGTGAGGAACATCTGAGTAGAAACTGGAGGCAAGGGATCTCTGTTAGGTAGTTGTGGAAAGTTTAGCAACCCAATTTTACAGTGATGTGGAAGGTAGAAAATGTGCCGAATGAATTAGATGGTCTAGCTAAAAAGATTTCCAAGCAAAGTTAACTGCCAGGTTTCTTCTTGGTGTTTACAATAAGATGTAAGAGGACAGAGAAATTGAGGGAAAGATGGTTTAAAAGGAGCCAGGACACAATGGTTTTGAAAGTGGATGTGAAAATTCTTAGCCTCACCATCTTCAACACTAGCAGTGTGGCAAGCTCACATTTCCTACACTTATTCTGCTTCCCATCTTCAGAGCCCCTTCTCTACCTTCAACTCCCTTGCCTCTCCTTTATGAGGACCCTGGTGATTACTTTAGGCCCACCAGATGATCGGTAATCTCCTCATCTAAAATTCCTTAATTCCATCTGTAAAGTTCCTTTTGCCAGATAAGGTAACATATTCACAGACCCCAGGGATTAGGAAATGGCCATCTGGGTTGATTTGTTTTTCCAACTTTTATTTAGATTCAGGGGGTACATGTGCAGGTTTGTTACAGGGGTATAGTGTGTGATGCTGAAGTTTGGGATATGATTGAACCTGTCACCCAGGTAGTGAGCACAGTACCCAATAGGTAGTTTTTCAACCCTTATTTTTCCTTCCCTCTTCTGCCCTCTTGTATTCCCAGTGTCTACTGTCCCCATCTTTATGTCCATTTGTACCCAGTGTTTACCTCTCACTTACAAGTGAGAACATGAGGTACTTGGTTTTCTGTTTCTGCATTAATTCACTTAGGATAATGGCCTCAAGCGCCATCCAAACTGCTGCAAAGAACATGATTTCGCTCTTTGTTATGGCTGTGCAATATTTCATGGTGTATATGTACACATTTTCTTTATCTAATGGAAGTGGACATCTTTATGGAGCCATCATTCAGTCTACTACTTGCAAGCAATAGACAACTAATGCATTATATTTAGAATTTCTGCAGTTTATAAAGAGGAACATAGGGATGAACAAAGTGTCATATACTGGAGAAACGCCAGTCATATAGCCCTCACAAACAAAAACCTCATACACGTCTTCAAATTTTAACATAATCAGTTGTCGAGGAAAATGCTTTTATTCTTAGGGATATGCGCTGAGGAAGCATAATATCTGCAACTTTCAACTAATACCAATAAAAAAAAAGCCATGTGAGTATACATATGCACAGAGAAGATAAAGCAAATATGGCAAAATTTTAACAATAATTCTCTGTTAGGGTATATAGGTATTTATGGTACTATTCTTTCCAGGTTTCTCTATAAAAAATTGGAAAAAATCAGGAAGATAGTTTCAACACAACAAATATATTAACCATGCAAAGCTCACTGTAGTAGATTATAAGGAATATGTCATTTGTGGGCCAGGAGAAGTGGCTCACACCTATAATCCCAGAATTTCAGGATTCCTGCCTGAGGCAGATTGCTTGAGTTCCAGGAGCTCGAGAACAGCCTGGACAACATGGAGAAGCCTCGTCTCTACAAAAAAATACAAGTATTAGCTGGGCGTGGTTGTGCGCACCTGTAATCCCAGCTACTTGGGAGGCTGAGGCAGGAGAATTGCTTGAGCCCGTGGGGTTGAGGCTGCAGTGAGCTGTGATTATGCCACTGCACTCCAGCCTGGGTGACAGAATGAGACCCTGTCTCAAAAAAAAAAAAAAAAAAAAAAATATATATATATATATATATAGAGAGAGAGAGAGAGAGAGAGAGAGAGCGGGAGAGAGAGAGAGTGAGAAAGAGAGAGAGAGAGGCTGGGATCCCAGCACTTTGGGAGGCCAAGACAGGCAGATCACTTGATGCCAGGAGTTCAAGACCAGCCTGGTCAACATGGCGAAACCTGGTCTCTACTAAAAATACAAAAATTAGCCAGGCGTTGTGGCATGTGCCTATAGTCCCAACTTCTCAGGAGGTTTAGGCAAGAGAATTGCTTGAACCCAAGAGGCAGAGGTTGCAGTGAGCCAAGATCATGCCACTGCACTCCAGCCTGGGCGACAGAGTGAGGCTGTCTCAAAAAAAACAACAAAAAAAAACTATTTCATTTGTGAATGGGCTAAAACTGAGAAACTCAGAGGTTAGCAACCTATTCTGTAACAAAGGCCAGGGTAAATATTTTAGGTTGTATGAACCACAGTCTCTGTTCCAACTACTCAGCTCTACTGCTGCAGGGCAAATGCAGCCACACAAAACATATAAATGATTGAGCATAGTATGTTCTAATAAAACTTTATTTACCAAAATGTATGATAGGGCCAGGCGCGGTGGCTCACGTCTGTAATCCCAGCACTTTGGGAGGCTGGGGCGAGAAGATTGCCTGAGCTCAGGAGTTTGAGACCAGCCTGGGCAACATGGTAAAACCCCATCTCTACTAAAAATACAAAAATTAGCTGGGCATGGTGGTGCACACCTATAATCCCAGCTACTCAGGAGGCTGAGGCAGGAGAATTGCTTGAACCTGGGAGACAGAGGTTGCAGTGAGCTGAGATCGCACCAATGCACTCCAGCCTGGTCTGGGTAACAGAGCAAGACTCTGTCTCAAAAAAAAAAAAAAAAAAAAAAAAAAAAGGAAAGGAAAAAAAAAAGAAAGAAAAAAAAACACCAAAAACACAACAAAGAGACAAACAAAATGTATGATAGGCCAGATTTGGCCTGCAGGCTGTGATTTGCTAACCTCTGATTTAACTAAAATCAGTTTTTAAAAAATAGATCTTTAGACCATCTCCAGAAATATGTACCAATGACTAAACTATGTGCTTAACACAACATTATGCATTATGGACTCTACATTTTTGCTTTTTCTCATAGTTTTCTTCAACGTACATACACACACACACACGCACTTTTTTTTTTTTTTAAGACAGGGTCTTTCTCTGTCACCCAGGCTGGAGTACAGTAGCACAATCACGGCTCACTGCAGCTTTGACCTCCCAGACTCAAGGGATCCTCCCACCTCAGCCTCCTGAGTAGCTAGGACTATGGGCACCTGCCACCACACCTAGCTAATTTTTGTATTTTTTATAGAGTCAGGGTTTTGCCATTTTGCCCATCCTGGTCTCAAACTCCTGGGTTCAAGCGATCCACCCACCTTGGCCTCCCAAAGTGCTAGGATTACAGGCGTGAACCACTGCACCCAGCTGTACATATACATTTTTTAACTCTAAAGGTTAAAAGACTAGTCTTACAACCAGGGGTTCTGAATTCAGATTTACTGTGAACTAAATATAATTTATCCCTCTCCTTTCTTTCTGTAAACTCATTGTAAACTCTAATATAATCCTTCCTTCCAATTATAGTCCAGAGCACAGAATTAATCAGAAGCCTTAGTTTCTGACAAACTTTCATCATTGGTTTATGCCTGGCCTGCTGTTATTTATTTAGTAATATAATTTATTATTTTTAAATAATGCAATAAACATTCCCCTTTGAAGAATTATGACTTGATAGTTTCACATGCAGAGAAAACAAATAACTCCAGCCAGATATGATTACACAAAAAGGAATCTGGAGTTTGAAATCCCCCTGGGCTCCTGTGGTCCACCAGATGCTCATTATCTCTAAAACACAAATACTGTAAAACAGCTGATAACATTCATGTTTACATATTTTCATTTGTTTCAAAATATTTTGGCAGCTTTGCAAATCTCAGACTCAGTTCTAGGAAAGTTCAACAGTCTTGTGCTGCCTAGAAACAAATGAATAAATGTTGTCAATACTTATATCAAGAAGAAAAAAAATTAGTCAGTCTAGAAGCATGATATTCTTTCTATTCCAACAGTAGATAGAATTTAGGAAGAATTCTATTTCTTTTAAGTAAAGGAAATGGTTCAGTGTATCAACTTTCAATGAAGTTGGACAAGATGGATTGGAATGTGAATTGAGTTGGGAATGTGTCGTGACTGTGAAATAGGAACCTCTTACTCTTACAGAAAGTAGTACAGAGGAAATTTAGCATTAAGGCATTGATTTCCTGGTGGGGGGAAGTTTAGTGTGCAGAATGATTAGGAAATCATATTATTTGACCACAGGACATTTATCAGGCAGGAATGCTATTATTTCTGTTCAAAGGAAATAGTCCCAAATCAAGTTTTCAGAGACACTGAAAGACAGTTAATATATACAAGTAAAGTCAACAGTAATTTCATCAATTTCCTTTCACTGGAGTCCTTTTCCCCTCTTTTCTCAAACTGGGGAACTTTTACTTATCCTTTAAACATGAGAATACAGTAGCGCCATCTCTGAGCTCACAGGGCATTCTGAATGCCCTGTTCTTACGGCAGTTATACTGAATTACCATTAATTGTAAATCTATCTTCTTCACTGGACTTAAAGGAGACAGGTAGAGTCTTAATCATCTTTATATTCTAGATGGAGGAACAAACAGACATGTGGATCAAAGAAGAATAAAAGCGTAAGATCCTTTCATAGTCATCTCCATTTTTACAGTTGATAGACTCACAGAAGTTTCTGAAACCAATTTACAGCATAGATTGAACATAAAAAGACAGAAAAAGTGACTCTGTTGGAGCCTCCCTGATTGCAACCTGCTGGATACAACATTATAAAATACTGGCATTCATTCTATCATTCTATTCAATTCTTGCGAGAAGAAAATTAAAGAAGTTTTACTTTTTAAAAAAATTAAAGGCCAGGCATGGTGGCTCACGCCTGTAACCCCAGCAATTTGGGAGGCCAAGGCGGGCAGATCACGAGCTCAGGAGTTCGAGACCAGCCTGGCCAACATGGTGAAACCCTGTCTCTACTAAAAATACAAAAATTAGCCAGGCATGGAGGCGGGTGCCTGTAATCCCAGCTACTTGGGAGGCTTAGGCAGGAGAATCATTTGAATCCGGGAGGCACAGGTTGCGGTAAGCCAAGATAATGCCACTGCACTCCAGCCTGGGTGACAAAGCAAGACTCCATCTTAAAAAAATAAAATAAAATAAAAACACTGTATAGGCAGCTGGGCACAGTGGCACATGTCTGTAGTCCCAGCTACTTAGGAGGGTGAGGTGGGAGAATCACTTGAGGCCAGGAGTTCGAGACCAGCCTAGGCAACATTGGGAAACCCTGTCTTGGGGGGAGGGGGGAAACTTAAAAAAATTGTTAAAAACCATTGTATAGTATTCTCTTTTGCTTAATTACACTTTAAAATGTTCATGAGGGAACAACGAAAAAATCCAGGCATGAAAAAAAAAGAAAAGAAAAATGGTAGTGATATGGTTAGGCTTTGTGTCCCCATCCAAATCTCCTCTTGAATTATAATCCCCATAATCCCCACGTGTCAAGGGAGAGACCAGGTGGAAGTCACTGAATCACGGCAGAGGTTCCCCCATGCTGTCCTCGTGATAGTGAGTGAGTTCTCACGAGATGTGATGGTTTTATATGGGGCTCTTCATCCTTCACTTAGCACTTCTCCTTTGTGACTTGTGAAGAAAGTGCCTTGCTTCCTCTTGACCTTCTACTATGATTTTAAGTTTCCTGAGGCCTCCCCAGCCATGCTGAACTATGAGTCAATTAAACCTCTTTCCTTTATAAATTACCCCGTCTTGGGCAGTTCTTTATAGCAGTATGAAAACGGACTAATACAGGTAGAAAACCTAAGAAGTTCTCTCTAGCCACCAACATCAAGACTTTGATATAAGAAAGAACAGAATACATTTTCAAAACCAGTAATTTTAATCTTGTTTTTTTTGCCTGGAAGAACATTCTATGTAAACCACATTTCAGATATGAGTGTTTTGTCTTGTTTTTTTTTTTTTTTTTTTTTTTTTTTTTTGAGACAGAGTCTTACTCTGTCACCCAGGCTGGAGTGCAGTGGCACAGTCTTGGATCACTGCAAAACCTCTGCCTCCCGAGTTCAAGCAATTCTCCTTCCTCAGCCTCCCGAGTAGCTGGGATTACAGGAACCCACCACCAGGTTTGGCTAATTTTTAGTAGAGACAAAGTTTCACCATGTTAGCCAGGCTGGTCTTGAACTCCTGACCTCAGGTGATCCAGCTGCCTCAGCCTCCCAAAGTGCTGGGATTACAGGTGTGAGCCACTGCACCCAGCCGAAAATGGCTATCATTGCACCAGCATTTAAAAGCTGAAATCTAGATATCTTTTTTTTCCCCATTTTAAGTAGATTTTAATAAAAGTATATATGTAAAAAGTTTATACGTAAAGGAAAATGTGCAAACCACAGCTAAACAGCTCAATCAAATTCTATGGAGTAAACACAGATTGAGAAATAGAAGATGACCCAGTGGCCTTCCTTGTCCCTCCTTCTAGTCATAATGTATCCTTTCCTCCAATAAGAGTAACTCTGAACTTTACAGGAATGAAATCATACCCCACCCCTGATAACCTCCATTCTACTTTCTATCTCTATGAATTGACCTATTCTATGTACCCCATAAGTCAAATTATACAACATTTGTCCTTTTGTGTCTGGCTTATTTCACCCAGCACAGTGTCTTGAAGTTTCATCCTTATTGTAGCATGTATCAGAATTTCATTCCTTTTTAAGGCTGAATAATATTCCTTTGTGATCTATTGATCCATCTTTACCACATTTTGTTTACCCATTCATCTGTAGATGGACATTTAGGTTGTTTCCACCTTCTGACTGTTGTGAATAGTGCTGCTATGAACACTGGTGCACAAATATCTGTATCCCTGCTTTGACCTCTTTTGTATATATACACAGAAGTGGAACTGCTGGATCAAATGGTAATTCTATAATTTTTTGAGGAACTACTGTACTATTTCCCATGTATTTTTTATTATAAGCATCCCGGTGGGTGTGAAGTAGTATCTGATTATAGTTTCAATTCACCACAAATTGGGTGATTCAAGAGGAACCAACTCTGGCTGACTTAAACTACTAATTGGGTGATGTAAATTTTTATTATTTGACTTGCAAGAATTCTTTATATAATCTGGATACCAATCTCTAGATAGCATCTGTGGGTTGTCTTTTCACTTTCTTCATAACATTTGTAATACAAAAGTTTTTAGTTTCGATGCAGCCCAATTTGGATTTATCTCAGGAATGCTAGGGTGGTTCAATGTAAGATAATCATCCAGTGTAATACATAATAATAAAATATAAAGAAAAACACATCATCTCAATACACACAGAAAAAAACACTGGGCAAAACTCAACATCACTTCATAACAAAACACTTAGTAAACTAAGAACAGAAGAAAGCTTCTTTAACATGATAAAGGACGTTTATTTAAAAATCCACAGCGGCCAGGCAGGGTGGCTCACGCCTGTAATCCCAGCACTTTGGAAGGCTGATACGGGTTGATTGCCTGAGCTCAGGAGTCCGAGACCAGCCTGGTCTGGATAGATGGCCCAATTAAAGAATCAAAATAAAGTTAAAGAAATCAACTCTAAAGAAACACAATTTTGCAAGTCATGTATCTGCTATGGGGTTAATATTCAGAATTACATAAAGAACTTCTACAATTCACAGCAAAAAATCAAAAAATCCAATTAAAAATGAACAAAGTATTTCTTCCCAAAGATGATACATAAATAGACAACAAGCATATGAAAAGATGCTCAACATCACTAATCATCAGAGAAATGCAAATCAAAACCATAATGAGTTACCATTCATATCCATTAGAATGGCTACTATTTAAAAAAATAAAAAATAAAAAAATAAAAAAAATAACAAGTGTTGGTGAGCTGTGGAAAACTGGAACCTTTGTGCACCACTGGAACCTTTGTGCACTACTGGAAGGGATGTAAAATAGTGCAGCTGCTATGGAGTAACAGTACGGCAGCTTCCTGAAAAAATAAAAAATAGAACTCCCATATAATTCAGCAATTCCACTTCTGAGTATACACAAAATAACTGAAAGCAAGAACTCAAAGAGATATCTGCACATCATGTTCACTGCAGCACTATTCACAATAGCCAAGAAATGGAAGCAACCCAAATTGATCAACAGATGAATGGATGAACAAAATGTGGTACAGACATACAATGAAATACTATGCAGCCTTAAAAAGGAAGTCCTGTCACATCCTGTAACATGGATGAAACTTGAGGACATTATGCTAACTCAAACAAGCCAGTCACAAAGAGACAAATACTATTTGATGCCACATGAGGTACTTAAATCGAGACAAAAGTAAAATAGGGACTGCCAGGAGCAGCAAGGAGGGGAGTGGGGAGAAGAAGAATGGAGAGTTATTGTTTAATGAGTATAAAGTTTTCCGTTTTTCAAGATAAAAAGTTTCTGAATCTGTTTTACAACACTGTAAATATGTTTAACACTACTGAGATGTACAGTTGTAAATCTTTAAGAGAGTATTTTATGTCATGTGTTTCTTACCACAATGAAAAGAAATCAATTCCAGGCAGGTTACAGATCTAAAAGAGAAAGGTAAAGCAATAAACTTTTCATTAGATAACATAGGAGGATATATCCAAGGACTTGAATTGGAAAAAAGATTTATTAAATGGTATGCCAAAAGCAGTAAAGAAAAAGATCACAAAATTAGACATTAAAATTAACTTCTATTTTTCAAAAGACAGCCTTAAGAGAGAGAAAAGGCAAGGCAGATAGATGGGAGAAGTTATTTGAAACACACATGAAGTGTACATATCAAAACATGTAAATAATTCCTAAAAATCAATGAGAAAAAAGCAAATGATTCAAAAGAAAACCAGGCAAAGAACCTGAACTGGCACTTCACAACATAGGCTACTGGTCAATGACATATGAAAAGGTGCTCAGTCTCAGTTACTAAGGAAATAAAAATGTAAACCAAAATGAGATATCAATAGACACGAGGAAGAAAATTACAATTTTAGAAGATTAAACTGTACAAGGTATTGGCAAAGTAGAAGAACTGAAGTTCTTACACATCTGCTGGTTAGAGAGTAAACAGGTATAATCACTTTGAAAAACTCTTTGGCACTATCTCTCAAATTTGTACCTACAGATATCCTTTGACCCATCCTTTTCAATCTCTGCTGGAAAAGTTTATTAACTCAGCAGGCCTGGTTGCACATTCCCAAGACAGGCCTGTTTTCAGGACTGGCTATTGGCTGCCTCCTATCATAGAATCTTATGTCTGATAAGAAATGTTTCATGTGTCTGAGGCCTTGGGCCATGCTGTACTGGTTTAACCAGATAGTTTATGCTAACAATGTGATTTATGGTTGACACCTGCTTTTTCTCTGGGGATCTGGAGCCTGACCCTGAAGTCAGTTGTGCAGGTAATACCAAATGCCTATGTCATGACTGACCCCTAATAAAAACTCTGGACACAAAAGCTCAGGTGAGCTTCCTTGATTGGAAACATTTTGTGTGTGTTGTCACACATGTTGCTGGGGAAATGAAACATGTCCTGTCTGACTCCACTGAGAGGGCACATTGGAAAGTGAGCAGCTGGTTCCTTCCAGACTTTGCCCATGTGCCTTTTCCCTTTCTTGACTTTTACTTCATATCCTTTTGCTGTAATCAACTATAATCATAATCATAACTTCTGATTACTATGAGTGGTCTTGGGAACTCCCAATATAACTCCCAGGCATACTCCCAACAAAAATGCATTATTCATGTTCACCAAATGATATGTACAAAGATACTGTGTATCAACATTAAAACAGAGTCAAAAAGTTCCAAATAGTTATGTAATTATAGCATAATATTAAATAACAAAAATGAACAAGGCCGGGCACGGTGGCTCACAACTGTAATCCCAGCACTTTGGGAGGCTGAGGCGGGCAGATCACCTGAGGTCAGGAGTTTGAGACCAGCCTGACCAACATGGTGAAGCCCCATCTCTACTAAAAATGCAAAATTAGCCGGGCGTGGTGGCACATGTCTGTAATACCAGCTACTCGGGAGGCTGAGGCAGGAGAATCGCTTGAACCTGGGAGGCGGAGGTTGTGGTGAGACGAGATCACTCCATTGCACTCCAGCCTGGGCAACAAGAGTGAAATTCCATCACACACACAAAAAAAACTATGACTACATGCAAAAACATGAATCTTACAAAATGTTAAAAAGAAAGAAACCAGGCTGGGCGCGGTGGCTCACGCCTGTAATCCCAGCACTTTGGGAGGCCGAGGCGGGCAGATCACAAGGTCAGGAGATCGAGACCATCCTGGCTAACATGGTGAAACCCCGCCTCTACTAAAAATACAAAAAATTAGCCAGGCATGGTGGCGGGCGCCTGTAGTCCCAGCAACTCGGGAGGCTGAGGCAGGAGAATGGAGTGAACCCGGGAGGTGGAGCTTGCAGTGAGCCGAGATTGTGCCACTGCACTCCAGCCTGGGGGACAGAGCAAGACTCCGTCTCAAAAAAAAAAAAAAAAAAAAGAAAAAGAAAAAAAGAAAGAAAGAAACCAGACACAAATGAATATTGTCAATCCTCCCAGCCAAAGGTTACCAGGAACATAGCTGTAGTTGCACATGTTGGGTTCATTATTCATTTCAGCAAGGAATAACACATATAATTGGGAATTGTGGAATGTCTCAGTAAAAGAGTATTAGAAAAGACTATTATATGATTCAGGTTTTGGTTAGGTGATTTTGGGTTTCTTCCAGATCGGGTGCTACCAGGAAGCGGGGACGATTTTTGATTCAGGACAGAGATTATCTTTGGAGAAAAGTAAAGAGGAGGAGGGAATAATTTGGAGGGGTAGGAGGGGAGCTTCCAGGGTACTGCTAATGCCTCCCTGGAAAGAAAAATAAATATTTCTGGGTTGAAAAATGATGGGAAAACAGAAAGCTACTGGCAATAGTTTGGACACTCTTCATCCAATTACGAAACAGGATCAATGGACTTTCACTAAAAGATGAAGCTTGCTATGCTCACTTGCCTATCAAGTCAGTATTTAAGAGAATGTGTTACTTGTTGAAATTCAAAATATATTAGGTGAAAAATATATAAAGCATTTGCATGAAGTCCACTGGCACTTATTCAAGCTTTCAAACCTCAAAACTGTGTATCTGGACAATGCAACACTGAACTTCTATCAAATTCAGCTACTTTGATTCAATAACAAAAAAGGATATGACAACATTTAGAGATATCTATCTTCTTGAAGAAAACAAGTACAGCAGGCTGACAATGAAGACCTAGGAGTTCAACTGCTGAAACACTTCAGATCAACTTTTGATGTTTTAAAAGGAACAAAAGAGTATTTTTTTAAAGTAGCAGGCAGGCTAAAAATAACCCAACATATATATTTTTAATTAAAATATACTGGACACGTTAAAGAGCAAATGAAACAGATGAAGAAAGAATGAGTGAATCAGACAATTGATCTAAAGAAATTATCTAGCAGATAGAGGTAAGAAGGCAGAAAACATGAAAGAGTTGTTAAACTATCTGGAGGACAGAATGCAACATTTTAATATTCAAATAACTGGAGTTCAAAGGACAAAATGGAGAGAACGGAGAAGAAGAAATATTCAAAGAAAAATGGTCGAGAATTTTATAGAACTGATAAAATACAGGAAATCATATAAATATACAAAACAAAACAAATAAATGAGAAAAGCCACAGTTAGCTATATTGTAGTAAAATTGGAAAATACAGTTATATAAAGAAGACCTTAAAAATCAGAGAGTAAAGTCACCCACAAAGAAATAGCAACTACGCTGATAGTAACTTCTCAATTGCAAAACTAGGGCCCAGAAAATGTTAAAATATCTTCAAAGTGCTGATGGAAGATTACTATAAACCTAGTCTATTCAACAAAACAACATTTCAAGAATTAGAGTGAAGTAAAAATATTCCCAAATATGCAAAGTCTGAGTCTACCATCAATTTACCTTTACCAAAAAAACTTCTAGGCTGGGCGTGGTGGCTCACGCCTATACTCCCAGCACTTTGAGAGGCCAAGGCGGCGAGTCACATGGTCAGGAGATCGAGACCAGCCTGGGCAACATGGTGAAACCCCATCTCTACTAAAAATGCAAAAATTGGCCAGGCGTGGTGGCGGGCACCTGTAGTAGGAGCTACTCGGGAGGCTGAGGCAGGAGAATCCCTTGAACCCAGGAGGGGGAGGTTGCAGTGAGCTGAGATCGTGCCACTGCACTCCAGCCTGACAACAGAGTGAGACTTCGTCTAAAAAAAAAAAAAAATTCTGAAGAATGTACTTGGGGGAAAAAAAAGGAAACCAATCTGAGAAAGATGATCTTAGATGCAAGAAGTAATTGTGAGCATGGGAAATGGTAAACATATACATAAACATAATACTGTCCATATAAAGTAACAGTAATGATGATGTCTAACATATAGTGTTAAAAAAAGAACTTAAATATTCAACAGTAATAGCATAAGCATTAAAAGGGTAGTTATCAGAGTTAGGATGTTTGTGTGGGGATTTAAAAATATTAAATAACTTTATCAAGTAGAGTTTGAACAGTAATATATATTTATTTATTTATTTATTTTTGAGAAAGAGTCTTGCTCTGTCGCCGAGGCTCGAGTACAATGGCATGATCTCGGCTCGCTGTAACCTCTGCCTCCAGGTTCAAGCGATTCTCCTGACTCAGCCTTCTCAGTAGCTGTGATTATAGGCGCCTGCCACCCCGCCTGGCTAATTTTTATATTTTTAGTAGAGACGGGGTTTCGCCATGTTGGCCAGGCTGGTCTGGAACACCTGACCTCAGGTGATCCACCCGCTTTGGCCTCCCAAAGTGATGGGATTACAGGCATGAGCCACCGTGCCTGGCCTGACAGTAATATTTAAAGGTTAACAAAATAATAAATATGTGTAATGTCTAAAATAATAGTAAGAGAACATGGAATTTTTTTAAAATCATGCAAAAAGAAAACAGTCCACAAAAGCACAAAACAAGTGGGAAAAATAAAAAGCATTTGAAAATATAGTTTTAAAAAAGGGACAATAGGTCTGCAATCCCAATAAAAAAGCCCTACACTTCCTAGAAAAACAACATAGGTAAGATTAGACTAACAATTCTGACTATAGGATATTAAAAAAAAAACATTAAAACACAAAGACTCAAAGAATGAAATTTATAAAAACGATATACTAGGGAAATTATAACCAAAAAATATTGGGGATAGCTATATTAGTATCAAACAAAATAGTTTTTAAATAGGCTCCCAAATTTAGCAAAAACAAACAAAACATAGGATGCCTAGTTAAATTTGAATGTCAGATAAACAACAATTTTTTCAAAAGGAATGATGAATATTTAATTAAATGTTCAATTAAACAAGCTAGAAAAGGAGCAACAGAATACAGCCAAAGAAAGTATTACTTGAAAAGACTAATAAGAGAGACAAACCAGTAGTAAGGTTATCCCCCAAATAAGCAAACCCCCCACCAAAACTGTATAGGTAGCACAAATCAGTAATATTAGGACCAAGAAGTACATATAACTAAAGATACAGATTTTTGAACACATTCATTAAATACTACAAACAACTTTATCACAAGTGGTGCAAGATCAGAGACAACCAGCTCCACGCATGTTTATGTCTTTCCATGCCAGACTTTTTTTGTTAACTTTTATTTTAAGTTCAGGGGAACATGTACAGTTTTGTTCTATAGGTAAACTCATGTCATGGGGGTTTGCTGTACAGATTATTTCATCACCCAGGTATTAAGCCTAGTACCCATTAGTTATGTTTCCTGATCCTCTCCCTCCTCCACCCTCCACCCTCCAGTACACCCCAGTGTCTTGTTCTCCGCCATGTGTCCATGTGTTCTCATCATTTAGTGCCCCCTTATAAGTGAGAACACGTGGTATCTGGTTTTCTGTTCCTGTGAAAAATGAATAATTTTTGCAATATGTAGAACATACTTATACTAAAAAAGTACTCAACATTTATCTGAAATTCAAATTTAATTGAGCATCCTGTATTTTATTTAGCAATTCTACTCTGTAAGACAAAAAGCATTTTTAGTGATAGTCCGTATGTTACAATAAAATGTTCAATTTGCTAGAAAATGCTAATGAATCTAAATTTGTAAGCTCTCAAAAAATAGCCTCAAAATAAAGCAAAATTTGACAACTTTAGAGAGAAATGAACAAATCTATCCACAAAGTGGAAGATTTCAACACAGCTCTTTCAGTTATTTACAGACCAATGATACAAAACATTAGCATGAATTAAGGGCTACATAACTGTCAAGTTTGACTTCTGGCCTACCAATAAAACCCAGCACCCATTAATTAGTGAATACACATCCTTCTCAGGAACACACACACAGTAAGATTCACAAAAACTGACCCGTCTTAGATCATTAAGCTTCAACAACATTTTACAGAATTAGTATCATTTAGATAATATTCTTTAACTATATTATATTTAAGTCAGAAAGGAGTAACAAAAATGTAACTTAGAAAACCCTTAAAAACAATTCTAAATAATTTATGAACACAAATAATTTTAAAATATTTAGTTCAAAACAAAATTAAAATATTATTTTTAAAATTACGCAGTGAAATCAGAATTTTTTTTTTTTTTTTGAGATGGAGTTTCACTCTTGTTGCCCAGGCTGGAGTGCAATGGCATGAATTTGGCTCACCGCAACCTCCGCATCCTGAGTTCAAGCGATTCTCCTGCCTCAGCCTCCCGAGTAGCTGGGATTACAGGCATGTGCTACCATGCCTGGCTAATTTTGTATTTTTAGTAGAGGCAGGGTTTCTCCATGTTGGTCAGGCTGGTCTCGAACTCCAGACCTCAGGTGATCTGCCTGCTTTGGCCTCCCAAAGTGCTGGGATTACAGGCGTGTGCTACCGCACCTGGCCCGAATTTTTTTTTCTTGTTATTCTTGCCTGATTGAACTTAGAATCATTTTAACAATGTTACCCCACCATCACCCCTACTCCCTCCGTAATTCCATTAGACTGTTGGAATTAAGTAGACAAATTCATGTGGCAAGAACCAAGATATTTATACTATTCAATCTTCCCATCTAAGAACATGATCTGAACTCTCCATTCAGTTCTTGCGCATCAGAGATCTTTTTCTTGTCTTGTCACATTAATAAAATCTTAGCTAGTGTGCTGGTTATACTACCATTCCCACAACCCCGCAACACCTTCTGTGCCCCAGGAGGTCAAGCTCTCCAGATTGCATCACCCAGGCTTTCTTGTCCTTTGGCTTATGACTGGGCAACCGTGAGCACTACTAACAGGTCAGAGCAGCAGCAGGAAGAACTCAGCTGATTCCCCCAGCTTTGTCTCAACCTTGCCTCTGTGCTGACAGTGGCTGTTTTTCTCTAGAGACACAGCACCTGTAGGTGGTTCCTCCTCTATGAATTCCAGTTTCACGAGCCTGATAACCATGTGCCCTCCCTTTGCCTCCGCAGGTCTAAGGGTGGCAATGGCTTCCCACTGTTGCTAGTTACTGGGTGCTTCACCATTCCTTGTTGATTCCCTTACTGTGGCCACACCGTGTTAAGTCATTCCTTTGATAAACTCTTTTCAACTGAACTGTTTTGAATGGGTCATTTGTTTCTTTTCATTATCATAACAGATACAATTAGGTGTTGAATTTTGTGACAATGATCATTCATTAGAATACCATGAAATGGAGGGAGTAGTGGAGTTGGAAAAAAGCAGCATTTTCCAACTATCATAACTGTACCATTGGTGTGGGTAAGAATAATCAATGGATGCTCATCTAGAGTGTAAAGCCTGATGAAAAGCAAGATACAGCCATGTGCCACATAATGACATTTTGGTCAGTAATAAACCACACTTATGACAGTGGTCCCATAAGATTATAATTCTGTATTTTTACTGTATCTTCCTATGTTTAGATATGTTTATATAATACTTATCATAGTGTTACAACTGCCTACAATATTCAGTACAGTAACAAGCTGTACAGTTTTGTAGCCTAAGAACAATAGGCTAAACCATATAGCCTAGCTATGTAGCAGGCTATACCATCTAAATTTATGTAAGTACACCCTATGGTGTTTGCACAATGACAGAATCACCTAATAACACATTTTTCACAATGTATTCCCATCGTTAAGCAACATATGGCTATTTGCACAGTCTTCAAGTTTTTTCCACATTGATCGTTTTTATTTTTAATTAATTTATTTATTTTTGAGACAGGGTCTCACTCTGTCACTCAGGCTGGAGTGCAGTGGTGCAATCTCAGCTCACTGCAGGCTTGACATCCTGGGCTCAGACAATCCTCCCACCTCAGCCTCCTGCAGCTGGGACAAGAGGCACATGCCACCAGTCCAGTAGAGATGGGGTCTCCCTATGTTGCCCAGGCTGGTCTTGAGTTCCTGGGCTTAAGCGATCCTCCTGCCTCTGCCTCCCAAAGTGTTGGGATCATAGGCATGAGCCACAGTGCCCGACCACTGATTGTTTTTTAATTGAAAGGGATAAAAAAGTAACCATAGAGTGGAGACACCGAAAAAACACATTTACCATGAGATCGAAATTAACATCAACGGTGTGACAGATGAACATCATACGCCTTCAGATGTGGATACCTTGAGAATGAAACCACACAATTTACCTAGTATTGTGGCCTCATATGCATAACCCGAATAATAATCAAGAGGAAACATCAGACAAACCCAGAATGAGGAACACTGTAAAATAACCTGCCAGCATTCTTCAAAAAAATATCAGTATCATGGAAGACAGAGAGCATCTGAGAAACTGTTACAGATAAAGAAAACTAAAACAATATAAAACTATATATATGATGTGATCTTAGACTGAAACCTGTACTGGTAGGGGAGGAAAAAAAAACTACAAAGTCCATTTTGAGATAACTAACAACATTGAAATATTTTATAAGGAGAGAGAAAGAGAGAGAAGACAAACACATGAATTTGGGAAAGAATACACAGGATTTCTCTGTATTATTCTTACAGCCTTTCTGTAAGTTTTTAATTATTTCAAAAGAAAAAGAAAAAGCACCATGAATATTGCTCCACTACTGTAGTTCTTAACTCTTTGTTTCATGAAATCCTGGAAAATATGAGGAACGATATAGATTCTATTCCCAGGAAAATCAACTTGCATCAAGACATAGAGGTCCAAATATTACTGCAGGGAGTTCAAAGACCACATAAGCTAAGGATCACTGCCCACTGCTCCATCATTTTCCAACATTTAGTATTTGCAAAAGAAAATTTTGTAGCCAGCATAATTTGTTTATTTTATTTTATTATTTTATTTTTTTTGAGATCAAGTCTCGCCCTGTCACCCAAGCTGGAGAGTTATGGCATGATCTTGGCTCACTGCAACCTCCGCCTCCCGAGTTCAAATGATTCTCCTGCCTCAGCCTCCCGAGTAGCTGGGATTATAGGCACATGCCACCACACCCAGCTAATTTTTTGTATTTTCAGTAGATTCAGGGTTTCACCATGTTGGCCAGGCTGGTCTCAAACTCCTAACCTTGTGATCTGCCCACCTTGGCCACCCAAAGTGCTGGGATTACAGGCATGAGCCACCGCGCCTGGCTACCAGCATCATTTTTGTTTCTTTGTTGAAAGCTCATTTTTTTGTGCCTTGATATATGCAGGATTTTTTTTTTTTTTTCAGGATCCTTAAAATCAAAAGAAAACCAGCAAAATATGTCTAGGTACAGACACGTTTTCATAATGTTCTTTAGAATACAGTGAGCTCTTTTATTCTTCAGGTCATTTTCAACCCTGGAAAGTCTTCCACAATGACACATTTGATCCATGCTTTTGTTCCACTTCTGTTGTCTCCTTTGCAGACATCTATTAGTCACCAGTTAAATCTCTATTTTTTTCTTTCATAGGTATCATTTTCTCTCATCTATCAATCTTCATCTCTGTTCTTTTGCTGTACATTCTGGAAGAGCATCTAATGTATACTCTCCCTATCATTAATTTGATTTTTCGTAGTGTCACTTCTACAGTAATCTTTGGGTAATCTTTGGGTTTAAGGAAAAGCCACAATACAATCAATGATCGACTTAGTGGAAAATTTCCCTATTCTTTAGCATAGAGCTTTTCATATCTTCATTTTAAAGGGATTTTTTAAATTAACGATATTTTAATAGATTTTTAAAAAGGGAATTGGAGAAATTATATCAGGCACTGGTAATCAGACACCAAGTTAACCTATAAGTATCTCCTATTTTCTCCTGAATTAGAGCATGGGGTAAAAAATGACTTCTAATACTGATTTATTATATTCTCATTTATAAATACCATGTTTTTTAAGAGTTAAACATTACTGTTCAGAACAGTCATTCTGAATGTTCAGAATAGGCATTTGCTGACATAAAGAGAAATTATTTCATTCTTTAAAATTCCAAGGAAAACTGTATAAATAGCTATCCAACTAAACCTCTTCACTGCAAATGTTCTCTTGCTCTCAAAAAGTACTCTCACTAATGAAGGCAGAAAGAGAAGGATGAGGGGAACCTATTTCTTAAGGAACTGAATTTCCCATAGACCTTCAGATGGGATTACAGTTGTAAAAGACAACTAAAATGTACGAAATTCTGAATGGCATGAGCAAGTGCAATTTGTGCTTGTACACAAAACCAACAAAGAGCTGGATCCTTTGACATTTAATCTGGTAAGTACAAGTATAGGAAAACCTACTTTACACAGCAAATACAAGTGCATGAAACTCATTAGCCCCAAAAGGATTTCTGGCAGAAAACACAAATTATTGGGATACACTTATGGAATGACAGTGCCAAAGCTGGGAGAGAAGATGAGAAAGGTTTGACTTTGAAGGATGAGTCAAAGGGCACAATCAGGCCTTGACAAGGCTATTCCTGTGGGGTAGTCTCAGACTTTCAGCCTCGTCCTGTGGACAAATTTTTAGGTTTCCAACAGTTTTTAACCCTTTAAAACACAGTAAAAATTCTTCTCCCATCTTATTATTATTTCATTTTCTTCTATGGCATGTCTTCTCTCTCCAATCCAATTACCTGTATTTTCTTCCTGGATACAAGCCAGATCTTTGCATCTCCTGAAGCACTAGAAGGTAGTATTCCAAAAAGCAACTGTTTAGTAATTGCTTGTTTAATAATCGAAGCCTTAAAGTGATGCATCAGAAGAAAGACTGAGGTATTCTGAGAGATGGTAAAATGTGCTACTTTGAACTTCCTTATATATTCTTTACAGAATGCCTGCAGGAATCAATTCAGCCTTCTTTCAAAATAAAACAAAATGGCTGGGCACAGTGGCTCACTCCTGTAATCCCAGCACTTTGGGAGGCCGGGCCAGGTGAATCACTTGAGCTCAGGAGTTTGAGGCCAGCCTGGGTAATATGGTGACATCTTGTCTCTACAAAAAATACAATAATTAGTTGGGCATAGTGGTGCATGCCTATGGTCTCAGCTACTCAGGGAGCTGAGGTGGGAGGATGGCTTGAGCCCAGGGGAGTTTAAGGCTACAGTGAGCTATCATCATGCCACTGCACTCCAGCCTGGGCAACAGAGCGAAGAGTGAAACCCTGTCACACACACACAAAAAAAAGACAAAATACTTCAATAGGGGAAAAAAAAAATCCTGCCAAGTTGAGGAAATGAATTTAACTCCATGGTTGTTGCTTTGAAGGCCTATGAAAATTCTGAAAGAATGAGATAAGAATTTCTTTAACTAAAATTTAGGCCAGACAAAGTGGCTCATGCCTATATGCCTATAATCCCAGAACTTTGGGAGGCCAAGGTGGGAGGATCACCTGAGCCCAAGAAGTCAAGGCTGCAGTAAGCTATGATCGTGCCACTGCATTCCAGAGCACTCTGGGCAACAGAGCGAGACCCTGTCTCATAAATAAATAAATAAATAAATAAATAAATAAATACTCTTCAAATTTAGGCACAAGAAATAAAGTGAGAAGTAGCTTAAAATTTATCATACTTCAAATTTACCCAGTATGGTATTAGTTGGAATATTCCTACTACAGCCCAGAAACCCAATTCAAGTAATACAGTCAAAAAGGGAAATGTTTCCTGGAACTGTGGCAAGGGCAGAGCTGGAAATGATCTTCATGGGCAACCAGAACCAGGACCTCAACCCCTGCCAGACACTCCCTTGACCTCTTTGGCTCTGCTTCTCTCGATGGGTTGGCTTTATTCCCTTACACACTGAGGAACACGACCCCATTTGCAGTGAACACACGGTAATAGAATAACTGAGTACAAGTATGTCAAACACATAACAAGAAGTCCAGACATGAGGTGGATGGACAGTCCTAAGCCCAGAAATCAAGGGAAGCCTCTGCCCTAATCTTCCTTCTGTCACCTTCAGTGTGTTATTGATGATAACTTCTCTTAGGATCACAAAGTGGCTGCAGCAGGGCTAAGCATAATGTTCTTTCACAGCAATGTTCAAAAGCAGGAAGGAAAGAGTAAGCTCTTTTCACACAATTCTTTATTTTCTCAGAAAGCTAAATCTCTCCCAGAAAATCCCTAGCAAACATCTCCTTATCCAGACCTAAGAATGATTAACTGAGAGTCTAACACCTTTAAAGGTCTGCTAGAAACATTTATCACTGGCTACTATCCATTCTTTCTGAGGGCTGCTGCCTGTGAGAGTTCAAGACTACCTTTGCTAGCCAGGCAAAGGTGGTCTTCTCTTCCTCCCATAACCTGTTTTGCCACCATAACTTGTTTGGCCATGATCCAAGCCCCTATTCTTTCTGTATCTCAGGGTGGTACAAAAGTGTCAATCATCTAGCCATTTGAGTTTTTTTTTTAAAAGAATTGTATAACTCCCATGCACACATGTGCACATAAAATTTGTAAGCTCTTTTTTTCCCTGTTAAAAAAAAATCTCCTTATGTATCACTGGCTACAAAAAAATGGTCAAGTGGTCATTCCACCCACAAGAGTATATGGGAAAATGAATATCTGGCATTTTTATCTACCTTTTTTGGTTTTTTAAAGGAATAGTCTTTACTAACAGGGAAAAAGGAACAAGCAGTCAGCAGTGTCTAACGCTTCCAGCAACAGTTCCTGTGCCTTATATCCAGTGGCCCTCCCTACCAGAGAGAAACCACCTTTCTTCCCTTGGTACCATTTCACAGTCCCAGGGAAAGACCTTTATTTGCCTGTGTTGGGTCAGGTTCCTACTCCTGAACCAACCTGCTGTGACCCTCAGAGGGCTAGGGTCATTGTGCTAGATTTTGCCCATTTGTACTTGCAGAAACCTAGGAAGTGTGTAGCAATGAATCCTAAGAATGTTAGACCAGACAAGAAGGAATGTAACGTTGGACTTGGTCAAATTTATCAATATATGAGTACATTAACCAGATATTTTGGATGCAGTATATTGGCTTGAGTAATCAGGGAATAACTCTAACAATTTCCTCACCTGGTTGGCCAAAACCTGGATCCATCAGTGGCTTACATTAAATGAAGCTTAGATGCCAGAACCTCCTTGGTATACTGTAAATAAAAGTTGTTCAAGCCAGGTGCAGTGGCTCATGCCTGTAATCCCAGCACTTTGGGAGGCCAAGGTGGGTGGATCACCTGAGGTCAGGAGTTCCAAGACCAGCCTGACCAACATGGTGAAACCCTGTCTCTACTAAAAATACAAAAATTAGCTGGGCATGGTGTCGGGCACCTGTAATCCCAGCTACTGAGGAGACTGAGCAGGAGAAGTGCTTGAACCCGGAAGGCAGAGGTTGCAATGAGCTGAGACAGTGCCATTGCACTCCAGCTTGGGCAACAGGAGCAAAACTCAGTCTCAAAATAAAATTTATTCAAAAGGTTAGAAAATAAGGAATACTGGGGTGTATTTAATACGTATGACTGATCTGTTCACTGATCTCCTAACTACATCCCAGGAATGTCTAGAGAACTCACTCCTTTACCAAGCCTTTGAGAAATACATTGGTGAAGGGGGCAACAACATCCCTAAAAAGCTCTTTAGTGCTTGTTCGCTGCAGGCTAGAAATAACAATGGGAAAGGCTGTCAGAGAAATAGATTCCCTGAACCCAAGGGAAGGATGAAAAGATCTCTGAGTCACAGCAGCCAACTGGTGACGCTTCATGACAGAAACAATGGGCACATGGCTATACTTTATAAGCACACGCAGAGGTAGAGTAGGAAAAGAGAATGGTGTGAGCTGTAGAGATCTCTGGTGGTGGCTGATTGGTGATGGTGTCCCTAGGACTAACAGAGATGGGTAGCATACTAAAGCCATACCTCAGGGGTTACATTAGAGCTGCCTCTCTCTACCAAAATATTACACCAAAAGTAATACTGCATTCCTAGAGGAACTGCAGAGATTAGTATCGCCAACAAAAACTTAAGATACAGGATGATACTTCATGAGTGATGTGTGGAGGTATGGCAGGCCCTAGAGGTAAATCACAGTATAGAACCCTAGGATTTTAGAGCAAAGCTATGCTAACTTCTGGAGATCATTACTCTCCCTTTTGAGAAAGAGCCCTTGCTTGCTACTAGGATTTAGTAAGGACTGAACACTTTACCACTGGCTACCAAGTTGCCCAAGTCGCTTAGGCTGCTCATCATACACTCGAAGCAGTGTACATGACTGCACATTTTGTGTCAAAGGAGTGATGGCTATAAATACGAATCCACACTGATTTGTGGTCAGCAGCAGATGGTTTGACTGGAAATTCAGAAACTTAGAATAAGGTTGGGAAACTTGTGGTAAGATATAGAAAAGAGCTATGTCAATAAACTATTCTCAAACAGGACAAAGTGTGAGGGTATTTGTGTCCCATGTAAATGATGACCAATGTATAATCTCAGCAGAGGAGGCTCTCAATAACCAAGTGGACAAAATGACTCATTATTTTATCAGCCACTGTTTCCCTTGCTCAGAACGCTAATGAACAAAGTTCATATCCTACTGTGAGAGCAACAGGAATGAAGGTCATGCATGTGCTCAGTGACACAGGCTTCCACCTGTCAAGGCTGACCTGGCAACAATCATGGCTAAGTGTCCAACCTGCCAACAGGAGAGGCCAACAATGGTGCCCCAATAAAGCGCTGCTCCCAGGGGGTCTGGGCAGCCATCTGTAGCAGGATGATCACACTGGACCGCTTCCATCTAAAAAGGACACTGCTTTTACTCAATGAAGATTTCCTTCTCTGCCCACAACATTTCTGTCAAAAACCAGCATCCTTTCCCTTACAAAATATCTTATTCACCATAATGGCATTCTAAACAGTACTGCTTCTGGTCAAGTACTTCATTTTAAAGTGAATGAAGTGGGCCGGGCGCAGTGGCTCACACCTGTAATCCCAGCACTTTGGGAGGCCGAGGCGGGCGGATCACGAAGTCAAGAGATCGAGACCATCCTGGCTAACACGGTGAAACCCCGTCTCTACTAAAAATACAAAAAAACTAGCCGGGCGTGGTGGCAGACGCCTGTAGTCCCAGCTACTCAGGAGGCTGAGGCAGGAGAATGGCATGAACCCGGGAGGCGGACCTTGCAGTGAGCCGAGATCTCATCACTGCAGACAGAGCGAGACTCCATCTAAAAAAAAAAAGTGAATGAAGTGGAGTTTTGGTTCCATTATGGTGAGGTTAAGCCACCTACATCCCATAAAGTTGTTCCTCCCTCTAATTACAACTATAAAGTTTGAGCAAACTTTTAAAAAATAACTACCTTGGGCCAGGCGCGGTGGCTCACACCTGTAATCCCAGCACTGTGGGGAGGCTGAAGTGGGTGGGACACCTGAGGTCAGGAGTTCAAGACCAGCCTGGCCAACATGGTGAAACCCTGTCTCTACTAAAAATACCAAAAATTAGCCGTGCATGGTGGCGGCTGCCCGTAATCCCAAGCTACTCAGGAGGCTGAGGCAAAAGAGTCGCTTCAACCCGGGAGGGGGAGGTTTCAGTGAGACAAGATTGTGCCACTGCACTCCAGCCTGGGCACCAAGAGTGAAACTCCATCTCAAAACACAGCAAAACAAAACAAAACAAAAAACTATATGAGGATCTGGAAAGTAAATAAAAGCAGGCAGATTGTGGAGGGAAGTAAAAAGTTGGAGAAGTGACCTTACAGGGTGAGTTTTCTGTTTGTTTATTTTTTTCTCATCAAGTTTTTCCTTGAGGGTGGGACAGCTTCAGTCACTAAGCAGCACACGTAGGTGGCTAAAACTCTGATAGGAATTGTTTTCTTTCTGGTCAGAGCAAGCAGGGAAAGGAGCCAAAGAAAGACAGGGAGTCAGAGCAAACTCCTGGAGCAGAAACAGCAGGTGAAGGAGCTCTCCACTTTTATGTATGCACCTACACGGGTCTCACCTTAACCTCTGAATCACACATGCACAGGACAAACCCAAACCAGTTTAGCAAAGGCTTTGCTTTGATAACTGAATTGGGATTTGAATCACTGCCTGCAAAAGGCAAAACAATGTATAATCCAGCCTACCTGAGTTGATTGCCTGCTAAAACAAAAGTAAATGCATTCACAAGAGTATTATAAAGGAACCCAGAGTCTATACAAGATAACAGTCTTTATGTCCAGAGAGAGAGAGAGAGAGACGTGCACACTCCAGCCAGTCCAGTGCTGTAATCTTATATAATATAATCATGCAATCACATATCTCCCATCGCCTTTGTTGTATTCTATTCGTTCCAAGCAAGTCACAGGTCCTGTCCACATTCAGGTGGAGGGAATCACTAACAGGTGTGGACAGAGGCGGAATCAAGGGGTCATCACATGAGGAATAGAAAAGTTATCACTATCAATTTGACAAAGATTAGAAGGACTCTAAGAAAATACTGCAGCTTCCTGCCAACAAATTTGACAACTTAAGTGAAATGGCCAAATTACTTTAAAAAATACAATTTATCAAAATTGATACAAGAACAAGAAAATCGAAATAGCCCTATATTCACTAAATATTATCAAAATCCTTCCCCAAAAGAAAACTCGCAGCAGCTGTGGGCTCTCCCAGTTTACAGGTCTTAATCCTCAAGGGAGAAGTGCTTCTTTGGGGGAGACACAACATTATTTCCACTGAACAGAGAGCTGAGACTGTTAACTCAGCACTTCTTGCTCCTCATGCCACTTAGCCAAAGACAAGTAAGGCAGGTACTATAATAGCTAGGCTGATTGATCCCGATTATCAAGGAAGAACCAAGTTTAAAATACACAATGGGAAAAAAATACTCAATGGAAGAAGGAAAGAAATTGCCTGGAACCTAGGATTTTCTATTACACTTGTTTATTATGGAAAGTTAACGGGATATTAGAGCAAAACAATATGGCCATTTATTGGTACATACACCCCAGAATGAAGGTTTAGGCCACCCCACCAGGCAAAGAACAAAGACCATCTGAGGTGACTACTGAGGACCAAAGGAACATGGAATGGCTAGAGGAAGAAAGAAATGACAGATACCTGCCATGATCACATGAAAGGTACAGAAAATGAGAACTACAATAGTTTGGCAGATATTCTTCTTTGCTTTGATATGAATATATACTGAATATATTAACGAATTCTTTTTTCCACTTTTCCCTGTCTAATAATACTCTCTAATATAAGGTGTATTGACTCTGGCTGGGCACGGTGGTTCATGCCTATAATCCTAACACGTTGAGAGGCTAAGGCAACAGGATTGCTTGAGGCCAGGAGTTCAAGAGCAGCCTGGGCAACACAGTGATACCTCTTGTCTCTACAAAAAGTTAAAAATAAAAAAAATTTAGCTAGGTGTGGTGGTGCACACCTATAGTCAAGAAGCTAAGGCAGGCGGATCGCTTGGGCCCAGGAGATTCTGGATGCAGTGAGCTATGATGGCGCCACTGCACTGCAGCCTGGGTGACAGAACAAGACCTTGCCAAGAAAAAAAAAAAAAGGAAATGGCTAACTCTGTATCTCAGTATATGTAAGTTTTAGGATATCAAAGAGGGGATGTGACTCAGCTAGTGGAATACATTCATATCAGCCAGAAATGTACAAAGCACAATATGAAATACAGCATCTCCTCTTTGAGGGAGTGCTTAGCATGTTTTCAGTTTGCTAAGCGATAGTTACAACATGTTAAGCAGAGCATTTAGCTTTATCTGGCAGTTAAATATGGTTTAAGTAGGTGTGTATGTAAGCCAGGCTGGCAAAGGAATGGCCTATGCTGGATGGTCAACTGGCACCACCACCACTGTTGTCTAGGACAGAAAATTAAGTCTCCCAGAATTCCTTTCCCTGTGTGGTTCTGGGTCAGAGGCTTCTGTGAGTTTTAGAAGGTGGAAATGAAGTAGAAGCCATTATTTTTAAGAGGTCAGGGCAGTCAGATGCAGTCGCTCCACTGGCCTCTCCTAAAGCTCCACTTTATCCCCGTGGCAGTCTTCACAGACCTTTCCTTGGGATCCCACACTGAGTCCTACTTTGGCAGCGAGAGGCAGTTTCCTAGCACTTCTCTGCCCTCTCTAGAGCTGCAGGTTTCAGTCATCAGTGCCTATTCCTCTGGTCTTCCAACTGTAGCTGTATCCAGCTCATTCCCTACTCCTATTGTAAACAACGTGTCCAGTATACAATAAAAAACGTGCAGACCTTCACTTCTCTAGTCCTCCCATATTTGCACAGGCCTTAATTACTATATTAAACCCCTCACTCCTATAACACTTAACAGTGGCTCAATGTTTCCCTGACTGAGCCCAGACTGATACATAGTCATAAAGTGCTGCCACAACCTCTGGGGCTTTGCCTCTGGGTAATGGAGCATTTCTCACCTACGGCAGAATCCTTGTGAGCTGAGCCGTAACTCCAAGAGCCTCATATCTGAATATCCCTTTTCTTGGTTCCTGGCATATTCTTTTTCTACGTGTAAGGTTTATTTTGCTAATAAGAATCATTTTATTGAGCATCAAGTAATTGTCAAGTATTACTGGCACTCAGGCTACAAAATGCAAATGATATCTTTGTCCTTGAAAAGTCTTTACTTATTTATTTTTTTAAAAAACTACATATACAAGCCAGGTGCAGTGACTCACGCCTGTAATCCCAGCACTTTGAGAGGCCAAGGTGAGCAGATCGCCTGAGGTCAGCAGCTTCAGACCAGCCTGGGCAACTTGGTGAAACCCTGTCACTACTAAAAATATAAAAATTAGCCAGGCATGGTGGCATGCACCTGTAACACCAGCTACTCTAGGGGCTGAGGTGGGAGAATTGCTTGAACCCAGGAGGCGGGGGTTGCAGTGAGCAGAGATCGCACCACTGAACTCCAGCCTGGGTGACAGAATGAGACTCCGTTTCAAAATAAATTAATACATACATACATACATACATACACACACAGCTGTTTTTCTAAATACAAATGGTAAAACATAACACTGACCATATCTTAAGAGATGCTCCCATATCATTACTTTTAAAACTATCTTATTCTGTTGAAGGGATGCATAGTCTTTTTTTTTTCAGACCAGAAAGTTGTTACTTTAACTAAACAAAGACTATAGCAACACTTTGAACTATATTAACATTTTCAGATGAAGGCATGTCTGGCATGTCCTTAGTTTAAAAGCAGCAGCATATAATATAAATCATCACAATATAATGTGAAAGTACACAAGTAAAGGTAGGTACATTGTAGCAGGAGGATCTGTGGCACAGAAGAGGTGTCATGTGAGTTGAGTTTTAAAGGACAAAGTTGTAAGATGAGAAGAAGGACAATCAAGGCAGAAGGAACAAAGGTATGGAGGTATACAATGTGCTGTGGGAATGAAAGGGAGGCACTGTGGTGTGGTTAAAAGAATAAAAAGAGATGAGGTTGAAAAGGAAGGTTGAAAGCAGAAGGCAAAGAATCTTAATGCCATCATTCTAAAGCATTCCAACCTGGTTTGAATGCAGCTGATCCCAAAAGACCACTGCTCTCATCAAAACAAGAAAACACCAGATAAACTAAACTTCATACTTTTCTGTAAAGCCATGAAAAAGCAGTAAATGAATGCCAAGAAGTCTAACTGAGCCAATTTCTGGAGAAGGATGAGTTCTTCACAGAGAAACAAAAGCCTGTTTCTAGCTACCTTGAATCAATTGCCTGTCTGGGTACAAGTGGGCAGAAAAGGAGGTCTCCCATAGGTGGAAAGATTTTGCTGAAACAAGCCAAACTTTTAGTGAGACTGTGGACTGGTATGATTAATTAGAATCTGAAAGAGTCCCAAGTGTAAAAACAAATCTCTTGACCTGACAATTACATGTAATACTACAAGAGAATCTTAGTAAGTGCTGGTGGGAGCACAGTGAGAGACAGAAAGAGATCTCCCAATGCTGTGTGGTGCTTGGGTTCCAGGGCCCTGCTATAGTTGCAATCCAGAGGTAAAGTAAATTAATTTAATCTTCAACCCAACTGCCTCCCAGCTGCAATCTTGCTAAAATCAAAGAAATGAACCCCTCGTCTAAATGATATAGAAAGCTAAGGTTGGGCTAAAAGTCAAATTTCCTTAATCTCATTTGAATCCAGAGGCAAACTGAAATCAATTAAAGCTACTGCTCAGCCCCAGCTCAGCTTGATTCACTGTCAAATTTGAGTGATCACCTTAGCTACCTGCTGGAGGAAAGAACTGCTCTCTTTAACAAAAATAAAACAAAAAGTATTACCTAGTTCATTCTCTACCCCTCTGTTATACAAAAGGTCCAGTATGCAGTTAAAACTTCTAAGACATGTGAAGAAGCAAATGAGTACAGGCATACCTCATTTCATTGTGCTTTGCAGATGTTGTGTTTTTTACAAATTGAAGGTGTGTGGTAATCCTGTGGTGAGCAAGTCTGTTGGTGACATTTTTCCAACAACATGCACTCCCTTCATGTCTCTTTATGACACTGTGGTAATTCTTGCAATATTTGAAGCTTCTTCATTATTGTATCTGTTACGGTGATGTGCGATCAGAGATCTTTGATGTTACCATGTAATTGTTTTGGGGTGCCACGATCCTAAGCCCATATAACATAATTAACTTAATCAATGTTGTGTATGTTCTGACTGCTACACCAACTGGCTGTTTGTTCCCCCATCTCTCTCCCTCTCCTTGGGCCTCCCTGTTCCTGTGACACATTGATATTGAAAAAAGGCCGATTAATAATCCAACAATGGGCTCTAAGTGTCCAAATGAAAGGAATAGTCGCATATCTCTCACTTTAAGTCAGAAGCTAGAAACAATCAAGCTTAGTGAGGAAGGTATGTTGAAAGCCAAGATAAGCTGAAAGCCAGGCCTCTTCCATCAAATAGTCAAGTTGTGAATACAAAGGAAAAGTTCTTGAAGTAAATTCAAGTGCTACTCCAATGAACACACAAGTGGTAAGAAAGTGAGAGTCTTACTGTAGACATGGCAAAAGTTTTAGTGGACTAGACAGATAAAGCCAGCCATGACATTCCCTTAAGCCAAAGCCTAATCCAGAGCAAGGCCCTAATTCTCTTCAATTTTATAAAGGCTGTGAGAGGAAAAGTTGGAGGCTAGTAGAGGTTGTTTGTTTATGAAGATTAAGGAAAGAAGCTATCTCCATAACATAAAAATGCAATTTTCAGCCCACTGTTGAGACCTATTGCTTAGGAAAAAAGATTTCTCACAAAATACTATTGCTCGTTGACAATGCACCTTGTCACCCATGAGTTCTGATAGAGATATACAAGGAGATGAATGCTGTTTTCATGCTTGCTAACACAGTATCCATTCTGTAGTCCATGGATCAAGGAGTAATTTCTACTGTCAAGTTGGTTTTGTTTTTTGTTTTTTTTTTTGAGATGGAGTCTCGCTCTGTCACCCAGGCTGGAGTGCAGTGGCATAATCTTGGCTCACTGCAACCTCTCCCTCCCCGGTTCAAGCGATTCTCTTGCCTCAGCCTCTTGAGTGGCTGGGATTACACACATGCGCCACCACACCCAGCTAATTTTTGTATTTTTAGTAGAGATGGAGTTTCGCCATGTTGGCCAGGCTGGTCTTGAACTCCTGACCTCAGGTGATCCATCCACCTTGGCCTCCCAAAGTGCTGGGATTACAGGTTTAAGACACTGCACCTGGCCCTGTCAAGATTATTATTTAAGAAATACATTTCTTAAGACTATAGCTGCCATAGATACCAACTCCTCTGATGGATTTGCACAAAGTCAACTGCAAACCTTCTGGAAAGGGTTCATCATTTTAGATGCCATTAAGAACATTCGTAATTCATGGGAGGAGGTCAAAATTTCAATGTTAACAGGAATTTGGAAGAATCAGACAGATGACATTGAGAGGTTCAAGACTTCAGTGGAGGAAGGAACTGCAGATGTGGTAGAAATAGCAAAAGAACTATAACTAGAAGTGAGCCTGAAGATGTGGTTGAATTGCTACAATCTTATGATTGAACTTGAATGAATGAGTTGCTTCTTAAGAATGAGCAGAGAAAGTGGTTCTTGAGATGGAATCTACTCCTGGTGAAGATGCTGTGAATATTGTTGAAAAGACAGCAAAGGATATAGAATATTACATAACAAAACAAATTGCTATAGTCACCCCAATCTTTAGCAACCACCACCCTGAATGGTCTAGCAGTCATCAACATGGAGGTAAGAGTCTCCACCAGCAAAATGATTATGACTTGCTGAAGGCTTGGATGATTGCTAGCATTTTTTTTTTAGCAATAAAGTATTTTAAATTAAGGCATATGCATTGTGTTTTCTTTTGACACAATGCTACTACAGACTGAACAGACTACAATGTAGTGTATAACTTTTATATGTACTGGGAAACCAAATTATGTGTGACTTGCTTTATTGGGATATTCACTTTATTTTGGTGGTCTGGAACCAAACCCACAGTCTCTCCAAGGTGTGCCTATAACCCATAATAAAGAAACAAAGTCAACAGGGAGAGATCCGTGGATGAAGACTTTAAAAGTTATTATGAATATGTTAAATAATTTAGAGGAAAAGATCAACAGAATGGGTAAAGAGCAAAGAATTCCAGCAGAGAAAGGGAAATTCTAGAACTGAAAAATAAATGATCTGAAATGAAGAAGTCACCAGATGGGTTTAACAGCAGACTGGACACAGAAAAAGAAGGGATCAATGAATTCAAAGGTAGGCTAATAAAAACTAATCAAAACTGAGGCCCACACAGGAGATGGCAGTAGAACGGAGCTACGAATTTGGTATATTATAATCAAACTGCTGAAAACCAAAAATAGGGAAAAATCTTATAGCAGTCAAAGAAAAAAAATTACATTCATAAGAATGTCAGCTGACTTTCATCAAAAACATGGGAAGCCAATAAAATAGTATCTTTTTAATGTTGAAAGTTAAAAAAAATACAAAACGACCAATAGCCTAGAACTCTATGTCCAGCAAAATATTCTCAAATTAAAAAAAAAACAAACACATTTTCAAATTAAAAAAAAAAAAAAAAACCTAAGAGCATTAGTAGTCAACATGTCTTTACTATAAGAACTGCTAAAGGAAGTGCATCAGGCTAAAGAGAAATGATGCCAGATGAAAATCTGGATCTTCAAGTAAAGAACAAAGAGCCCAACTGTGGCCCACAAAGCATAATATATTTACTATCTGGATTTTTTTTTTTTTTTGAGACGGTGTCTCGCTCTGTTGCCCAGGCTGGAGTGCAGTGGAGTGATCACAGCTCACTGCAAGCTCCACCTCCCAGGTTCATGCCATTCTCCTGCCTCAGCCTCCCAAGTAGCTGGGACTACAGGTGCCCACAACCAAGCCCAGCTAATTCTTTTTGTATTTTTAGTAGAGACGGGGGTTTCACCATGTTAGCCAGGATGGTCTCGATCTCCTGACCTTGTGATCCACCTGCCTCAGCCTCCCAAAGTGCTGGGATTACAGGTGTGAGCCACTGCACCCGGCCTACTATCTGGATTTTTACAATATAAAAAATGTGCAGCCCATGTCTTACAGTAACCACTATAAGCAAAAACAAAACAAAAAGAAGAGGTATAGCTAAAAAGAGGAGATAATATATAAAATGGAATACCAAAAAAGATTAATCCAAAAGAAGGCAGGAAAAGAGAAACAAAGAAACAAAAATAGATGATCCAAATAAAAAACAAATAGCAAGATGGTAGTTTTAAATCCAATCAGATGAATAATTACATTAAATGTAAGTGGATTAACTCTCCATTTAAAAGGCAGAGACTATAAAACTGGATTAACAAACAAAGCCAGCTATATAAAGACACAGATTAAAAGTAAAAGAATCGGGAAAATATACCATGTATATAGTATACATAAAAACACTGTTGTGGCTATATTCATATCAGATAAAGTAGACTTTCAGAGGGTAACAGCAGAGATAAAGAGAAATATTTCATAATTACAAAAGAGTTACTTCTTCAAGAAGGTCTAAATGGGTGTGTTCCCAATAATATAGATCCTAAATACATGAAACAAAATTGCTAGAAATGTAAGGAAAATTTGAAAAATTCATAATTTTCCCAACATTAATAAAGCAGACCAAAAAATCAAATAAGATTTAGACTGTAACAACACTATAAAATTTCTTGACCTCACTGATATTTACAGAACTCTGCAACAATCACAGAATACATATTTTTTCAACTGATCACATAAGACCATATACTGGCCATAAAACAATATTCAATATATTTCAAAGGACTGAAACAAACCATAATGAGTGTTCTCTGACCATAATGGTCACATTAGAAATCAACAACAAAAAGATAATGAGAAAATACCCAAATACTAGAAAAGTAAATGTCATTCTAAGAAGTCTAGACTCTATCCTGTAGTAACAGTGGAGTCATTCATGAATTTTAAGTGAGGAGACCTAATTTGGGTAACTGGGTGAATAAGCATGCTATGTATGGAGATAGAAAAAAACAGGAACAAGCAGTTTTTGCTGAGTATAGGAACCAGAAAACACAAGTATGCATTCATTCCAGGCTTTACCTTTAATGTAAGAATATCAATTCCAACTGCTGCTGCAGCTTTTTGTTGTTTGGTTTAGGGATTTAATCTAACCCCTGTCCCCCAGCTGACTTCATTTTCATGTTTCTTCTTGTCTGTTACTGTGGGTTCTGCACCTTGGTACATGCTTTTCCATTTGATCACTTGCTCTTCCTCAGTACTATCTACTCAGGTTTCCAACTAAATATTCCATTCATAAATTGGATCTGCTTTTCAGCTCTCTAACTTTAGCAACCAGGTTCTTGAATTGTTTTGGGGTTTGAGCCATGTGCCCTGAGGACTCTGTTCCTCAAATCTGCTCTCTGGCTCATAGGTACCGCAAGTATAGATGAGCACAGCATCATCCCCACTCTCAAGGTGGATTCCTGCTCAGTTTAATGAACAATTCCACCTAGCTTCTGCCTCTCAGGGAACAAGTTTAGAAAATAAATTCAATTTTGGACTTTGAATTTGAGGTCCTTGAGAGCATTTCGGTGGACACATACAGAAGACAGTTGGAAATAATGAACCTAGGGCTCAGGAAAGAGACCCACTAGGAAATACAGATTTATGATAATCAGCAAATAGGCTGTAATGAAAGCCCTATGAGTGGATGAGCTTGAGCAAGGAGACTATAAAATAGGAGTCCTTAATCTGTCAGGCTTCTGGCACACATGCATCCACTGAAATTGTGGCTAATAGGAGTCCTTAATCTGATGGACTTCTGGTATATCTATGTATCCACTGAAATTGTGAGTGAAATCTGTGTATTCATGTGTCTGTATTTCTGAGGTGGGGATCCACAGGATTCATCAAATTCTCAAATAAGTTCCTAAGTCTAAAAGGTTAAGAATCTATGCAAGAAGGCTGACGATGTAACCTAGACAGCACCATTTACTGAAATATACTATAATTTTAGGATTAGAGACTATGGTGGGACAGGGTATAAAATATGTTAACGTTTCATTACCAATTTACTATGTGAGTCACAGTAACCATGAAGCATGATTATCCATTCAATATTGGGTAATATGTCCCTAAAATGTGCTGACTCAATATTACTTGCAGACTACCCAGAATTGTACCAAAAAAAAAAAAAAAAAAAAACCAACCCAGTATTTTTAGGCTTAGAGATATAAATCCTATATTCTCAGTCAAAATGTTATTTTTCTCCCACTCTCACCCCATAACTAAGGAAAACACCTTCGCCAGCCACCTCTTTCTCTGGGGCCCATCTCATATCATAGCTAACGGTCAACAATCTCTTTTCAAGCACTGCTTTACAAAAACCTCATGATCATCAGTGCTGGATACATTAGCATCTGACTTATTACAGGCAAAAAAGCTTTGAAGATACACAGGATTTAGTTTGCAAAAAGGTCTTATGAAACCTACCCTCACAAGACAAGACTGTCAGTTTGTATGCATTACCACAAAAGGCCCAAAAACACCACTATAGTTCACACTTCATCTTTTCTTCCTCAAAATTATCTGTCACTTTAAAGATAGGCAGAGACGGTGGGGGAGGGGGGGGGGAAGGGTGGGTGTTTTTTAATTTCAGTGGGTATTTTGAAATCCTTTCAAAAACCACAAGTGTGTATGAAATAGATTCTTTAGTCACATGGATTCAAACCATAGCATTCTTCCCAACCCACCACTCAAGAAAGCAAAGGATAATCTAGCCAAGCCAATTTGCATGTAGGAAAACTATAATGTCTACTGCCTAAGAACCCTCAAAATAGCATTGTACATGTATCTTGGTAATAAAAAACCCTTTCACTATTGTGCAAAGGAGATAGCTATGAATTACCAATTACAAAGAGCTCACAAAACTTTAATACATATAAAACTTTAAAGAGTGGCTCATGTAATCCTAGCACTTTGGGAGGCCAAGGCAGGTAGATCACTTGAGGTCAGGAGTTTGAGATCAGCCAGGCCAACACAACGAAACCCTAACTTTACTAAAAATAAAAAATTAAAAAAAATTAGCCAGGCGTGGTAGCATGTGCCTATAATCCCACCTGAGGCAAGAGAATCATCACTTGAACCCAGGAGACACAGGTTGCAGTAAGCCAAGATTGTGCCAACAGAGCAAGACTCTGTCTCAAATAAATAAAGTAAAAACTTAGTTCATAAAAGAATATATACATATAGCTAATAACTGGAAAATGTTCAATTACATTAATCAATGAAATCTATTAAAACCAACAAAAATCTAAAATAAATTACCTCAATTATGCTGGCAGTTCAAAGGTTTTTTGTTTGTTTGTTTTTTGTTTTTGTTTTCTTGAGACAGGATCTCGCTCCATCACCCAGGCTGGAGTGCAGTGGCACAATCTCAGCTCACTGTAACCTCAAAATTCTGGGCTCAAGCAATCCTCTCACCTCAGCCTCCCAAGCAGCTGAAACCAGAGGCATGTGCCACCACACCTGGCTAACTTTTGTATTTTTTGTAGAGATGGGGTTTTGCCACATTGTCCAGGCTGGTCTTGAACTCCTGAGCTCAAGTGATCCACCCACCTCAGCCTCCCAAAATGCTGGGATTACAGGCGTGAGCCACTGTGGCCAGCCCAAAGGTTTTTTAGTATCAATAGATATCAAACACCTTTTAAAAATCTCAGATACTTTACCCTGGTTTAGTTCTATTTTTATTGATCCTACCTTAAAAAAAAAATCCTAAAATTGAGTATCTGCAAAGATGTTCACTGCAGCACAATTTGTCAAAGAGAAAACGGTAAACAACAAAATGGTAAAATCAATTGTAGAACATCTACCAGGGAAATGTATTTTGTTTGTTGATTTATTCATTCATTTACTACTGTGCTTCAGAAAGAATTTAAGGTGGCTTCTATGAAGGTTTATAACTATAAAAATTATGTTTAAAAAGCATGCACACAATGGGAAAATGCTCGTGAATATTAAAAGGACTGGATACAAAACTGTGTATATAAAGGTAAGATGATATACGTAATCTTACCTTTGTTTAACATAATGCAGAGGAGAGAAAATACATCAAAATATTAAGAATAATATGTGTAAATAAATAAGAAAATAAAAAAGAATAATATGTGTATGTGTCTAGGTGGGAACATTACAGGTGATTTTTATTCTCTTATCCTTTGAATTTTGTAAGTTTCATATAATGAGCTTATATTTTTATAATGGAAATATTTATATATATATAAAAAGTGTAAAGAGGATAGCGATTATTGTTTTTTTTAATTTGCCCTCATATGTGATGGTTTACAAGAAGGCAGCTCTTCCCATATAGCTGCTAATAATGAATTGAAAAGGGGAAATAAAAGTAATACCTAAGAGAAAGGAATTCACATAGAAATTAATCTCATGAAATAAATGTGGCATAAATTTGTCAATTAAAGTTATCAAAAGACAGAATAAAAACATGATACGGTTATATGGTTGTAGGGAGGGAAGGACACTGATATAAACAAGAGAATATCAGACAAAGCCAAGGAATTTTCACCTTGGAATCAAATAGCCTATCAGTGAACTTATGCTAGCATGGTTGTCTTATTTGAAATGTAGTTTCAAAAAAGAATATATACAAGTGACACAAAAAACTGCAGTTGACAGGGACCAGGCAATGAAGAGTATGGGTACAGAATTTCAGTTTGGGAAGACAAAAAATGTTCTGGAGATGGACGGTGGTGACAGTTGCACAACAATGTGAATGTATTTAATGCCACTGAATTGTGCACTTTAAAAAGTGTCAGAGTGGTAAATTTTATGTTAAATATATCTTACTGCAATAAAGAAAAGAATGTATAAGATCTGATTTGAAATAGACTCAACTGGTAGGCTATATAATCTAGCTCTGAATTTTCAGCACTTTCTGAAATAATATATTGTAAAGACGTGAGCATAACTTATTAAAATAAAAACTGTAATGTCACTTTAATAGCAACTTTCTCTTAATCAGAAGGCTAGTGTTTAATAATTTTTCTAGTGTAACCAATGTTTAGCTTTTAGGTATCCAAAAATTATGCCTCATCTAAACAAAGGTTTAAAAGTAAAGTGGCTATTAGATTTACAGAAAGAAAGAAATCAGAAGTAAGGTCACTAATAATTATGGTGTTTATGCAGATCTGCAGTAATTGGCTGAGAATAAATCTCCCAACAGTGAGTATCATTCCTAGAAACTGAGCAAAATACCCTAAGAACTATCCCCAACGAGCCAGTTATCCTTAAAATGCAGTGGAAGACTGCTGATAAGAAAGCATTCTACAAATATAATTTTTCTTCATTCTTTTTTCTTATTTTGAGACGGGGTCTTGCTCTGTCACCCAGGCTACAGTACAGTGGCATACTCTCAGCTCACTGCAGCCTTGACCTCTCAGGCTCAATCAATCCTCCCACCTCAGCCTCCCAAGTAGCTGGGACTAGAGTCATGTGCCACCATGCCTGGATAATTTTTATATTCTTTGTAGAGATGGGGGTCTCACTATGTTGCCCAGGCTAGTCTTGAAATCCTGGGCTCACTCGCATCTCGGCCTTCCAAAGTGCTGAAACTACAGGTGTCAGCCCTATGCTGGGCCCAAGTTTTTCTTTTTTTTTTTTGAGATGGAGTCTCGCTCTGTCATCCAGGCTGGAGTGCAGTGGCGTGATCTCTACTCACTGCAAGCTCTGCCTCCCGGGTTCATGCCATTCTCCTGCCACAGCCTCCCAAGTAGCTGGGACTACAGGCGCCCACCACCACGCCTGGCTAATTTTTTGTGTATTTAGTAGAGAAGGGGTTTCACCGTGTTAGCCAGGATGGTCTCGATCTCCTGACCTTGTGATCCACCCGCCTCGACCTCCCAAAGTGCTGGGATTACAGGCATGAGCCAGCGTGCCAGGCCACTAGGCCCAAATTTTTCTAATTCAAAATATTTTTCTGGGGGAGGAGGAGCCAAGATGGCCGAATAGGAACAGCTCCGGTCTACAGCTCCCAGCGTGAGCGACGCAGAAGACGGGTGATTTCTGCATTTCCATCTGAGGTACCGGGTTCATCTCACTAGGGAGTGCCAGACAGTGGGCGCAGGCCAGTGTGTGTGCGCACCGTGCGCGAGCCGAAGCAGGGCGAGGCATTGCCTCACCTGGGAAGCGCAAGGGGTCAGGGAGTTCCCTTTCCGAGTCAAAGAAAGGGGTGACGGACGCACCTGGAAAATCGGGTCACTCCCACCCAAATATTGCGCTTTTCAGACTGGCTTAAGAAACGGCGCACCACGAGACTATATCCCACACCTGGCTCAGAGGGTCCTACGCCCACGGAATCTCGCTGATTGCTAGCACAGCAGTCTGAGATCAAACTGCAAGGCGGCAGCGAGGCTGGGGGAGGGGCGCCCGCCATTGCCCAGGCTTGCTTAGGTAAACAAAGCAGCCGGGAAGCTCGAACTGGGTGGAGCCCACCACAGCTCAAGGAGGCCTGCCTGCCTCTGTAGGCTCCACCTCTGGGGGCAGGGCACAGACAAACAAAAAGACAGCAGTAACCTCTGCAGACTTAAGTGTCCCTGTCTGACAGCTTTGAAGAGAGCAGTGGTTCTCCCAGCACGCAGCTGGAGATCTGAGAACGGGCAGACTGCCTCCTCAAGTGGGTCCCTGACCCCTGACCCCCGAGCAGCCTAACTGGGAGGCACCCCCCAGCAGGGGCACACTGACACCTCACACGGCAGTGTATTCCAACAGACCTGCAGCTGAGGGTCCTGTCTGTTAGAAGGAAAACTAACAACCAGAAAGGACATCTACACCGAAAACCCATCTGTACATCACCATCATCAAAGACCAAAAGTAGATAAAACCACAAAGATGGGGAAAAAACAGAACAGAAAAACTGGAAACTCTAAAACGCAGAGCGCCTCTCCTCCTCCAAAGGAACGCAGTTCCTCACCAGCAACAGAACAAAGCTGGATGGAGAATGATTTTGACGAGCTGAGAGAAGAAGGCTTCAGACGATCAAATTACTCTGAGCTACGGGAGGACATTCAAACCAAAGGCAAAGAAGTTGAAAACTTTGAAAAAAATTTAGAAGAATGTATAACTAGAATAACCAATACAGAGAAGTGCTTAAAGGAGCTGATGGAGCTGAAAACCAAGGCTCGAGAACTACGTGAAGAATGCAGAAGCCTCAGGAGCCGATGCGATCAACTGGAAGAAAGGGTATCAGCAATGGAAGATGAAATGAATGAAATGAAGCGAGAAGGGAAGTTTAGAGAAAAAAGAATAAAAAGAAATGAGCAAAGCCTCCAAGAAATATGGGACTATGTGAAAAGACCAAATCTACGTCTGATTGGTGTACCTGAAAGTGATGTGGAGAATGGAACCAAGTTGGAAAACACTCTGCAGGATATTATCCAGGAGAACTTCCCCAATCTAGCAAGGCAGGCCAACGTTCAGATTCAGGAAATACAGAGAACGCCACAAAGATACTCCTCGAGAAGAGCAACTCCAAGACACATAATTGTCAGATTCACCAAAGTTGAAATGAAGGAAAAAATGTTAAGGGCAGCCAGAGAGAAAGGTCGGGTTACCCTCAAAGGAAAGCCCATCAGACTAACAGCGGATCTCTCGGCAGAAACCCTACAAGCCAGAAGAGAGTGGGGGCCAATATTCAACATTCTTAAAGAAAAGAATTTTCAACCCAGAATTTCATATCCAGCCAAACTAAGCTTCATAAGTGAAGGAGAAATAAAATACTTTATAGACAAGCAAATGCTGAGAGATTTTGTCACCACCAGGCCTGCCCTAAAAGAGCTCCTGAAGGAAGCGCTAAACATGGAAAGGAACAACCGGTACCAGCCGCTGCAAAATCATGCCAAAATGTAAAGACCATCGAGACTAGGAAGAAACTGCATCAACTAATGAGCAAAATCACCAGCTAACATCATAATGACAGGATCAAATTCACACATAACAATATTAACTTTAAATATAAATGGACTAAATTCTGCAATTAAAAGACACAGACTGGCAAGGTGGATAAAGAGTCAAGACCCATCAGTGTGCTGTATTCAGGAAACCCATCTCACGTGCAGAGACACACATAGGCTCAAAATAAAAGGATGGAGGAAGATCTACCAAGCAAATGGAAAACAAAAAAAGGCAGGGGTTGCAATCCTAGTCTCTGATAAAACAGACTTTAAACCAACAAAGATCAAAAGAGACAAAGAAGGCCATTACATAATGGTAAAGGGATCAATTCAACAAGAGGAGCTAACTATCCTAAATATTTATGCACCCAATACAGGAGCACCCAGATTCATAAAGCAAGTCCTCAGTGACCTACAAAGAGACTTAGACTCCCACACATTAATAATGGAAGACTTTAACACCCCACTGTCAATATTAGACAGATCAACGAGACAGAAAGTCAACAAGGATACCCAGGAATTGAACTCAGCTCTGCACCAAGCAGACCTAATAGACATCTACAGAACTCTCCACCCCAAATCAACAGAATATACATTTTTTTCAGCACCACACCACACCTATTCCAAAATTGACCACATAGTTGGAAGTAAAGCTCTCCTCAGCAAATGTAAAAGAACAGAAATTATAACAAACTGTCTCTCAGACCACAGTGCAATCAAACTAGAACTCAGGATTAAGAATCTCACTCAAAGCCGCTCAACTACATGGAAACTGAACAACCTGCTCCTGAATGACTACTGGGTACATAACGAAATGAAGGCAGAAATAAAGATGTTCTTTGAAACCAACGAGAACAAAGACACCACATACCAGAATCTCTGGGACGCATTCAAAGCAGTGTGTAGAGGGAAATTTATAGCACTAAATGCCTACAAGAGAAAGCAGGAAAGATCCAAAATTGACACCCTAACATCACAATTAAAAGAACTAGAAAAGCAAGAGCAAACACATTCAAAAGCTAGCAGAAGGCAAGAAATAACTAAAATCAGAGCAGAACTGAAGGAAATAGAGACACAAAAAACCCTTCAAAAAATCAATGAATCCAGGAGCTGGTTTTTTGAAAGGATCAACAAAATTGATAGACCGCTAGCAAGACTAATAAAGAAAAAAAGAGAGAAGAATCAAATAGACACAATAAAAAATGATAAAGGGGATATCACCACCGATCCCACAGAAATACAAACTACCATCAGAGAATACTACAAACACCTCTACGCAAATAAACTAGAAAATCTAGAAGAAATGGATACATTCCTCGACACATACACTCTCCCAAGACTAAACCAGGAAGAAGTTGAATCTCTGAATAGACCAATAACAGGCTCTGAAATTGTGGCAATAATCAATAGTTTACCAACCAAAAAGAGTCCAGGACCAGATGGATTCACAGCCGAATTCTACCAGAGGTACAAGGAGGAACTGGTACCATTCCTTCTGAAACTATTCCAATCAATAGAAAAAGAGGGAATCCTCCCTAACTCATTTTATGAGGCCAGCATCATTCTGATACCAAAGCCAGGCAGAGACACAACCAAAAAAGAGAATTTTAGACCAATATCCTTGATGAACATTGATGCAAAAATCCTCAATAAAATACTGGCAAACTGAATCCAGCAGCACATCAAAAAGCTTATCCACCATGATCAGGTGGGCTTCATCCCTGGGATGCAAGGCTGGTTCAATATACACAAATCAATAAATGTAATCCAGCATATAAACAGAGCCAAAGACAAAAACCACATGATTATCTCAATAGATGCAGAAAAGGCCTTTGACAAAATTCAACAACCCTTCATGCTAAAAACTCTCAATAAATTAGGTATTGATGGGACGTATCTCAAAATAATAAGAGCTATCTATGACAAACCCACAGCCAATATCATACTGAATGGGCAAAAACTGGAAGCATTCCCTTTGAAAACTGGCACAAGACAGGGATGCCCTCTCTCACTGCTCCTATTCAACATAGTGTTGGAAGTTCTGGCCAGGGCAATCAGGCAGGAGAAGGAAATAAAGGGTATTCAATTAGGAAAAGAGGAAGTCAAATTGTCCCTGTTTGCAGACGACATGATTGTTTATCTAGAAAACCCCATCGTCTCAGCCCAAAATCTCCTTAAGCTGATAAGCAACTTCAGCAAAGTCTCAGGATACAAAATCAATGTACAAAAATCACAAGCATTCTTATACACCAACAACAGACAAACAGAGAGCCAAATCATGGGTGAACTCCCATTCACAATTGCTTCAAAGAGAATAAAATACCTAGGAATCCAACTTACAAGGGATGTGAAGGACCTCTTCAAGGAGAACTACAAACCACTGCTCAAGGAAATAAAAGAGGACACAAACAAATGGAAGAACATTCCATGCTCATGGGTAGGAAGAATCAATATCGTGAAAATGGCCATACTGCCCAAGGTAATTTACAGATTCAATGCCATCCCCATCAAGCTACCAATGACTTTCTTCACAGAATTGGAAAAAACTACTTTAAAGTTCATATGGAACCAAAAAAGAGCCCGCATTGCCAAGTCAATCCTAAGCCAAAAGAACAAAGCTGGAGGCATCACACTACCTGACTTCAAACTATACTACAAGGCTACAGTAACCAAAACAGCATGGTACTGGTACCAAAACAGAGATATAGATCAATGGAACAGAACAGAGCCCTCAGAAATAATGCCGCATATCTACAACTATCTGATCTTTGACAAACCTGAGAAAAACAAGCAATGGGGAAAGGATTCCCTATTTAATAAATGGTGCTGGGAAAACTGGCTAGCCATATGTAGAAAGCTGAAACTGGATCCCTTCCTTACACCTTATACAAAAATCAATTCAAGATGGATTAAAGATTTAAACGTTAAACCTAAAACCATAAAAACCCTAGAAGAAAACCTAGGCATTACCATTCAGGACATAGGCGTGGGCAAGGACTTCATGTCCAAAACACCAAAAGCAATGGCAACAAAAGACAAAATTGACAAATGGGATCTAATTAAACTAAAGAGCTTCTGCACAGCAAAAGAAACTACCATCAGAGTGAACAGGCAACCTACAACATGGGAGAAAATTTTCGCATCCTACTCATCTGACAAAGGGCTAATATCCAGAATCTACAATGAACTCAAACAAATTTACAAGAAAAAAACAAACAACCCCATCAAAAAGTGGGCGAAGGACATGAACAGACACTTCTCAAAAGAAGACATTTATGCAGCCAAAAAACCATGAAGAAATGCTCATCATCACTGGCCATCAGAGAAATGCAAATCAAAACCACTATGAGATATCATCTCACACCAGGTAGAATGGCAATCATTAAAAAGTCAGGAAACAACAGGTGCTGGAGAGGATGCGGAGAAATAGGAACACTTTTACACTGTTGGTGGGACTGTAAACTAGTTCAACCATTGTGGAAGTCAGTGTGGCGATTCCTCAGGGATCTAGAACTAGAAATACCATTTGACCCAGCCATCCCATTACTGGGTATATACCCAAATGAGTATAAATCATGCTGCTATAAAGACACATGCACACGTATGTTTATTGCGGCACTATTCACAATAGCAAAGACTTGGAACCAACCCAAATGTCCAACAATGATAGACTGGATTAAGAAAATGTGGCACATATACACCATGGAATACTATGCAGCCATAAAAAATGATGAGTTCATATCCTTTGTAGGGACATGGATGAAACTGGAAACCATCATTCTCAGTAAACTATTGCAAGAACAAAAAACCAAACACCGCATATTCTCACTCATAGGTGGGAATTGAACAATGAGATCACATGGACACAGGAAGGGGAATATCACACTCTGGGGACTGTGGTGGGGTTGGGGGAGGGGGGAGGGATAGTATTGGGAGATATACCTAATGCTAGATGACACATTAGTGGGTGCAGCGCACCAGCATGGCACATGTATACATATGTAACTAACCTGCACAATGTGCACATGTACCCTAAAACTTAGAGTATAATAAAAAAAATAAAATAAAATAAAATAAAAATAAATGAAAAAAAAAAAAAATATATTTTTCTGATCATTAAATAGCAAGAAATAAAATAAGAAAAAAACGTATTCAGATCCCAAATTCAAAATCTAGTTTTCTCAGTTGCTTTAAAAAATCTCACTTACCCTTCGAGTGTTTTCAATAATTTTGGGATCAGGTTTTCCGTAGTTAGGTGGGTTGGCATATGGGTCATATCCAAGCTTGGCAAGCATAGGAGCAATCACTGCCATGTCTTGTAAAACATCTGGCGGTATCTTCCCAACCCATTTTGATAGAGCTCCTACATTGACTGGCTTGATTACTTGGTCTGTAGATCTCTCCACTCTGAAAACAACATAATATGAATAAATATTTATTTAAAATTTTTTAGAAAATCATGCTTTAAAACCACTATAAATTATGTTTTAATGACTAACAGTTGTCTGGATTACAAAACAATTGAGAAAGAGGGCACTAATCAGGTTTGACACTATTTACCAGAATTAAAAAATAATTTAAGATTGACAGGGATTATTGGCAATCTCAGATTTCTAGAAATTGGGAAAAGGGTTAGCTGAAACATGTGCATTATTAAATGTCTTGACACTGTAATTACAACATCCAGGAAAAAAACAGTAACAAAATAAAGATACAGCTGCTTAGAAAAATTGTCAGTCAACTTACTTGAAATGCTTACCAAAAAAAAGACAGACTGATGGATGGAAAGAGGGACAAATAGATGGTCAGAGAGATGGACAGTGATAAAGTAAATACAGCAACATGTTAATGGCACAATCTAGCTGGTGGGTATAAGTCTTTCAATTCTTCTGTACATTTTAACTTTTCGTAACAAAATGTTGGGGGAAAACTGCCAACCATAAACCACTAAGAACGTAAAATATTCACTTGTTCTATTTTCCTGCTGCCTTCCTTAAAAATCTTATTTTCTACAGAAGAAAAAAAAGGGCTGTTTTTGATTTTCAATATTACAGGATTCAATATTACAGAATAAATGTGTTCTACCTCTTGACATGGAAATTTACTCTAAGCCTGTAGTGATTATACTCACTATATTTGACTAAATAACTAGCAACCTCAGGATAAAATGTAGCATCAAATGACATTTGGATTTAAGCTGGATCTGAATTAGATTTTGGCCAAATGACTATAAAACAGAAATGCTTAAAAGAGACTTTTATATCGTAATACATAAAAAGTTATTCAAACATAGTATTCTAAGAAAAGGTAAAGGCCCTTTTAATTAAGAATATAACCTCTTAGTGAATAATCATTATCTGATGAGGAGTCTCCTAAAGGGGATCTGCTTCCAAAATAATAGAAAAACAATGCCTCTTCCCTGGGCTTCTGTGGGGCTACCTGCTCCAGGTTTCCCTCCTACCTCAGGAGCCACATTCCTTTCTCCCTTTTCAAATATTTCTCCAGGACTCCACTTAACCCACTGCTCCCTTCACTCTATCTATTCTCCCTGTATTGCTTCATCCCTAATGTTCTTTGCTTGACATTCTTAAACTGTGTAAAGAACATCCTCGTTTGCCCAGGACAGGTCCAGTTTACACCTAGCATAATTTACCTCAGCGTAATTATTAAAAGCACCTGCCATTCACTCCCATCAGTGTTCAGGAATGAGCAGAGGATGTTATATATGTATTGCATAAACTGTATTACTTTTCTAAAATCCAAAAAATTCTGAATTCTGAAACACATCTGTGTTAAGTATTGGGGTCACACATAGAGTCTTGTATGTCATGACTGGGAAGCTGGGCTTACCTTGAAGATAATAAGGAATAAGTGAAGAGTTTTAATAACAACTGATATGAACAAAGTATTATTATTAGCATTCAGTGCTGATAACTATGGGAAGAATAATTGGAGAATGAGGCAAGTGGGGTCAGGAAAATCAGAACAGATGCTCAACATGTTGGAAGAAAAGAAATGATTAAGGCTTCAATTAGATTAAATGAATTAGAAATAGAGATGAGACAAATTCCAAAGATAATTTTTAAAACTGCTAAGACACTGGGAGACCAAAGTGGGTGGATTATTTGAGGTCAGGAGTTCGAGACCATCCTGGCCAACATGGCGAAATCCCATCTCTACTAAAAATACAAAAATTAGCCAGGTGTGGTGGTGCATGTCTGTAATCCCAGCTACTTGGGAGGCTGAGGCAGGAGAATTGCTTGAACCCAGGAGATGGAGGTTGCGGTGAACCGAGATCACACCACTGCACTCCAGACTAGGCAACAGGGTAAGACTCCATCTTTAAAAAAAAAAAAAAAAAAAAAAGCTAAGACAGTGGCCAATTAGATAAGGCGGGGTGAAGAAAAAGAGAAAGGAGTCTATGATTAATTAATATTTGACTTGAAGGACAGATGTTTGTCTGTCATTCAATAATATAGACAGTATGAAGAAAAAGCATGTGGGTTTTTGATATTGTTGCTTTGTTTTGTTTGACATGTAGAGAACAATAAAAAAAATGTAAATTAATAGTAATCAGAAGGTCACCAAAAATCTAGAGAAAAAATCTGAATTGACTGGAATGTAGTAGATGCTCACTAAACAACGGCTATTATTATTTCACACTGATGGTAGCTCTGCTTCATCAGAATAGTGAAAGCCATATTTATCATTATGATTGAATAAATGATTTGAAGAAAAAGTATAATCATTTCTTGTCTGAAAAAGAGCTCTAAAATAAAAGACTTTGCAAAGGCTTTGCTGTATAACCACTGAGTTTACAAGAGCCGCTAGCAGCAAATGCAGTTAACTATGGCCTCTCAAGGGGAAGAACATGGGAAACCTATGCATATCAGTCAAGTGTTTCTCTTTAAGATCAGCAGAAATGACATTTTATATATATCAAGCATAAAATTCAAATTCAACAGTCACTTCTTAAATACCCACTATGTGGGTTTGATATTAAGGATACAAAGATGACTGACTAGGCCATGGCCTACCTCTCAAGATACTCAGAATCCAGCAAGAGAGACAAAGGTACACATAATACATAGCATCATAAATGAAATGACAGAGGTTAGAGACAATATGACAGAAGTAGGCCATTCTTTTCATGGGGTAACACATGACTAGGGCAAGTTACTAAGCAGCTAAGGCAAGGGTTAGCATCTATGAGTCACACATTAAATTAAATTGACTCACACTGCCTGTTTTTGTCTGGCCTGCAAGCAAAAAATGGCTTTTACATTTTTAATGTTTTAAATAAAAATAATCACATTTCATTACACATGAAAATCATGTGAAATCTGAGTATCAATATCCATAAGTAAAGTTTACTGGAACACAGCCACACTCATTCATGTATAGATTGTCTATGGCTGCTCTTGTAGTACAACGGCAGAGTTGAGTAGCTGAGGAAGAGACCATATGGCTTGCAAAATCTAAAATATTTACTATCTAACCCTTACAAAAAAACTTTGTCAACCCTGATGTAGGACTGTATCCTAAGGAAAAATAGGCTTTCTGTGTGTGGTCTCAGGTGATGTCTTCCTGACAGAAGGACCACATCAATATTCACATTCATGGAGATAACCTGGGGTTTTTTTTGTTTTTGTTTTTTGAGACGGACTCTTGCTCTGTCACCCAGGCTGGAGTGCAGTGACGCAATCTCAGCACACTATAACCTCTGCCTCCTGGGTTCAAGCGATTCTCCTGCCTCAGCCTCCTGAGTAGCTGGGGATTACAGGCCACCACCATACCCAGTTAATTTTTGTATTTTTAGTGGGGTTTTGCCACATTGGCCAGGCTGGTCTTGAACTCCTGACCTCAGGTGATCTGCCCACCTCGGCTTCCCAAAGTGCTGGGACTACAGGCATGAGCCACCGTGCCCAGCCACGTGGTATGGTTAGAGAATAGCAAGTGAGGAGAGCTAAGAATGTATTGAAGCTACTAAGTTGGGAGGATGGAAGGGAGAAAAGAAACAAGTGTTTACTCAGTGTTGCACTTATCGGGTTCAAGAAACACATTCGTTCAACCCAAAGGATAGATCATTAAAATAAAATAGAAAATGAGAACAAGATACGATGCAGTCCCAATCTTCAAGGAGGTCACGGTCTGGTTGGGGAGCCACACAAACATTCCACATTGAAACTCTCAGAGTTGCCTCTTAGTCCCGCATCAGCTCTCTGGGCTTCACTTTTCCCTCTTTCCATGGGTTCTAGTTATTTAGCTTATGTTTTTCTAAGAGGCAGCAAAGTGTAGTGGAGAGAACGCAGACCTGGAAGTCAGGTCTGTATGATCCAGTTTTGTAATCTAAGAAAAACTCTGATCCTAAGAGACTGAGGATAATGACCACTAACAGACGGAGACACAGTTTCCAAAACATTTTCAAAGCAGGAGTTGACAACTATTGCTCCAATCTGGCCTGCTGCCTGTTATGTAAATAAAGTTTTACTAGAACATAACCATGGCCATTTGTTCCTGTACTGCCTATGGCTGCTTTTGCTCTATAACAGAAGAGCTCAATGCTTACAACAGAAATCATATGGCCTGCAAAGCTAAAAATATCTGGCCCTTTACAGAAAAAGTTTGCCAACTTTTGTTCAAAAGGACACAGTGATTAGAGGGAAATGGGCCTGGAACTGAGAGCCTAATTTTCTTTTCTCGATAATAACCTGCAGACTGCAAGGAGCTCATTAAATCTCCCCTATTCCTTCAGTCCTTACAGAATTAACCAACACTTAGATCTAAAGCATACTACGGTATGAACTAGATACCATTCTACACCCCTTTAGCTTACTGAGACCTCAAAACATAGTGCCTCACAGACTGGTACATTTCAATACACACGGCCCATGCACACTGAGACAAGATATCTGTGACTCAGCAAGTTCTCCCCAGTCCCAACTGCCCAGGCTTCCTTCCGTCTGTGGCAGTCACAGTGGCGGCAACTCCTCCTCAAGGAATGGGGTCTATGCCAAAGTCTTGAATGACTGAGGTGAATACAATTCTCCACGACATTCATTTTAAGCATGGATCTTCCACGAGACTCAGTTAAACACTACAGCCAGGCTGACTGCCAAACCACAGGTCTGAATTATGATACCCAGCAACTACTACAAGAAACCAAATCCTCCATATTAAAGCATAGGGGATGGAACAGATATGCAAAAAGGAATGAGTGAAAGAGTACATAATCCAAGTGGTTAGGTTTATTACAGTAAAACATGTAATGAAATACCATTAAAAACCATGTTTTCAAAGACTTTCACTATTAGAAAATGCTCAGGTCATGTCTTGTGAAAGAAGATTTTAAAATGTATATACAATAGAAATTCAACTTTGTGAAAATGTGTTCTACAGACCAATAATGAGTTCCTAAATTGAATTAGTACTAAAAAACCTACCAACCAGAAAAAGCCCTAGACAGGAGGGATTCATAACCAAACTCTATCAGATGTATAAAGAAGACCTTGTACCAAACCTACTGAAACTATTCCCAAAAATTCAGGAAGAGGGACTCCTTGCCAACTTATTCTATGAGGTCAGCATCATTCTGACACCAAAACCTATCAGAGATACAACAAAAAAAGAAAACTTCAGGCCAATATCCCTGATGAACACAGATGCAAAAATCCTCAACAAAAATACTAGGAAACAGAGACTAGAAGCACATCAAAAGCTAATCCACCACAATCAAGTAGGCTTTATCCCTGGGATGCAAGGTGGGTTCAACATACACAAACCAATAAATGTGATTCATCACATAAACAGAACTAAAGACAAAAACTACATGATCATCTCGATAGACACAGAAAATGCTTTCAATAAAATTCAGCATCCCTTCATGTTAAAAACTCTCAACAAGCTAGGCATCGAAGGAACATACCTCAAAACAATAAGTGATATCTATGACAAACCCACAGCCAACATCCAGAACATGCTGAAATGTTCTGGAGGGCCCACAGATGTGGAAATTATGTATTTGTAAGAATTATATTAAACAATCTTTATTTGATAAATAGTACCTTACAATTCTAATGCTATCTATCAAACTTCAATAAGAGCAATTTCAGCATCAAGTAATGAACAATAGCTAAACTAACAAGAAATCAATCAAAAGTGCTTTAAAGGGAGCAGCACCAGTTGATGTGCTGCTGGAAGCATACCATACTGGAAGTATTCCCATTGAGAACCAGAATAAGACCAGGATGCCCTCTCTCACCACTCCTACTCAACACAGTACTGGAAGTCCTAGATAGAGTAGTAAGAAAAATAAAGGCATCCAGGAAGAGTGGAAGTCAACTATCTTCCATATTTGCAGACGATATGACTTTATACCTAGAAAACCCCACAGTCTCTGCCCAAAAGCTTCTAGATCTGATAAACAACTTCAGTAAAGTTTCAGGATACAAAATCATTGTACAAAAATAGCATTTCCATACACCAACAATATCCGAGCTGAGAGCTAAATCAAAAACACAATCCCATTCACAATAGCCACGAAAACTTGAACCATGTGTGTCAGACCCATGACCTACAAGAAGATGGCCCAAGATCTGGCCCAGGAATTGGAGAAAGACGCTTCCAATGCTTAGAGGAAGGTCCTCTTCTATGAGAAAACAGCCCAAGAATGCTGGGTGGCTTCCACGTCCACTGTGCGAGTGCTCTAGGTGCTCTGGAAAGAAAATGACCACAATAGGCAGAAGCCAGCTGACTGTGAGGTCAAGTTTCAGCCTTTCCCAAGCTGTCCTTTGGTGCCAGGATTTCCGTCTGCAGCCCACAAGGGCCGAGAAATGCCAGGGGGACTGTGGGCCACCACACCCCCAGGAGGGAGGCAGGTCACGATGTGAAGGCTTAGGTCCAGAGCACCTGCTGGTTTGATTCCGTTTTCCCCATAGGAGAGTCCTGAATGCCCAGAGCCTTAGCAGCACATCAGCTGGTGCTGCTCCATTTAAAGCCCTTTTGATTGATCTCTTGTCAGTTTAGCTACTGTTCATTACTTGATGCTGAAATTGCTCTTACTGAAGCTTGATAGATAGCATTAGGATTGTAAGGTACTATTTATCAAATAAAGATTGTTTAATATAATTCTTACAAATACATTATTTCCACATCTCTGGGCCCTCTAGAATTATACAGAATAAGTATTGTATTTTCATTTAGAGAAAAGGCCCCTCTTACCCCAACATCATTGTGTTTCATATGGATAGGAAAGTTTAAAACAAAGACCGTTTCTGATCTATGAGCTGTTATTAGAAAATAGTAGAGTAAATTGGCCAGAATAAGCTTTAGTTTTAAAACAAAACAAAACAAAGAAAAGAGTATGCTTATATCTGCTGGTGGGAATGTAAATTAGTTTAGCCACTGTGGACAGCAGTTCGAAGATTTCTCAAAGAACTCAGAACTACCATTAGACCCAGTAACCCCCTTACTGGATATATACCCACAGGAATATAAATCGTTCTACTATAAAGACACATGTAACTGTATGTTCATCGCAACACTGTTCACAATAGCTAAGACATGGAACCAACCTAAATGCCCACAACAGTGGACTGGATGATGAAAATGTGGTAGATATACACCATGGAATACTACACAGCTATAAAAAAATGAAATAGTGTCCTTTGCAGCAACATGGATGGAGTTGGAGGCCATTATCCTAAGCGAATTAATACATGAACAGAAAACCAAATACTGCATGTTCTCACTTATAAGTGCTAGCTAAGCACTGAGCACACATAGATACAAAGGGGAACAACAGACGCTTGGGCCTACTTAAGGGTCGAGGGTGGGAGGAAGGTGAGGATCGAAAAACTACCCATAGAGTACTATGCTTATTACCTGGGTGATGAAACAATCTGTACACCAAACCCCCGTGACAGACAATTTACCGGTAGCAAACCTGTGCATGTACTCCCTGAACCTAAAAGTTGGAAAGAAAAAAGCGATGTGTTCTAAATGCATGTTATATGTATGTTTAGAATCATATCAGAATGTTTACAATGCAGCATGATTTTTATTTTCTTACCTAACTTATCCATATTTTCCAATTTTCTATGATAAACTTTTTTTTTTTTTGAGACGGAATCTCGTTCTGCCACCCAGGCTGGAGTGCAGTGGGCTGGAGTGCAGTGGTGCGATCTCGGCTCCCTGCAAGCTCCGCCTCCCAGGTTCACGCCATTCTCCTGCCTCAGCCTCCCAGTAGCTGGGACTACAGGCGCCCGCCACCAAGCCCAGCTACTTTTTTGTATATTTAGTAGAAATGGGGTTTCACCGTGTTAGCTAGGATGGTCTCAATCTCCTGACCTCGTGATCCGCCCACCTCGACCTCCCAAAGTGCTGGGATTACAGGCGTGAGCCACTGCGCCCGGCCCAATGTCTTTCTTTTTTTACCTCATGCTGTCATGGGACTCGCAGAATCACGAAGAGTATCTTCACTCAGAAGTCTAATAACTATCTCAAGCTCAACATAGTCCAAACTGAGCTCTTTATGTCACCCCTAAAGTCTACCTTACCCGCACGGCAGCCTCAGCCTTCTAATCTCAGTTAAAAGCAACTCCATTCTTACAGTTGCTCAGGACAAAACCAGAGTTATTTTTCAACTACATTCTCTCATACTTCACATCAAATCCATCAGGAAATCTTATCAACTATACCTCAAAATATATGCAAATCTGGCCACTTCTCATTAACTCCACTGCTGCTCCCCAAGTCCAAGCAAACATCTCTCACCTGGATTTCTGCAATTTTTTTTTTTTTTTTTTTTTTTTTTTTTGAGATGGAGTCACATTCTTGTTGCCCAGGCTGGAGTGCAGTGGCACAATCTCAGCACACTGCAACGTCCACCTCATGGGCTCAAGCAATTCTCCAGCCTCAGCCTCCTGAGTAGCTGGGATTACAGGCACCCACTACCACACCCAGCTAATTTTTGTATTTTTAGTAGAGACAGGGTTTCGCCATGTTGGCCAGGCTGGTCTCAAACTCCTGACCTCAAGTGATCCACCCAGCCTATTTCTGCAACATTCTTCTAATAGGTCCCCCTACTTCTTCCTCTACATTTCTATGGTCTATTCTCAGTCTATCACCAGACAGAGCCTTTAAAACACCAGTCAGGTCATGTCACTCCATTGCTCAAAATCCTGCAATGACTCCCTAGTCACTCAGAGTGACTAGGCACTGGAAATGAGAGGGAATCTGAGTAATCACAGAATAGTTTTTCCTATTTGAATAGATTTCCTGATTTGTATAGATTTAGGGGATGATTTGATGAGATCATCCAAATAGAAAAAACTATTCTGAATAGTTTTCATCTCACCAAATCATTCCCTAAAAACATGCAAAGTAATCCAATAACAAAACTAAAACACCATGGACAACAAAACTAGATGACAAAGTAGCTCACAAACTCCAAAATACAAGTTCGTGGAGACAACCAACAGTAACCACAATCCCCTCATGGAATGAATGTTAATGTGGTGAAAGAAAAAGAAGCAACAACGCATCTGAAAACTGAGAATGGGAAACACCACAGCAGCCATAAACCAAACTCTAAAAATCAGAGCAGATCTATTTGAGAACACCAGTTGAAATTGGGAAGGGTTTCATCAAACCAAAAAGTGACTATAAGGGCCACTGGTAGGTTCTCAAAGGGGCCAGAGAAAGATGGGAAACATGAACTTGAAACCAACCAGCCAAAGCTCCTTTCCAGGACAGGACATCGCAATTAGAAACTTCTGGGAGGAGAATCAGAATTGGGCTAATTACAATGGTGACAGAGACAAAGGAAAGAGAAGGCCCCGATACAAGCGAGGGGAGGCTATGGAGTCAGGAAGTCTCAGAAAGCAAGCCACCATATTATTTAACGCTTTACCAGAACAAAACCAAAAAACAGGAGATGGAGAGCTATGAAATTAATAAAGACAGCTTGAACTATTCCTCCTCCCAAAAGCTTGAGAAAACTGTTTTTCAGTAAAAATGAGTGACAAAAAAGTATTTGGTCAAATACCATAAAGAGTTGTTAAAAGAAAACAGAGAAGAAGAAGAACATTCCTATAGAGAAAAAAAGACATGCCCACAAAACATTAAAATTGTAACTTACTATTTTAAAACAAGCTAAAAGACACTGAGAAAATGATACATAAATCATATTAGAAATAAGGTGATAGAGCTCAGGAATTTAGAAATGGAAGGAAAAATCATTACAAAAATAAACTAAACTAGAAGGAAGACAAGAGTTAATAAATACAAGAGAATCTTAAAAGAAATTATAAGTGAAATAGAATGCCTTCAAAGATTTAAAAGCTTTCCAATTTAAACTAATTGAAAATAGAAGATATTAGCCAGGCATGATGGCACATGCCTGTACTCGCAGCTACTTGAGAGGCTGACGCAGGAGAATCACTTGAACCCAGGAGGCAGAGGTTGCAATGAGCCGAGATCACACCACTGCACTCCAGCCTGGGAGACAAAGTGAGGCTCTGCCTCAAAAAAATACATATATATATATATATGAAATGTTTTTAAAATTTAAGAAGAAATAAAACAATTCAAAAGAAAGTGAAAAATATTAACAGGCAAAAAAAGTCTTTAATGAAAAATAGGAGTCTTTGAAGAAGAGAATCAAAGGGAACACAGCAAATACTAAAAACCAAAATTTAAGAAAACATTATTTTTAAAAAGTTTTTTTAATCTATATATTGACAGAACACATGGTATATCTGAGAATATCTGCTATATGATGACCAACAAAACATATTAAAATTATTGCACTTTAAAGAAAAAATATTTGAGTATCTAGGCAAAGTATAGGTATCCAAATTACCTATAGGAGAAGAAAATTAGATCAGACTTTTCAACATCAAAACTTTTTTTTTTTAAATTAAGTTTTTTAAACTGATGAAAACTGAATATATAACATGTTTTAAAATATGTATACATGGTGAAATGGCTCAATCAAGCTAATTAACATGTGCATTACCTCACATAATCACTTTTTTGTCATGAGAACATTTAAAATCTAGTCTCAGCAATTTTCAAGTATAGAATACACTGTTATTAACTATAGTCACCACAGTATACATCTCTTGAACTTATTTTTCCTGTCTAAATGAAATTTTATATCCTTTAATCCAACATCTCTAATCCCCACTCCTCTAACCTCCAGGCCCTGGTAACCACCATTCTACTCTTGCTTCTATGAATTTGACTTTTTTAGGTTCTACATAGAAATAAGATCCCAAGTATTTGTCTTTCCATGCCTGGCTTATTTCATTTACAATAATGTTCTACAGGTTTATTAACGATGTTGCAAATGACAAGATTTCCTCCTTTTAAAGGCTAAATAGTATTCCATTGTGTATGTATGCCGCATTTTCTTTTTATCCATTCATCTGTGAATGGATGCTTGGGTTGATATCTTGGCTATTGTGAATAGTGCTGTAATGAACATGTGAGTGCAGGTATATCTACCACATTCTGATTTCAATTCCTTTGGGTACATACCTGGTAGTGGGATTGCTGGATCATATGGTAGCTCTATTTTCAATTTTTTGAGGAACCTCCATGTTGTTTTCCATAACGGCTGTACCAAGTTACAGTCTCACCAACAGTGTATAGGTCTCCCTTTTCTCCACATCTTTGCCAACACTTGTTATCTTTTTTTATTTTTTTTTATTTTTTCTTTGAGACGGAGTCTCGCTCTGTCACCCAGGCTGGAGTGCAGTGGCTCAATCTTGGCTTACTGCAAGCTCTGCCTCCCGGGTTCACGCCATTCTCCTGCCTCAGCCTCCCAAGTAGCTGGGACTACAGGCACCCGCCACCACACCTGGCTAATTTTTTGTATTTTTAGTAGAGATGGGGTTTCACCGTGTTAGCCAGCATGGTCTCGACCTCCTGACCTCGTGATCCACCCACCTCGGCCTCCCAAAGTGCAGGGATTACAGGTGTGAGCCACTGCACCTGGCCTATCTTTTTTATAATAGCCATTCTAACAGGTATGAGGTACACTGTAGTTTTAATTTGCATTTCTCTGATGATTAGCGATGCTAAGCATTTTTTTCATATAACTGTTGGCCATTTGTATGTCTTCTTTTGATAAATGTCTATCAGGTTCTTTGCCCATTTTTTTAGATTTGTTTTCTTGCCGAATTGAGTTCCTTATATATTTTGGATATTAACTCCATATCAGATATATGGTTTGCAAATATATCAACCCATTCTATAGGTTGTCTCTTCACTCTGTTGATAGTTTCCTTTACTGTGCAGAGCTTTTTTGTTTGACATAATCCCATATGACCATTTTTGTTTTTGTTGCCAGTGCTTTTGAGGTCAAATCCAAAAATTCATTGCCCAGACCAATGTCACAGAGCTTTTCCCTTATGTCTTCTTCTGATAGTTATACAGTTTCAGGTTTTACATTTAAACCTTTAATCCATTTTGAGGCCAGGTACAGGTGGCTCATGCCTGTAATCCCAGCACTTTGAGAGGCCGAGTGGATCTTTTTTTTTTTTTCAGACGGAGTCTCACTCTGTCGCCCAGGCTGGAGTGCAGTGACGCGATCTCAACGCTCACTTCAAGCTCCACCTCCCGGGTTCACGCCATTCTCCTGCCTCAGCCTGAGTAGCTGGGATTACAGGCACCCACCACCACACCTGACTAATTTTTTGTATTTTTAGTAGAAATGGGGTTTCACCGTGTTAGCCAGGATGGTCTCGATCTCCTGACCTTGTGATCCACCCACCTCGGCCTCCCAAAGTGCTGGGATTACAGGCGTCAGCCACCGTGCCCAGCTGGAAGGTGGGTCTCTTAAGGTCAGGAGTTCAAGACCAGCCTGGCCAACATGGTGAAACCCCGTCTCTACCAAAGAAAAAAAAAAGAAAAGAAAGAAAAAAGAAAACAACAACAAAAATTAGTTGGGCATGGTGGCACATGCCTGCAGTCCCAGCTACTAGGAAGGCTCAGGTGAGAGAATCGCTTGAACCCAGAAGGCGGAGGTTGCAGTGAGCCAAGATCACACCACTGCACTCCAGCCTGGGTGACAGAGTGAGACCCTGTCTCAAAAGAAAAAAAAAATTTTTTTTTTTCCAAGATAAAACTTTGATCCATTTTGAGTTGGTTGTTGTATATGATGTGAGGTAAGAGTCTAACTTCATTCTTCTCATGTGGATATCCAGTTTTCCCAACATTATTTAAGAGACTGTCTTTTCCCTATTGTGTATTCTTGGCACCCTTAAGATCAACTGACCATAAATATGTGGGTTTATTTCTGGGGGCGCTCTATTCAGTTCCATTCGTTTATATGTCTGTTTTTATGCCAGTACCATGCTATTCTGATTACTATAGCTTTACAGTATATTTTGAAGTCAAATACTGTGATGCATCCAGCTTTGTTCTTTTCTATCAAGATTGCTTTGACTATTTGGGGCTTTTTGTAGTTCTACATAAATTTTACAAGTGCTTTTTCTATTTCTGTGAAAATGTCATTGAAATTTTGATAGGGATTGTATTGAAATCTATAGATCATTTTAGGTAGTGTGGCCATTTAAACAATATTCCAATCCACGAATACAGGATATGTTTCCATTTATTAGTGTGTTCAGTTTCTTTCATCAGTGTTTTATAGTTCTTAGTGTACAAGTCTTTCACCTCCTTGATTAAATTTTAAATTTATTCATAAGTCTTTTTTTTGGTAGCTATTGTGAATGAGATTGTTTTCATCATTTCTTTTTTGGACAGTTCATTGTTAGTGTATAGAAACACTACTGATTTTTGAATGTTGACTTTGTATCTTGAAATTTTACTGAATTCATTAACTAGTTCTAACAATTTTTGGTGGAGTCTTTAGGACTTTCTATATGTAAGATCATGTCATCAGCAAACAGAGACAATTTAGTTTCTTCCTTTCTGATGTGGATGCCTTTTATTTCTGTCTCTTGCTTAATTGCTCTGGCTAGGACTCCAGTACTGTACTGAACAGAAGTGGTGAGAGTAAGGCCAAGCACAGTGGCTCACACCCGTAATCCCAGCACTTTAGGAGGGCAAGGTGAGTGGACTGCTTGAGCCTAGGAGTTTAAGACTAGCCTGGGCAACATGGCAAAACCCCAACTCTATAAAATATACAAAAATTAGCCAGGCATGAGGGTATGTGCCTGTAGTCCCAGCTACTTGGGAGGCTGAGGTGGAAGGATTGCTTGAGCCCGGAGGAGGAGGTGCAGTGAGCTGTGATTGCACTACTGCCTTCCAACCTGGGCAACAGAGTGAAACCATGTCTCAGAAAAAAAAAAAAAAAAAGAATTGGGGTGAGAGTGGGTATTCTGTCTTGTTCCTGATCTTGCAGGAAAAGCTTTCAACTTTTCACCACTGAGGATGATGTCAGCTGTGGGCTTATGATAGTCTTTATTGTGTTGACATACCTTCCTTCTGTATCTAATTTGGTTGAGAGTTTTTATCATGAAAAGATGCTGAATTTTGTCAAATGCCTTTTCTGCATCTATTGAGGTGATCATACGATTTTTGTCCTTCATTCTGTAAATGTGGTATATCGCATTTATTAATTTGCATTATTTTGAATCACCTTTGTATCCCAAATATAAGTCCCATTTGATTATGGTGAATGATCCTTATAAATGTGCTGATGAATTTTGTTTCCTAATATTTTGTTGAGGATTTTTGCATCTATATTCACCAGAAATACTGGCTTCTAATTTTCTTTTCTTGTAGAATATCAATACTTTTTTCCCCCAGAAGAAATTGAACAATCTATTTAATATACATATGGAAGAAAAATAAGCCAAGAATCTTACATCCAGGAAAAATGACTTGTAAAAGTATAAAAGGCACAGAGCAGCTGTTATCAAAGTTACAAACTCAGAGAATATTGTTCCCACAGACACTTTCTGAAGAATCTACTAGAGTGTATGTCAGCAAATTTTTTCTGTAAAAGACTAGACAGCAAATAGTTTAGGCTCTATAATCCAAAGAATAATCTGTTGCGTATTCTCTTTTTAGAATTTTTACAATCCTTTGAAAATGTCCTAAAATGAAAAAAAAAAATCCTAAAATGTAGGGATGAATGGCTAAAGAAATGGTGATACATATACGATATGGATATGGATATATACATATATATGGATTAATATATACTCACAATGAAATATTATGCAGCCTTTAAAAAGGAGACACTGCCATTTGTAACAACATGGATAAACCTGGAGGACATTATGCTAAGTGAAATAAATTAGACACAGAAAGACAAATACTGTATGATCTCACTTATATGCAGAATCTAAAAAAGTAAAACACATCAAAGCAGAGTAGGATGGTGGTTACCAGGGGCAGAAATGGGAGGAAATGGGGAGATGTAGGTCAAAGGGTACCAACTTGCACTGATATAAAATAAACAAGCCAGGCACGGTGGCTCACGCCTGTAATCCCAGCACTCTGGGAAGCTGAGGCGGGCAGATCACGAGATCAGGAGATCAAGATGATCCTGGCTAACAGGGTGAAACCCCGTCTCTACTAAAAATACAAAAATTAGCCGGGCGTGGCGGCGGGCACCTGTAGTCCCAGCTGATCACTAAGCTCAGCTGAGCATGTACTATCTTGTCACACCAGATGTTATCATACCAGGTAGCAAGGAAGCTATCAGACACAACTGAGGTCACAGCAAAAGTACTCAGGAGGCAATGTGTAGAAGCATCTAGTGGCCAGAGAAGGAACAATTTGAACTCAATAAAAATGCTAATTGCAACAGATAGAAACATATAAAATTGGTCTCTTGGGAAGATGAAAAGGAACCAAACCATTATCTTGAAAACTGGCCCCAAAAAAGCAAAAGAATCAAGTATTTATTATGCTTTTTGTATATGAAAAGCTGTAACCCTGGGCAACCAAAAAATATAGAGGCAAGGATATGTCTCTTCATAAAATTGTTCCAAGTAAGATGTAGAAAAGAGATCAGAATTAGAATATCAGCACTTTACAATAGTCAACAAATTGATGAATCTAGGCACTGAGGATCAATGGCTGCTAAAATCACAAGAAAAATGACAACCACACATAATGTATATAGCCTCACCAAATAAGACCTTGAGTGTGATTAAGCCTCTGGGCTCAGCGATCAATTTACAGGAAGTAGAGAATTCAGAAGAACATGCTGGATAATCAGCAGTTCGATTGCAAAACTGCACAATTTTCCAATCAGCAAAATTCAGATTGTGAATAACTTTACAGGCTAAATAGCTTGGGTTCTTCAAAAAATAGTGTATGGTAAAGAAAGGAATGGATCACTTGGAAATCTGTCGATTAAAAGAGAAGACTTGTCAAATTATTTTTAATGAGTAAGAATAAGCTACAATGTCTAAATGCACATTTGGGTAATAAAAGTATAAAGAAGCAGAGTAAGTGATTTCTAAAGGTGCCAAAATAGTGGATAGTTTGGGAGAAGAGGAGGGGACTTAGTTTGGGATAGGGTACATGAAAAAGCTTCTGGACTGACTGATATGGTTCTATTTCTTAACATGGGTAATAGTTATAAGAGTGTTTGCCTTATAAAAATTCATTAAGGTAATTTTTAAAATAGTCCTTCCAGTGGTCTACAAGGTCCCACATAAAATAACCTGACCTTCACACACTCCCTTGTTCACTCTACTCCAGTCCTATTGACATCTTTGTAGGTCCTTGACTAGGCCAGGCGTGGTCTCTTGATAGCTACTTTACTGTGACTCTTCTCTCTGCCTGGAGCACTCCTTCCTGTAATATCTACTTGGCTAACTCCCTCACCTCCTTTGAGACTTTGCTCAGATATCACCTTCTCAATGAGACTACTAACTTTATAATCTGACCTTCAAAATCCTCTGGGCCCTGGTCCCCTTTACTTTCCTCTGTTTTTCCTTTTTTCCACTATAACCTTCTAATATGCTATATGTTTTTATCATGTTTTTTGTATTGCCCCCTCCCCCACCATGAGACCGTAGGATACATGATGGCTGGAATTTTTGCCTGCTTTGTTGACTTGCTCTCCTACAGTTCTCTACTCAAATATCACCTTACCAATGAGTCCTTCCCTGACAATTCCTACATCCCAGCTCTTGGCAACCTCCTATTCCCTGCTTTATTTCTTATTTCAAAGCGCTTATTACCATCTGACAAACTAAACATTCAACTCCTTCTTTTTTAAAAAATGAGATGGCTCTAAATGTTTTGTCTGTTAACTGCTGGAATATTACTGGGCATATAATGGATGCTTAGTAAAAACATGTTGAGTGCAGTCTTTACTATATCTAGGTAGTGTTTTTCCTGTTCCTTCTTAAGAGCTTTTATTATGAATGACAACTGAATTGTACCCAGAGCCTTTTCAGCACTGAATGATATGATCATATGGTTTTCTCCTTTAATTTATTGATGTAGTACATTCTGTTGACAGATTTTTCTAGTAGTGAACTATTCTTTTGTTGCTGAAATAAAAACTATTTGGTCATAATAGCTGATCAGTTTTTGCTACACTGCTGAATTCTATTTACTGGTATTTTATTTATGGTTTTAGCATCTGCATGCATAAGAAAACTAATCTAAAGTTTTCTTTTATGTAATTTCTATTGGGTTCTGACATTAAATCATAGCTTTGGAAAATGAATGGGGAGTTTTCCATCTACTAAAATAGCTTAAATAGCATCGGACTCATCTGTTCTCCACTGATTAGAAATAATTCAGTTGTGTATCATCTCTTCCTTTTTAAATGATATCTCTTAATCACCGTTTAATCTCTTTGGTGCTAATCAACCTACTGAAGCTCTCCATCTATCTTCAAAAATCAGCCACTGTTTCTAGACTTTCAAATGTATTACAAATGTACTTTCTTGTATTCTCCTATCATTTTTTAAAAATGTCTTTTATAGGCCGGGCGTGGTGGCTCACGCCCTGTAACCTCAGCACTTTGGGAGGCCAAGGCAGGCGGATCACCTGAAGTCAGGAGTTCAGCCTGGCCAACATGGTGAAATCCTGTCTCTACTAAAAATACAAAAATTAGCTAGGCGTGGTGGCGCGTGCCTGTAATCCCAGCTACTCAGGAGGCTAAGGCAGGAGAATCAATTGAACCTGAGAGGCAGAGGTTGCAGTGAGCCAGGCACTCCAGCCTGGGCAACAGAGTAAGATTCTGTCTCAAAAAAAAAAAAATCGTTTACAGTTGTGATTATTTCTCTTTCCTCATCCTTTATGATACATATTCACTTTTATTTTCATCAATATTGCAAAGGGTTTACATTTCTACTGACCATCCCAAAGAATTGATTTTGGTTTTTATTTATCCTATTCTATTTTTCTCTATTTTATTAATTTCAGCTTTGATCTGTGTTGATTTTAGGACCCAATACCCTGACTCCTTTCTGTAAGATATCATTCCACTGTCTTAAATTCCGATATGTTTGGATCTATTTCTTATTCTGTTCTTTGCCACTGAGTAAGACACATCAACCTTGAGTCATATAGTAGATTTCATTATTAAAGTGCTGAGGAAGGTCTCATTAGAAAATCTAAGAGGGGTATCAACAGCAGCATTAAACTGGAGGTTCCATAAGGCATATATAGTTGAAGGCTAAACTATGGCATATTTTAAAAAGTAGCCACCTTGGCCGGGTGCAGTGGCTCACACCTGTAATCCCAGCACTTTGAGAGGCTGAGGTGGGTGGATCACTTGAGGTCAGGAGTTCAAGACCAGCCTGGGCAACATGGCAAAACCTCATCTCTACTAAAAATATAAAAATTAGCTGGGCGTGGTGGCACATGCCTGTAATCCCAGCTACTTGGGAGGCTGAGGTAGGAGAATCACTTCAGCCCGAGAGGAGGAGGTTGCAGTGAGCCAAGACTGTACCACTGCACTCCAGCCTGGGTGATAGATGGAAACCCTGTCAAAAAAAAAGGACGAAAGGAAGGAAGGAAAGGAAGGAAAGGAAGGAAAGAAGGAAAGAAAGAGAAAAAGTAGCCATCTAATCTAACCTCATTGCTACATGTACAATATGTGTATGCATTTCTGCCACACCCCCTCCCCCAATATATGTTCCATAAGGGCAGGAATTTTTGTTTTGTCTGCTGCTCCATCTTATGCGCCCAGGATGATTCTAGGTACATAATGGAAGTTTAACAAATATTTGTTGAATAAATGAATAACTGTGGAAAGCTCTAATTTTTCAGATAAAATCAGCATTTCTAGCTTCAGATTAATAGTTAGCATAAGGTCAAAAAAATCTCTTTCCTCCACTGTTTACCCTTTCTCTCCCCTGTTTCTCGGTCATATCTCAGTACTTATTCTGCAATTTGGGGATGAAAGCAGTTCTGCTGTGGTTTTGTCTCTGGTTGTTTTATTCTCTCTGTGTAGCAACATCTTGGTGTTTGGCCAGTCCTGCATTCTTTGTAAGAACAAATCTGATTTTTTTTTTTTATGGCCTACAAATGGTTGCAAAAACACTGACATTTCATTTCTCAAAAGTCCCCTTACTGACTCATCCTGCTCTGGTCCTCCAGCGTGAAATAACAGAACCAATTTGGTTAAATGTTGCTAATAATTACCCTAAGCACATTCTGCACTTCAAGAATAACATACATGACCAAATATTTAAACATTGGCTAAAATGCAATAGGGTAATCAACAGACTCATCAGTAGACCTGTTTTTATGTTTATGTCTCAAAGGAGAATTGTTTAACATGTTTATATCTTAATGCTTTTAACAGTTACAAAAATGAAACTATAATTGAATTTCCTTTTAGGATGATTGAACTTGATAATATTATACATCCTTGATTTCAATAACACTGACAGAGCAATCAAGATTTTTTTTAAGATCCTAAAAATTATCTTTCATAATATGGAGTATACACAGATCTTAACAGCAACACTGTCTGAAGTGTGTAACTCAAAATTTTATATATACAGCCATGTAACCACCACCTAGATAGGACAGTGATCATTTCTAGCCCCTCAACAGTCTCTTTTGTGTTGCCTCCCAGTCAGCCCCCTAGAATAACCACTATTCTAACTACTATCACAAAAGATTGGTTTTAGCTACTTTTGAACTTCATATAAATGGAAACCTACAGTATATACTTATTTGCAGCTGGCTGTGTACACTTAGTATATTTCTGAGCTTCAACCATGTTGTATGTATCACTGGTTTGCTTCTTTTTATTGCTGAGTAATATCTAATTGCATGAATATAATGTATTTTATTTATACATCCCCCTGTTGATAGGTACTTGGATCCATTTCTAGCTTTCAGCTATTACTATGAATAGTGCTGCTATAAATATTCTTCTGTAAGTCTTTTAGTGTAATTTTTAAAGTGTATAACTTCTTTATGTTGTGAATATATGTAGGAGTGGATTTGTAGGGTTATAAGCTAGGCATGTTTTGCTAAGTAGCCATAATATATAGTTTCCCCAAATGGTTATACTAGTTTAACTCCTACCAACATTATCCTTGCCATTACTCTGTAATGTCCATTCATTTAATATTAACCATTCTGGTGAATATAGAGGGGTATCTCACTGTGGTTTTAAACTGCATTCCCTATGGACTAATAATACTAAGCCTACTTTTTTTTTTTTTTAGTAGAATTAGACTGGTGAAAAGATCTCACCTTGCTAATTTACTCAAAAATTATATACTGAAATATGGGAAATGTGCAGGGCTCCTGAAAGTGAAGAGGAGAGAAAAATATGGTTTCATCCTTCCTGTCCTCTGGCAGTTGATTATTGGACGGTCTCCTTTTTCTGGGAACCAGCTTGGGCCAGTGCTAAGTTAACCGATGTAGTTAACTTGACCCATGTTCTTTATTCTTTCATGCAGATTTGAGTTACCATCTAGTGCATCTTGATTTCAGCTGGAAGAATTCCCCTTAGCATTTGTTGTAGGCAGGTCTGCTAGCTACAATTCTCACAGTTTTGGTTTATGAGGAATATCTTCTTTCTCTTTCATTTCTCAAGGGGAGTTTTGCCAGATATGGTAGTTTTTGCTGGGCTTTTTCCTTTCAGGGATGTGAGTACATCAACCCATTGCCTTCTGGGCACCATAGTTACTGGTGAGAAGTCTGCTGTTCATCTTACTGAGGTTACCCTGTACATGATGAGCTGCTTTTCTCTTGCCGCTTTAAAGATTCTATCTTTGGCTTTCAACAGTTTGATTATGATGTGTCTAGCTGTGAATCTCTGGTTTTATCCTGCTTGGAGTTTACTGAGCTTCTTGTATGCATAAATGCATGCTTTTCCATCAAATTTGGGGTTTTAGCCACTATTTCACTTCCCTTTCCCTTTTTTTCTTTTTTCTTTTTTTTTTTTTTGAGACAGGGTTCCACACTGTCGTCCAGTCTGCAGTGCAGTAGTGCAATCACAGCTCACTGCAGCCATGGCCTCCTGGGCTTAAGTGATCCTCCAACCTCAGCCTCCTGAGTAGCTGGGACTACAGGCACATGTCATCACGTATGGTTAATTTTTGTATTTTTTGTAGAGACAGGGTTTCACGCTGTTGCGCAGGCTGGTCTCAAACTCTTGGGCTCAAGAGACCTGCCTGTTTTGGTCTCCCAAAGTTCTGGGATTACAGGCATGAGCCACTGCACCTGGCCCATTATTTCTTCAAATATCCTTCTGCCCCACCATCTCTCCTCTCCTTCTGAGATTCCTGTCATGTGTATGTTGGTACACTTGATGGTATCCCACAGGTCTCTTTAGGCTCTATTTATATTTCCTAATTACTTTTTTCCTTTTCTGTTCTTCAAATTAGATAAAGTCAATAGAACTACCTTCAAATTTCTTTCTTCTTCCTGTTCAAATCTCCTGATGGGCCCTAGAAGCAAATTTTTCATTTCAGTTACCATGCTTGTCTATCTGGTTTAGTTCATAATTTCTATCTTTTTGTTGATATTCTCAATTGGTGAGACACTGTTCTCAAACTTTCAGTTAGGTTTTTGGGTTTTTTGTTTTGTTTTGTTTTGTTTAAGATATGGTTTTCTTTAGCTCTTGAAGAATTATTTTAAATAGCTAATATAAAGTGTTTGTCTAGAAATTCTAACGTCTGGGCTTCCTCAGGGACAATTTCTATTCATGGCTTTTTTTCTTGTTGTGTTTCATATCTTACACTTTTTTGTTAAACACTAGACATTTTAAATCTTATAATGTGGCAACTCTGGGAATCAGATTCTCTCCCCTCTCCAGAATTTTTTGTTGCTGCTTATTGTTGTAGTTGTTTGTTTCAAGACTTATCAAAACTAATTCTGTAAAATCTGTATTCCTTGTTATGTGCAGTCACTGGAGTCTCTATTCTGTTAGCTTAATGGCCAGCTAACAACTGAACAGACTGCCTTAAATGCTTGGAACCAAAAAACCTGTCTGTCTTTGCAGAAGGGCTCTGGGTAGGTTTGGGATACACCTTCACTACTTAGCCAGGTAGCTTCTAACTCTGCCTTAGGCTTCACTTCCTGCTTTCACAGAGCCTCAAGATCAGCGAGAGGTAGAAGTCTTCCCTGGGCATGCATACAGTCCTTGCCAAGCATGTGGCCTTCTACATTCTTGGGAATATGTGAAGCTTTTCAAAGCTCTCATAGACATCTCATTCCCAATCTCTGCTCCTAGGCTCTTTAGTTAGTCTACTGTTTGCCCCCATTGTTATTTCTTGATTCAGGAAGCAATGACTAAATTATTTGTCTGTAAATGTTTCTTGATAACTACTGTCCTCCCCGATCTCAGAAGTAGGGCAGTTCTGAGTCAGGAGAAATAGAGACAAGGTTTTGAAGTCATTCATCCAGGGATCCACCTAAGAAGGCAAAACAAATACTTACAATGAGGTCTGTTCTGCTCCCTCCAGTACAGAAACACAGGCTGTTATTTCAGCCCCAGCTGACACATGGAACAGGGAATGGGGCTTGGGTAAGCTCACTATTCTTACTAAGATTCAGCCATTTTTTGTGAATGAGCACTCTTCACACTTTTTTTCAAGTCTTTGGTTAATTTCTAGAGTTCTGAAAAAGTTGATTCTGACAGGTGTTGCCAGTTCTTCTGTCGCTCTTATGGAAGGGTAAAATTTTACACTTCTTTACTGTGCCGCTTTTGCTGATGTCACCCCCAAATAGCAAAACTTTTTAAACCACTTGAAATGCCTCTCTCCTAGCTTCCTAATAAATCAATTTATCAAGCATTTACTTAGAATTTACAATGCTGTGTGGCTAAAAAGATAACAATAACAAACTGCTCGTCCTCAAGTAATATGATAAATTCAACAGTATCAGATTCCAAATGAAACTGTTAGTAATTATGACACTGGAGTGGGTTCGAGAGGAGCAATTTTAAGTGTTCCAGATGGTTCTGAAACCGGTAGCTTGCTTGAAGAAATATTGCCTCAGGTTTTTGTCAGCCTCTACATACTAGGACTCTATAGTGATAAGCAGAATAAATGTGTTACAGAGACTAGTATGAGAAACTGAGCAATTAGGCCAGAAAGAGTTACCACTGCAGAAAACAGAATGTACTAACTGCAGTATGGGAAGAAGAGGGCATAAGAGAGCCCATCTTTTGGCTTTGTGCACAAGCAATCTTGATCCTAGTATTAAATTTTGTCAATACTACAAAACAGCCTTGAAATTGTTCAAGTGTTATGTCCTCAGAGAAACCTTCCCTAATTCCCATCTAAACTGGCACCCCCACCTTTACCCTAAAATATTCTTTTTCCCTTTAACCTGTTTAACAAGGATAATATTTTATTTTATTTTTTTATTTTTTTATTTTTTATTTTTTTATGGAGATGGAGTCTCACTCTGTCACCCAGGCTGGAGTGCAGTGGCACGATCTGGGCTCACTGCAACCTCCACCACTCAGGTTCAAGCGATTCTAGTACCTCAGCCTCCCCAGTAGCTGGGACTACAGGCACATGCCACCACACCTGGCTAATTTTTTTGTATTTTTAGCAGAGATGGGGTTTCACCATGTTGGCCAGGCTGGTCTTGAACTCCTGACCTCAGGTGATCTGCCCACCTCGGCCTCCCAAAGTGCTGGGATTACAGGCATGAGCCACCGCACCCAGCCAAGGATTATATTTTTTAAAATATCTCCCAACACACATTTCCTTATCAGCAAGCAGATTCCCCCTTCCCAGTATCACACCTGCCATCATGCCCAAAGGAAAGTGGAAGAGGAAATGGAAAGTCTACCCGGCCTAGACTTCTGGTGTCTTCATGACAGGAGAAGAGAACAGTGGGAAGGAAGCAGCAGTGACACAAGTCTGTTCTCATCTCCTCTCTCCAGGATAGAGTTCCAAAAGGGAAAAGACATGCTAGGCAGATGGAAGAAAAAGCTAAAAAAACAGGCATCTTTGATCCATCTCCCATTTGGGGTTCTGGGAGGAGACTGCTACACAAGATGACCCTTAATGAAAATGTGGGGGCGGAATCATCAACATAGAAGGGTTAGGAGGAAGGAGGGCATGGATTTAGTTATCCAGAGTTCTCTGGCTCCCACAAGGCATAAAAGGCATCCCAAATTTTCTGTATGCCCAATGAAAGAAGAGGAAGGGAGGTGGGGATTCTGCTAGCAAAATCACTGAAGGACAGGGTTTTGCCCCAGGGGAGGCAAAGAGATTCAGTAACTAAGGGCTATTTGTCTTACTGCCCAGGTCCAGGGCTTAAAGAATATGACACCCAAACCTCAGAGTCAGCATGAGCCAAGGTGAGGCCAGTGAAGCAAGGAGAACCACTGGACCATTTGCTGACCACAGACTGCAACAGCACTTATCAGCAGGACACATTGACCAGGTGGACAGCAATACTATTACTCCAGAGGCCAAGGAGGGCTCAGAGAGAGCAGCACAAGACCACACAGTCACCTCATCTTTACATACACACACCCATATGCCACCTAGGGAACAGACATGGTTCTCCTGGCATGGACACTAGCAGTAATATATGCAGTGGTGGTGGTAGTTGTGGTAAAAATAATAAGAGCTAACACACATTTATAGCACTTAGATGCCAGATACTATCCTAAGCTCTTTACATATTATTAATGCATTTAAACCTTATTAACAACCCTATGACGTAAATGCCATTACTATCACCATTTTACACATGAAGAAAATGAGGCATACAAAGGTTAGGTATCTGATTCAAGGTCCCACAGTCAGTAAGTGGTAAAGCCAAGATCTGAACCCAATATGACAACATATATTTTATGGAAAAATACATGTATTAAATATATTTTTTTAAATATATGAAAAGAATAAACAGAATGTCAGGCACACAAAGACTTTCCTAAAGAATCTAGGTAGTATTCTATGGCTCTGAATCCAGGATAACATAAAGAAATAGGAGATAACACACATAGCCATCAGCTGCCCAAAATTTTAAAAAATTTAAAGGTGAGCACTAATCTATCAAATGATTGTTACTGAACAAAACTGATATACTGGGAAATAAAGCAAACTAGTACATAACTTATAAATGTTTCATGAACACAGCAACACAGTGCTGCCCACACGTGATGAGTTCAGATAATATAAAAGGTTTCAGAAAAAAGTAAAGAGTGCTTATCTTTCAAAGGACCATATTGAAATATCTATAAATGAAAGGCTTCAAAGTAATCCAACCCGAAAGAACCAAAAAAAAAAAAAAAAAGACAATATACGTTGCACAACAATTTTCAAAACACTGGATATTAGGGGCAATGAAGAAGACTGTTTCCCGAGAAATGGGGAAAAAAGTGATCCCCATAATTGCCCCAGCTTACTGCCTTGAGAAAATATCCAGACTGTGGTATAAGAAGGGGGTCCCAGGCAGAGCCCAGCAGACTCTAAGTTGAGAAATGGAGCTGAAAGTCCTGGTTGGAGTTTTCAGGCCAGAGAATCAAAGAGGAGAGAGCTGTATACAGAGAGAATTCTGGAGATGTGCTAAATGGAAAGAACGAATTTACAGGGAACTGTGCCCAGAACTCACATAGAACAAGGAATAGTGCTTGCTCTTACCACCCAGAGTGGACAAACTCATAATTTATTGGATATTAGTAGAGTACTCAGCCAGGTCTTGACTCAGTAATAGGGAATAATCAGGCACAGACTAAGTATTTCTTCAGACTCACCTAACAAATCATAAAAGCAAAAACCCCAAAGATCAAACTGGTCAAGTAAGTTAACTGCATCCCAGAACAAAGCTCAAGAATATTTGCAGAACTACAAAAATATCCAGCAAACAAAAATAAAACAAACAAAAAATATCCAGCAACCAAAAAAGTAAAATTTACAACATCTGGCATCCAAATATTATCAGGCATGCAAATAAACAGGGAAACACAACTCGTAATGAGAAAAATACTCATTTTTAAATAACACAGATGTTAGAATTACCAAATGCATTAAAACAGTTATTCCACAGATTATTCCACAGTTATTATGGAGTACAGTCATTCAAGTACACGTTGAGCATCCCTAATCTAAAAATCTGAAATGCTCCAAAATACGAAATTTTGTGACATTCACATTGACTCCACAAGTGGGAAATTCCACACATACTTAACACAGACTTTGTTTCATTAACAAAATTATTCAAAATATTGTATAAAATCACCTTGAGGCTATGTGCATAAGGTGTAATATGAAACATAAATGAATTTCATATTTAGACTTATATCCCATTCTCAAGATATCTAATCAGGTATATGCAAATATTTCAAAATCCAAAATAATCCAAAATTGGAAACACTTCTAGTCCAAGCATTTCGGATAAGAGATACTTAAGCTGTATTGACAGCAGTGCTAAAAAGAAATAAACTATCAAGACATGAGACGACATGGAGTAAAGAGCATATTACTAAGTGAAAGAGCCCAATCTGAAAAGAATACATACTGTATGATTCCAACTCCATGACATTCTGGAAAAGGCAAAACTATGGCTAGAATAAAAAATCAGTGGTTGCCAAGGGGCTGAAAAAGGAAAGGATAAATAGGGGGAACACGGAGGATTTTTAGGACAGTTAAAATATTCTGTATGATACTAAAATGGTAGATATATGGTAGTATACATTTGTCAAAACCCACAGAATATACAATGCCAAGAGTGAACGTTAATGTAAACTATGGACTTTGGGTTATAATAATGTGTCAATATAAATTCATCGATTGTAATAAATATACCAGTAGGATACTGATATTGGGGGAGGCAGTGCATGTGTGTGGATAAGTCATATATGGGAACTCTCTACACTTTCTGTTCAAGTTTGCCATGAATCCAGAACTGCTATAAAAAACAAAGCCTATTTTTGAAAATAAAATTGAAAAAAATCAGTGAACTATGGAAACATTTCCAACAGTCTCATATATGTGTAATTGGAGTCCTGAAGGAAAGGAGAAAGAAGAGAAAAAAAATTTGGAAAAAAAAAGTACACAATTTTCCAAATTTTATATAAACTATAAAACTCACTGATCCAAAGAGCTCAACACGTTCCAAGTAAAAATTACTGATTTCAGGAATGCAAGGTTCTACAGATCACTACAGATTCTATGGATTGAAAATGATAATAAGGATTATGAACAACTTTATGCCCATAAATTCAACAACTTAGAGGAAATGAACAAATTCCTTGAAAGACAAACTACCAAAGCTCACTTAAGAAACAATTTAAATAGCCCTATGTTGTCTAAAGAAACTAAAATTATATTTACAAGAAGAGCATTTACCAAGCTAAACAAAAAAAGGAATCCACACCTACTCACAAAATACAGTAATAAAAACAAAATACACAAAAGATAAAGAGCTTAAAGTGGTCAGAGAAATGACATATAACAAAGGCCTGACAATTATTGACAGCAGGTTTTTCAACAGCAACCACTGCAACTAGTGGATGGTGGAATAATATCTTCAAAACACTAAGAGAAAATTATTGCCAACCCAGAATTAAATAAACCAAAAATAACCTGCTAAGAAACTAAGACTTTTTCAAAAAACAAAACAAAAAACCCTGAGAAATATAAAGATCCTTAGAATAAAATTAGAACCATAAGTCCACACTATGCACAAATGTGAGCAGCAAAAACTCTGGGCAAAACCCCTCATTTCAGGCAAAAATAATTGGGAAAGACCACAGTGGTCTAAGGAGCGTAAGAATCATTCTCATTATTTTTAACACTTTTTCTGAGCTCTTCACCCTAAGGGTGGCACCAGCCATACAGAAACGCATCGCAGGCAGCTAAAGCTCTGAAAGAAATCCAAACGTCTGACTAGAATAACAATGAAAGGAGCCTCTGTGAGCCAGAGAGATGTGGGGAATCCAGGAAAAGATGAGCCAGAGAAAGGGTTTCCCGTAATTTTGCACATGAACCAGCACAACTTCTAGCTCACACATAAGAGAGATTCAGGGAAGCACAGCAAAGGCTCTGAGAATAAATTAAAATATAAACTGTTGCCAAAGCTCCAAACTAACTAATAAATGGTCTGTGGATAGGAAAGACCCAAAGTAGCATAGCACAGTCTTTGAACTGATACTGGAAATACTATTCACAGGTGAGAAAACTTGTGGTTTAGAACCTAACCAGCCTGACAGTCTACCAAAACAAAAATAAAATCAGCATTCTTCCAAGGATTTTAACAGGACTTAGAAACACAAAATATAACTCCAAAATTACTCAAATGAGAGCATCAGGAAAATGTGATCCAAAATTGAGGGAAAAGACAATCAAAAGTAATTTGTAAGGGAAGCATAACTATATTAAAAAAAAACAGACATAGAGAGTAAGAAAAGGGAAAATTACAGGTCAGTGTCACTCATGAAATAGATATAAAAATCCTAAGCCAAAAATTAGCATACCAAAGCCAAAAACAAAGCTCAGATGATAAATCATTACCAAGTTGGGTTTTTTCCAGAAATTCAAAGTTAAATAAATATTAGAAAATCTATTAATGTAGCTTATTATATTTGTAGCTTATGATTAAGGAAAGTCAGATGACTCCTTCAATTTGACAAAATACAACCTTTGTGGTGGGCTACTTGGAAAATGGTTCCCAGTAATTCTGTCATACAAAGGGCTCTTTAAAGAAATTAAGGGTGTGCCTAATAGGTCCTCGCGACTCAACAACAGGGGCTCTAGGAAACTTAAGAACATTGTCCCTCAGCCATCTGAGAAAGATCACAAAGTAAAGAAGGGTGTACCTTAGATTCGTGGGTGTGACTATTACCCAATGGAATGAACACCAGTGAGTTTCACAAAGGACTGACAAAGTTTTTGAGAAAATTATATCAGCAGCAACACTGCCAGGCTGGACCAAAAAAACCCAGAAATAGTATAACACGAAAAGAGGTCACTAGACTCCCAAAATTCTACTGGCAGGAAGCAGACTAATAAAAAACTACACAGCTGCTAACACATGCTACCTTTCATGAAAAAGGAAGAATAACTCAGAGGTGGAATCAAGGAACTTCTAACATCCTGGCTGGATTTCAGAATTGATATGGACTAGTAACACTTCTGTGCCTCCTATTTTCCCTCCTTTAAACAGGAATGTCTATTATCCCATGCCTGTTCCACCCTTGTATACTGGATATAGGGAAGGGAGGATAACTTGTATCTTTAATGTCACATTTCTACAGACTGAATGGAACTGTACACAAGGAACTGTATTTTAAAAACTTTGGCCAGGTGCAGTGGCTCACACCTGTAATCCTAGCACTTTGGGGGGCTGAGCCCAGGAGTTTGAAACCAGCCTGGGCAACATAGCGAAACCCTATCTCCACTAAAAATAAAAAAATTAGCCAGGTGTGGTGGCACACAACTGTAATCCCAGCTACTCAGGAGGCTGGGGCAGGAGGATCACTTGAACCCAGGAGGTTGAGACTGCAGTGAGCCATGACTGCGCCACTGCACTCCAGCCTAGGCAACAGAGTGAGATGCTGTCTCAAGAAAAAAAAGAAACTTCACCCATAAGCCTCACTCACAACTGGACCTGATTTAGATGACAAGATTCTGGACTTTGAGCTGATGCTGTAACAGAATGAGACTTTTGGAGACCTGGAGGAAGGGGCAAATTAAGAGGGCCATATGCAAGAGACATGAGTCATTGGGGGCCACAGGGCAGGCTGGAAGGCTGCTTCTAAAATAGCACCTGATGGTTCCCAACTCCTGATATTCCTACCTTCGTGTAATCCCGTCTACTTGATTTTAGCTGGGCCTAGGAATTTGATTCTCATGAATATGGCAAAAGTGATAGGATGTCACTTCTGAGATAAGGCTGGAAAAGATGTAACTTCCATCTTCTTTACTTTCTCTGGCTCTTCTTGTTTGCCTGCTGCCATGTTAAGTAGCCATATACAGAAACACACAGCAAGAAACTAAGGCCCTCCACCTAAGACAGAGAAGGAACTGAATCTTGCCAAATACCACATGAACTAGGAAATCATTCCTTCCCCAGTCGAGCCCTGATGCAGCCTTGTGAGGGACTCTGAAGCAGAAGATCCAGCTATGCTGTGTCCATATTCCTGACACACAGAAACTTTTATGTTTGTTGTTTTCAGCCACTAAATTCTGGGGTAACTTACTACACAGCAATGGAAAATGAATACAATATCCATTAACTTTGAAAACTCTTAGTGAACTAGAAATAGAAGAGAAATTCTTTAACTTGATAAAAGATATCAACAAAGAGAAAGAAAACTAACAGCATATACCAATAATGTACATTAAAATAAATACAACAAAATTCATTAAACATATTCCCTTTAGAGTGAACTCTGTTCTGGGAAAAAATAAATAAATCATTTTCCTCCATTTCCTACACAAAGGATATTTAGGAGTAACTAAACAGTTGGTATAAGCACAGTCTTCTTTATAGAAAAATATCATTAATGAATACAGAAGGAAATTTTAAATTAGACTACCACCATTTGGCCAGACTTAATAAAATAGTAGGTCTGGGCAATGATTCATCAATGATCACTAAAACCATTAGGTAGAAGACTAAAAAAAACTGTACTGCTTCATGAATCACATTCTTACTTAAATCTAGTTGGTTTTTTTTTTAAGCAGAAGAGAATTTGACAGTACTAAAAGTACAATGACCACTAAGTACAGTTTGGTGCCAGAGCCTTGATTTGTGCTAAGGCATCCACAATTTTCAACTCTTTTGCACTATCAGCACAAATGTCAACAGAATGAAAATTCAAATAACATCTTAGTACCATTGTGAAAATAGTTTTAGCCTTGGAGATCTTCTGGGAGGGTCTGAAGGATTTTTTGGGTATTCTGAAACCATAATTTGGGAACCTCTACTTTAGTGACACACAGAGAAGTATTTACAGATGGAATGATGTGATATCTTGTATTTGTTTTAAAATAATTCAGCAGAAGTTGGGGGAAGGAAAGGAGTTAAATACTGGCCTACAATAGTTAACTGTTGGTATTGGGAATTCTGTTTACCAATTTATTTTTGTGTTTGGAATTCTGCATAATAATAAAATATTGTTTAAGGCATTCCCTTTAAAATACAGTTTCTCAACCTTGGCACAGCTGACATTTGGGGCTGAATAAATTCTTTGTTGTAGTAGCTGTCCTATAATTGCAGGATGTTTAGCAACACCCTGGCCTCTTTCTATTTGAGGCCAGCAGTATCACCTCCACTTCCCCAACTGTGATGACCAAAAAGTCTCCAGACATTGCCAAATGTCCCCTAGGGAACAAACTGTCCCCACTTAAAAACAACTTTTTTTTTTTTTTTTTTTTTGAGACGTTGTCTCGCTCTGTCACCCAGGCTGGAGTGCATGGCATGATCTCCGCTCACTGCAAGCTCCGCCTCCTGGGTTCACTCCATTCTCCTGCCTCAGCCTCCCGAGTAGCTGGGACTACAGGCGCCCGCCACCACGCCCGGCTAATTTTTTGTATTTTTAGTAGAGACGGGGTTTCACCATGTTAGCCAGGATGGTCTCGATCTCCTGACCTAGTGATCCACCCGCCTTGGCCTCCCAAAGTGCTGGGATTACAGGCGTGAGCCACCACGCCTGGCAACAACAACTGTTTTAAAATAAGGTTGCTTACTACTATTAGAAGTCCTAGCCTAGGCAAAACCACAAAACATTAGGAAAGCTGCGGGATATAGATATACAAAAGTCATTTACAATTATATACACCAGCAACTAAAAGAACATTTAAAAACAATACACATATCTGGCTGGGCATGGTGGCTTGTGCCTATAATCCCAACGCTTTGGGAGGCTGAGGCGAGTGCATCACCTGAGTTCAGTAGTTTGAGACCAGCCTGGAAAACATGGCAAAACCCTGTCTCTACTAAAAATACAAAAATTAGCCAGGCTTGGTGGCTCACACTTGCAATCCCAGCGACTCGGGAGGCTGAGGCAGGAGAATCTCCTGAATCCGGGAGGCGGAGGTTGCAGTGAGCTGAGATCGCACCACTGCACTCTACCCTGGGCAACACAGTGAGACTCCATCCCAAAAGAATAAATGAATAACTTAAATAAATAAAAACAATACACATATTTACATTACCAATGAAAAGAAGGTACTGAATAATAAACTTATCAAATAAAGTACAATACTTTTATGAAGAACATTATAAAATACAATACCATCAAAGGATATTGTAGACGACCTAAATAAAAGGAGAGGCCCACTGTATTATGGATAGAATGGCTTAATATTTTAAGAATGGCAATCCTCCCCCAAATTACCTACAGGTTCAATGTAAATTTAGTCTGATTTTTCATGAAATCAGGCAAGTTGATTTTAAAATATATACGGAGGACCAAAGGGTTTAAAAACAGCCTAGACATTCCTAGAGAAGAACTAAGCAGGGAGATTACCCTATTAGATTCTAAGCCATTTTCTTTCTTTCTTTTTTTTTTTTTTTTTTGAAACAGAGTCTCACTCTGTCAACCAGGCTGGAGTGCAGTGGTACAATCTTGGATCACTGCAACTTCTGCCTCCATTCCCTGGGACTAAAGGTGCCCGCTACCATGCCCAGCTAATTTTTATTTTTTGGTAATGATGGCGTTTCACCGTGTTGGCCAGGCTGGGGTATAACTCCTTACCTCAAGTGATCCGCCCACCTCAGCCTCCCAAAGTGCTGGGATTATAGGCATAAGCCACCGCGCCTGGCTAACTCGAAGACATTTTCTAAAACTGCAGTAATTAAAATAGAGTGGTATATGGCATTAGGATAGACTAAGTGAAGAAGGATTTCTTGACTGGGTGCAGTGGCTCATGCCTGTAATCCCAGCACTTTGGGAGGCCAGGGTGGGCGGATCACAAGGTCAGGAGAGAGAGACCATCCTGGTTAACACGGTGAAATCCCGTCTCTACTAAAAATACAAAAAATTAGCCAGGCATGGTGGCACACGCCTGTAGTCCCAGCTACTCGGGAGAATTGAGGCATGAGAATCGCTTGAACCCAGGAGGCGGAGGTTGCAGTGAGCTGAGATCGTGCCACTGCACTCCAGCGTGGGCAACAGAGTGAGACTCTGTCTCAAAAAAAAAAAAAAAAAAGAAAGCGATCTCACTAAAAGAATAATGCATACATGGAAACCTGATGTTTAACCTAGCTGGTACTGCATGTCATTAGGACAATCCCCTAGGTTTCTGGACTCCCCACAAATGCCAAAATCCACAGATGCCCAAATCTCTCATATAAAATGGCACAGTATTTACATATAACCTACATACATCTTCCCTTATACTTTAAATCATCTCTAGATTACTTATAATACCTAACCTAACGATGCCCACACATCACTTCATTCACGTAGATTCAATGTAGTATTCAGCACATGGCAAGCTCAAGTTGTAATTTTGGGAACTCTGTGGAATTTTTCCCCCCTGAATGTTTTTGACCTGAGGTTAGTTGAATCTATGGATGTGGAACCCATGGATCCAAAGTACTGACTGTATTTCCATAGATGGTTCCGGGAAACTGGTCATCTTTATAGAAAAAATATGAAAATGAATCTGCACCTCACACAAGAAAATAAATTCCATATTGATTAATAAATTCCAGATTAACATGAAAAGAAATTTGTTTTAAGTTTTGGAAAAAACATGGGAAACTATTTTTATGACCTCAGAGTATGGAAGAATTTTTTTACAAAAAATTCTAAAGAAAAAGATTGGTAAATACAAGTTTAAAACTTAAATTCATCAAAAGATTTTTCTTATTTTTCTTAATTCTGTTAAAGTGAGGTCATTGACAAAAAAGATATTAAAAAGGAAGTTAAAAGATAAGCTACTGGCCGGGCACGGTGGCTCACGCCTGTAATCCCAGCACTTTGGGAGGCCGAGGTGGGCGGATCACAAGGTCAGGAGATCGAGATCATCCTGGCTAACACCCCGTCTCTACTAAAAATACAAAAAATTAGCCGGGCATGGTGGTGGGCGCCTGCAGTCCCTGCTACTTGGGAGACTGAGGCAGGAGAATGGTGTGAGCTTGCAGTGGGCAGAGATCGCGCCACTGCACTCCAGCCTGGGCGACAGAGCGAGACTCCGTCTCAAAAAAAAAAAAAAAAGGCTGGGCGCGGTGGCTCAAGCCTGTAATCCCAGCACTTTGGGAGGCCGAGGCGGGTAGATCACGAGGTCAGGAGATCGAGACCATCCTGATTAACACAGTGAAACCCTGTCTCTACTAAAAAATACAAAAAAATAGCCGGGTGTGGTGGCAGGCGCCTGTAGTCCCAGCTACTTGGGAGGCTGAGGCAGGAGAATGGCGTGAACCCGGGAGGCGGAGCTTGCAGTGAGCCGAGATCGCACCACTGCACTCTAGCCTGGGCGACAGAGCGAGACTCCATCTCAAAAAACAAAAAAGAAAAACAAGTGGAATATGCATACTGCTCATAATCCAGCTATTCTAATCCAAAGTGTATATCTTAGAGAAACTCTTGAAGGAAACACCTTCAAAAATGTCCTTAGCTCCAAACTAAAAACAATCCAAATGTTCATCAATAGTAAAAATGTATAAATAATCTATATTATACCAGAGAATAGTATTTTGGCAATTAAAACTGATGATATAGCTATATACCACAACACAGGTAAATCTCAAAAGAAAATGTTAGGCCAGAGAAAAAAAAAAAGAACCTGACCGAAAAAAACACAGACCATGATCCCATTTATATAAAGTTTACCAACAGGCAAACTAAACAAAGAAACAAAGGAAAAAGGGAAAACATGACAATGAAATATCAAAGGTCACCTCCAAGTAGTTTCAGAGATTATTGTTACTGTAATGCCAGCATTCCCAACCTGCCATGTTAGTTTCCTACTAGAGCTATTCAAATCGGGTGCTTACTTTGCTTCATTGAGACAAACATTTCATGACTTCAAGACTACCTTTGCCCTAAACAAGCTTACAGGAGCATGTGTAAGAACATTAACAAAAGCCTGTGGTGCACTTGCTACTAACCTAGGTGTTTCACACTCATTATTTTGGGATGGGGAGAGGGAGGGGAACAGTGCATAAGCGTTCGACAATAAAAATAACATACTAATAAGTACCACTTTGAACAATTTCTATGTGCCAGGTGCTATTCTAAAGGCTTTGTAGTAATTTAATTCTCACAACTCTATAAATACTACTTACCATCATCTGCAATCGGTATTATTATCATCCTTATTATTATAATAATAAAGACAACAGGTAACATTTTCAACCTCTCATTATATACCAGGCACTTGGCTAAGGGCTTTATAGTCATTCTAACTAAATCCTCACGACAACCCTATGGATAGTTATTATTATCATCCTTAATGGATACTATTTCAGTAAGCCTTTATCCACAGTTTCAGGTAGTTCTCTGCAGTCAACTGTGGTCTGAAAACATTAAATGGGAAACTCCAGAAATAAACAACTCATAAGTTTTAAATTGCATGTCATTCTCAGTAGCATGATGAAATCTAACATTGTCTCACTCTGTCTAGACTGGGATGTAAATCATCCCTTTGTTCAACACGTCCATGCAATGTACACTCACTACCCACCATTAGTCACTTAGTAGCCCTCTGTTATCAGATGGACTGTAGCAGTATCGCAGTGCTTACGTTGAAGTAACTCTTGTTTAACTTAATCATGGCCATAAAGCTCAAAAGTAGTAATACTGGCATATTGTTATAATTGTTCTACTTTATAATTAGTTACTGCTGTTAATCTTACTGTGCTTGATTTATAAATTAACCACAGGTATATATGCACAGGAAAAAACATAGTATATATAGGGCTCGGTACCATCAGTGGGGTTTCGGGCATCCACTGGGGTCTTGGAACATATCATCTGCAGATAAGGGGGATCTAACATATTATCATTCCCATTTCCAGGATAAGAAAACTAAAGGAAAGATGAGATAACCAAGACTAGACAAAACCAAATAACTCACTCAAGGTCACATAATCAATAAAGGACAGTGCTAGGATTTGAACCTATGTCTGTCTGACTCTAAAACGTGTGCTTAGCCACTGTCACACTGTTTTAGTTTGTCTTCATAAATGCTGTAAGTATATACAACAAGAGCTAAAAGTATAGATGAAGACAAAGACCTGAGTCCACAGCCTGGCTCTACCATCTTCCAACTGTGGGACGGAGGACAAGCTCCTCAACTTCTGGGAGCCTCAAGTCCCTCATCTATAAAATTAAGATGTTTAAGGCACCTATGGGTGAGTGTGAAAGGGTAAATATAAAAACTAAATGAGATAAGGCACACAGAGAGCTCAGCATACTGCCTGGCACATAACAAATGTTCAGTAGATGTTGGATGGTATCATTACCATCATCACCATCTTCCCTGTTTTATAGATAAGAAAATGGAGACACGGAGAGAGATAGTATTTGATGCAATGTTACAAAACCAGTTAGTGTCAATGAAAGACTTTAAACAAAGTCTAGCCAGCTTCAAAGTATCAACCCTTTTCCATTTGCCAAGTGTCTCATGAAAGCATAGGAAGTACATCCCAGACAGAGGGGGGCCTTGGAGAGATCTTCCTTAGGGAAAGGAAACCTGAACTAAATCTTGAAATACAACCATGAGTTGGTCAGATGAAGAAATGAAGTGAGAGAAAGGTGTTGCAGGCACAGGAAACAACACATTCAAAGGAACTGATTAAATAAATGGTGTGGCAATAATTGTAGCTACAATTATTTCAGTGTGGCTGCAGCCCAGGCTGTAGGGGCAAGAAAGTCTGAGTCCACAAATGAAGCAAACAAAACGTAGCATGATTTTAAGCAGTGGTTCTCAAAGTGAAATCAGGCCAGGAACATTAGCATCACCGGGAAACCTGTTAGAAGCGCAAGTTCTTGGGCCTATCCCAGACCTCCTGAATCAGAAATTTTAGGTCTTTTAAAGGTTCTGTATGTGATTGTGATGAATGGTTGATGTTTGAAAACATGATTTTCAGCAATGAGGAAATGTAAGGATGTTTTCAAAAACAATGAAATAATTCTTCATTAGACAGGTAATTCAGAAAAGGACCAAGGAGGAACCATGAATTCATGTATAATATCTGGATGGGTACCAACCATAATTCCCTTGATGTGCTTGGCTTTTCTTTGACAGTAGTTAATCAATGTAATAGGTTACTCTACTTAAAGATCCAATTTGCCCTACACTTCATCTTGGCAAAATACTCTGAACTAGGCTTACATTTTAAATCTTAAAAAAAAAAAAGAATTTTTTTAAAAAAAACAGGAATCTTCTAAGTTTTATACCTCATTATGGACTGAATGTTTGTGTCCCCCCAAATTCATGTTAAAACCTAATCACCAATGTGACTGTATTAGGAGATGGGAACTTGGGAAGTGTCCTTATTAGTGCACTTACAAAAGAGGCCAGGGAGAGATTCTTCACCTCCTTTACCATGTGAGGACACAAGGTGCCATCTATGAACCAGACAGCAGGCCCTTACTAGATGCTGAATCCATCAGTGCCTGATCTTGGACATCCCAGCCTCCAAAACTGCGAGAAATCAACTTCTGTGTTTGTAAGAACCCAGTTTGTGGTATTTTGTTATAGCAGCCCAAATGGACTAAGACATACCCTAAAATGCCTATTAAAACTAAATGTTTTGAGCCAGGCACGGTGGCTCACGCCTATAATCCCAGCACTTTGGGAGGCCGAGGCAGGCGGATCATGAGGTCAGGAGATCAAGGCCATCCTGGCTAACATGGTGAAACCCCATCTCTATTAAAAACACACACACAAAAAAAAAATTAGCTGGGTGTGGTGGCACGCACCTGCAATCCCAGCTACTCAGGAAGCTGAGGCAGAAGAGTCACTTGAACTCGTGAGGCAGAGGTTGCAGTGAGCCGAGATCATGCCATTGCACTCCAGCCCAGAAGACAGTGCGAGACTCTGTCTCAAAAAAAAAAAAAAAAAACACTAAATGTTTTTATAAACCAATATAATCCCAATTAAAAGTGTATCAGTTTTGTAAATTTTACACATTACAATCAATGTTTTTCTTTTAAAAACAAAATTGTAGTTTTGCAATTCCATGAGCTTCACTTCAGTTTTCTTTGTTAAATCCAACCAAAATTAAATGCTGCCTAAAGGAGGGCCACTTCACTTCCAAGTACATCATCTACCAAGGTTCCGAACAAGATTTCACTTGAAAAAAAGGGTGCTCCACTAATAAGAGAAGTCTGAAGGCAACTGGCTTAAAATTCAATATCTTTAGCTTAAAATATAAGGCCCTCCAAAGCCTGGTCCGCATCATTTCTCTCAAACCTTGTTTCACACTACTTCCTGCCTGGAAATGAACTCTCTAGCAAAAAACACCACATTGTTACTCATCTTTGTTAAGGTGTTCATATTGTAACTTCTCAATGATTATTTCCTGATTTGGTTTTGTTTTACTTATTTTTCAAAAATATATTTTTCAAAAATATATTCACCTATGGGAAACAAACACCATGTTCTAGGTCCAGGTGGGACTAAGCTTAGCTGACTTCCATTATATGGTCAAGAGGGTAGGGTCCATAGGTCAGGCATAACAGGGCGTAGTTGTTCCTTAGGTCCTTTTGAGGCCCTGGGTTGGGCCAGGAGTGAAGCCACAAGGAGTCCTCCATACTACCTCTTCCCTTTGAATTCTGTAAACCACAGTTAGGCACAGGCTTCTCCCAGGAGTAACATTTCTTGGGTGGCTCATTGGCTAAGGAAAAGGAAAGACATTCTGGACAGTCAAGGAAGAACTACAGCGCCTTAACCATGGGTCACCCAGGGAGCACAATATTCCCTAAGTCAAAACTAAATGCGCTTCCCTTTATCTGTTGATCATCTTGGATGGCTGCCACAACAAATAATTATCTGACTAAAATGTCATACCAAGCTTGAGGAAACCCTTCTTTAGGGCTCAGTTTCATGACACATTGCCCAAGATGACCTCTCTGAACACCTCAGACTGGGTTAGGCACCTCTCCTTGGTTTTCCATAGTTCTTTGTTGTTGTTGTTGTTGTTCAGAGTTTTGCTCTGTCACCCAGGCTGGAGTGCAGTGGCACGACCTCAGCTCACTGGAACCTCCACCTCCCAGGTTCAAGTGATTCTCCTGCCTCAGCCTCCCGAGTAGCTGGGTTTACAGGCATGGGCCACCACCCCTGGCTAATTTTTGTATTTTTAGTAGAGATGGGGTTTCACCATGTTGGTCAGGCTGGTCTTGAACTACTGCCCTCAGGTGATCTGCCCACCCCAGCCTCCCAAAGTGCTGGGATTACAGGTGTGAGCCACTGTGCCTGGCCTCTTTTTGTTTGTTTTTAATTATTCACCAATGAAGAAGCAGTGGTGACCATAGTTCTTAACCCTGCATTATATATGAATCTAAGTCTTCTATTAGATCATATGTTCCTTTAAGGCAAAGACCTTTTATCTCAAGGAGCTAACACAGTGTCTGGCACATAGTAGGTGCTCAATAATGTAGCAGAGACTACTATCTGCCTATCCCAATATCCAATTGATTTTTCTTAGTAAAAGGAACCCCAGTTATGGCCAGTGAAAAGCAAGAAGTACTACCTGGAAGCTTCTAAGAAATATCCTCAAAAAATACTAAACGCCATTTGTTTTACACACATCCACCCCTGCTGTGCTGCTTAGAATGTAGATGAAATGACTGGCGCTCCAACTTGGATCCTGGGGATGATGGAGACAAAAGCTGGAAGCAGCCTAAATGCCAGATGACTGCAAAGCTGACAAAGCAGCCCTGGTCTGCCTTCTACATAGTAGTCATTATTTGGAAATCTTTGTTATTTTGGATCTCTACTATTTGTAGAGAAATCTAATCAAACTAATAAATGATCTGATATCCAACTTCTAATTTTTGCTACCAATTGCTATATTCTCCAAGAAAAGTACAAATGTTGCCTTATTAATTCATGTTCTGGTTCTGCTTCTTCTCAATCTTTCCCTGACACACTTTGAAATGCAATGTTTCATCAGCTCTCTGATTTCCTTTCACAGCCCATTTTACTCTGTCACTTGTATCCCTTGTTTATTCAATTCCTCCTCTCCAGCTAAGATGTCTCAGTCACTTCTCTCTTCAATATAGCTTGTAAAAGGAGGCTGGGCATGGCAGCTCACAGCGGTAATCCCAGCACTTTGGGAGGCCATGGCAGGAAGACTGCTTGAGGCCAGGAGTTCGAATCCAGCCTGGGTAACACATAGTGAGACCCTGTCTCCACCAAAAAAAAAAAAAAAAAAAAAAAAAAAAATTAGCCAGGCATGATGGCATGCACCTGTAATCCCAGCTACTAACAGGAAGCTAAGGTGGGAAGATCATTTGAACCCAGGAGTTCAAGGCTGCAGTGAGCTACAATCTTGCCACTATACTCCAGCCTGGGTGATGGAGCAAGACCCTGTCTCCAAAAAAAAAACCAAAAAAGACACAACCCCAATAGCCCAATAGCATCCTTAGGCAGTGCCTTCACAAAGGAGAAGTTTTCACAAATAAACAGACTTGTTCTCTGATAGCTTCATGAAAACAAAAACAAAAACAAAACACCACATGTAATATTTATAAAATTCTTCTGGGATATTTCAGACTGAGCTAGTAGAGCTCAGGTGATCCTAATTTGCCTGCTGTTAATTTTCCATGCTATTAATGCTCATATCTTTGTGAATATGGTCTGTCATTCTCTTCACTTGCTCAAAATATTCTTGTTATCCTTAAATTTCAGAAGAATTTCAAGTGGCTATTGAGTTATCTTTCTGTTAATCCCATAAGACATAAGAATTTTAAGTTTCCAAACTGACAAAGATTCTTTGTGTGACCAAACTTCAGTCAGGCTCCTGAACCTTCTCCTAGGACCATCTGTGCACTTCTTTATAAAATCCAGTTTTAGCAAAGAACCCTGCTAAGGCAGTTTAGCAAGAACCTCCTACCCTTGATATCTAATCACTCTCAGGATCTGATCGGGTTTCTCATCCTCCACCACCCTCCAGGTGATGTCTGATCACCCCGGCCTGTCTTCAGTGAGAATCCTATCAGGTAAATTTAGCCAGAATGCCCCTGACCCCTGATGTTTCCTCGTAGTAATTTTCCATCCACTGACCCTCACCTTACTCTCTGGCTACAAATTCTCACTTGCCCATGCTGTATTCAGAGTTAAGTCCAATCTCTATTCCCCACTGCAAGACCCGACTGCAGTGGTCCCTGTACCTCCTGCAGTGGTGCTAAATAAACACTGCCTCATGCCTTAGCAGGTATCACTGAATAATTTTTTCTTTAACAAAACTAAATTTCACTTTCTATATTAAAAAGAAAGTTATGAATTTAATAAATTACTAATTATTCTTCCTACTTCCTCAAAAATGTCTCCATTTCCAAAAACCTTTTTACATTATTTTCACTCATTTATTCAGTCTTTCTTTGCTTTTGATCTGATTTAGAGGATTTTTTGTCTGCTTTACTTATTAGAAGCTGTAGGGTGTCAGTTTTCATGTTCTTATTTGTTCTCTTGTACTTATCACTACTATTATCTTTTTCATTCTAATTTATTTGTGTTTAATAGTTGCTATATTCTCTTTCTGCCCTAAGTGTAGATAAGAACTCGTCTCTGAATTGTAGTTGTGATTCCTGTACTTGTTGTCTAAGCGTCACTGTTACATTAATCTGCTTTTCTGGATTTGCTCTTTTGACCTAGCAAACTTGACTTTTATTTGTTCCACGTAATTTCATGGTATCATAATGAGTTTAATAACAGAAGTAACTGTACGCTCTTGTAACTTCCCAAAAGTTCCCTGATGGAGACAACTAAAATTCCACAAAAAATTCCACAAACCATGAGAAGAGGGCAACGTAAATAGCCTCAAACTTTACTTCTGCTTTCTTTTCAAGATACTTGAGCAGGAGCCTCTGACTTTTCTGTAACTGGAACAGCCCAGAGACGCAAGAGATGCCACCCTGACTGTAAATAACTGGAAATTTCTAAGCAAAGTAAAGGTTAACTCTCAAAAATTAACAAGATAAGAGGCAGAACTGTGAAGGTCTCCTGATATCTCTATTTTCAACAGCTTCTACAAGTATCCCTAGGCCATCTGGTGACATCTTCAAACCTTCAAGGCTGCCTAAATATTTAAGTATTGTAATACTAAGTAATACTGAACTAAGTATTAAAATATTTACTTTAAACAATTTTCGGCCAGGCGCGGTGGCTCACGCCTGTAATCCCAGCACTTTGGGAGGCCGAGGCAGGCAGATCACGAGGTCAGGAGATCGAGACCATCCTGGCTAACATGGCGAAACCCTGTCTCCACTAAAAATAAAAATAAAAAAATTAGCTGGGCGTGGTGGGGGGCACCTATAGTCCCACCTACTCAGGAGGCTGAGGCAGGAGAATGGCGTGAACCTGGGAGGCCGAGCTCGCAGTGAGCCGAGATCATGCCACTGCACTCCAGCCTGGGCGACAGAGCAAGACTCCGTCTCGAAGAAAAAAAAAAAAAAAAAAAAATTTCCCAGAATAAAAATGTTTAAATAAAACGAAAAGCACACAGGATGACTGACTGTGGGCAATAAATTCTTTATTATAATGAACATGGGATATTTACAACTTGGCACTATGTAATAATTTTGTATTTTCTGCCTTATTCCCCAAAAAGCAGTTTTTGAGAGTAGGGATTCAATCTTTAAAAAAGAAGTATGGCTGGCCAGGCATAGTGGCTCACACCTGTAACCCCAGTACTCTGGGAGGCTGAGGTACATGGATTGCCTGAACTCAGGAGTTTGAGACCAGTCTGGCCAACATGGGGCTCTACCAAAAATACAAAAAAAAAAAAAAAAAATTAGCTGGGCATGGTGATGCGTGCCTGTAATCCCAGCTACTCGGGAGGCTGAGATGGGAGGATCACCTGAGCCTGGGAGATGGAGGTTGCAGTGAGCAGAGATCATGCCACTGCACTCCAGCCTGGATGACACAGAGAGACTCCATCTCAAAAACAAAAGAAGGAAATATGGTCTAGTTTAGACTCACCTCAACCAAAGCAGCTCTTGTTTTATATTGGAATTCTGGGTAAGATTTTCTTTCAAAAAGGGGTTCAAATATTATTTTGCTTTTAAGTTTTAAAAAACAATTGTAGCCTACCAGAAAAGACTAAAATACCAAGTGTTGGTAAAGATGTGAGGCAACTAGAACATGTTCATTTACAGTACAGCCATACATGAATGATAGAGACACTTTGGAAAACTGTTAGAAAGTATCTGTTAAACACACACACACACACACAAACACACACACACACACACACACCCCTTGTCATCCAGCAATTCTATTCATTGGTATATACCTAAAAGAAATGAATGCTATATCCACCAAAAGTAATGTACAAGAACGTTCTTAGCAACTTTGATCCATAATAGCCCCAAACTAGAAAGACCCCAAATGCAAAAATCTTGGAATAAGCATGGTAGGTTCTACTCATGATTGTGACATGTTAATTTTTGAAAAAACATAGAGCCTTACAGGGCCTCCATTCCACATACTGAAATGCTAAGTAACATCTCTTTACTTTCTAAAATTCATTAATTCATAATATAATTTCTATGAATTTTCTTGGCCTTTATGTTTACCTTAAACATAGCAAGTATATACACAAAATGTTCTCTTCCTGATTAGCACCAAAATTTAACTTAAGCATATCTCTTTAATCCCTACTGAAGAGGCTGGTGGTCTAATGGCCTCCTTTTATATTAGCAGATGTAGGTGGCATCGGTGCCGGGCCAACATACAAGCACAAAGACTGAAATACCTAATACAGGTGATTAAAAATCAATTATAGTCTATTATCTGGAAATAATAATAAACTGCAATCAGAGTAGCCAGAGCTGAAATTTTCTTTGAATCAATAAAAACAACCTAGAGCCACTACAATGATGGTATGTCATAACTTATAATCAATAATTGAAAGCTTGGTACAGGCAGGCAGCTGTTCCTTTGAGATTATCTACATAAGAAATCTATTTACTATACAAGTTCTATACAGCAAAAAAAAATTAAGCAGATATTCCTTGGTGAAAGTAAGAAGGGCACACAAGGAAAGTATTTTTTACAGGTGTTATATATTACTTTGATAAAAAGTATATATAACACCTTTTATATTTCTTTTTATATATGTATATATAACACCTTATATATTTCTTTTTTACAGGTGTTATATATTACTTTGATAAAAGAAAAAAAACAAAAATAAAATTTAGTTATAGCCAACTCTTCTTCATGAAGAGATGCTACCTGAATTTAATAGTAGTTTCCATTTTTATATCCTCATTCCAGGTATATAAGTCATCAAGACAGGTTAGAGGGTATACTAGTTGTCACTTCATAAGAAAAGAAGCAAAATGCTAAAAATCATCATTTGAGAAGTTTTGAATCCAAGGAACTTCTTGTATGGATTAGGCTTCCAAATTTTGGAGATTCTCTAGCCTTTTGTAAAAAATAAGAGAGGTTATATCCTTCAGATGACAAAGGAAGCACAACACGTAGTAAAATGCCACGGAGAAAAGCACGACCTCATTGAGACCAAGGCACAGATTCGAATTCTGGCCTTGCCATCTAAATCTGAACAAATCGTTTTAATCTTACTGTGACTCAGTCTTCTTGTCCATAAAATGAAGAGATTAGGTTAGACGAAGCTTTTATTTTTCTCTACCACTAAAAATTTCAAAATGCTTATAATTCACTATGTGCTCATTAACATGATATATGCACTTCCTGATTTTAACCTTAATCCACACAAAAGCCAACTATCCTCATTAACAACAATATCTAGAAATTAGAAATCAGAAGCCACTAAAACTGAATGATTGGCATTAAGGTCTGAGACCCTGAAGAAGGCTTTTCACCGCCTGTAAGGTGGGTTTGTATCCATCAAACAAATAAAGAGGGCCACGATATATAAATGAAAAAATGAAGTATAAATAAGTGAACATCTGTAATAAACTAGTAGAGAATTAATAAAAAAAGAAACCTCATCAATGAAGCTGTATCTGTTCCAGAAAAGGTCTTCAGTTTCTATATATACACACAGGAACATACACACATATATACATAAAACACATACATACATATGTATAGATCATTATTAGCTAAATATAGAGTCAAAATAAAAAACGTATCTTCTACTCACTTTGACAGAGACACTCCCCCAGCTTTCCCAATCATCTCTTCATGGTGCAATACTGAGTGGTTCCATGGAATCTGGAGGAACTTTAAGAGTGTTCTCATCCACCGTTCAGGATGTAAGACAAGTTGTTCATAGTGAACCAACATGCACTTTTTATAACCAACCTCCATACACTGGTTATACATGGTCTCTATAGCACGATTCCACTTTGTCAAACAGTCCCTATAGCTGTTCAGATCAAATCCAGCTATAGTAACTTTTCGAGAAATCATTGAATGTACTGATGCCCGGCCATCTCGGACCATCAGGAGAAATTTGGCATTGGGGAATAACCTAGAAAGGTAAGTTAAAGATTTCAGGGCAAAAGGATCTTTATTACATAAATAAGGGGCTGGCTCCCCATGCTTAACGATAATTTCTAGTAAGAAGGCTTGCATGGCAGAATCCAGCACTTCATCAGTAACACCAGCCTCATCCAGGCGGATCTTCTCTTTACTTGACCGTGACCACATCTGCTTCAGGGCCAGGATTCGGGGAATGACCCTGGTTTCCTCTCCACAGCGAATGTCAGGATGTGCGTCCAGCATGGCCCTCATGAGTGTGGTTCCACTCCGAGGCACACCTCCAATAAATATTAAAGGCATATCTTTGTGATAGGCAAAGGTTTTGTTGGCTTTGAGGTCCAGGCCAGTTCTCACAGTGGTCCTTGTGCTCTCCAATTTGACTGGCTGGCTACGTTCCTCTATCCGGTGATGGCATTCCATGGCATGCTGGCCCAGGTAAAACACAGTCACAGAACTAATCACCAGACATGCCAATAGTAAGTTCTGCTTCAGCTTTCCAACCATCTTGATGTGGTTATCTTGTTATTAAACAGATATTTTGCTCAAAATGATTTTCGGAAAATGTTCAGGCCATGGACAGTCTACTTCAGAAAGATAACCAACATCTAGTAGAGAAAGGAAAAGGTTATTTATCATTACATTGAGATTGCTTACAAATCAGTCACCAGTTATCACCACTGCATTTTAGGTAGAAAGAAGCTGAAACAGTCTTGGATTCTTTGATATTCTTAAAACAAAATTGAGACCGGGCGCGGTGGCTCACACCTGTAATCCCAGCACTTTGGGAGGCCGAGGCGGGCGGATCACGAGGTCAGGAGATGGAGACCATCCCGGCCAACACGGTGAAACCCCATCTCTACTAAAAAAAAATACAAAAAAAATTAGCTGGGCATGGTGGCGGGTGCCTGTAGTCCCAGCTACTCGGGAGGCTGAGGCAGGAGAATGGCATGAATCCAGGAGGCAGAGCTTGCAGTGAGCTGAGATCATGCCACTGCACTCCAGCCTAGGCAACAAAGCAAGACTCTGTCTCAAAAAAACAAAACAAAACAAAACAAAACAAAAACAAATGAGTAAAATTTGTTTTACTCAGTATATACAGTATATACAAATTTGAGTAAAAATAAATCAATGTTTATAATCAGAAACAGCTTTTGTTAATGAAGTAATTTTGAAGCTATGTACCTGGTAAAGAATGGAAAATAAATAAAACTATTTCTATCAGTGAGTCAACCAAATATTTAATAAGCCCAAGAATGTCTGGAGTCCAACCCAAGGCTGATCTCTGCTATTCAGACTTGCTTTACCTCCAAGCAGTCATTATCTCCACATTCTAACAATGAGAAATTATAGAAGAAATATGAAACAACTTCCAAATCTTTAACAGAGATTCAGTTTATTATCCCACAATTTATTTAGGTACTACAGACCAGATAGGCTCGACTGAGGACCAACTTTGAAAAGGAAAACAGTATAGTAACTTCTGCTGTTGGAAAACAAAGCCTTTTGACAGACAGATATGTAAACAATAACAATAAAATGTGATGAGTGCCTCCGTGGAAATACGCAAAGGGACAATGGGAGCATAATGAAAAGGAGCATGTAATTGACCTGAGGAAGCTGTAAAAGTTTTACAGAAAGTAGGAAGGAAGGACCAGGTGCAGCAGCTTACGCCTGTAATCACAGCTCTTTGGGAGACCGAGATGGGAGGATCATTTGAGCTCAGGAGTTCGAGACCAGCCCACACTGAGACCCTGTCTCTTTAAGAAAGAAAAGACAGAGGGAGGGATATTCTAAACCAAAGGAACTTGTGTGCAAAAGCACAATGGCAAGACAGAACACAGCATAATTAGGTGACAGGAAGAAGTTTAGGAAAGCTAGTGTATAGGCTGCAAACAAAATTGTATGTATAAGTATCTGTGATCTAATCCTCAGAAGGACAGGTAAGATCTGGACACAGGAAGCACTCCATGCTGCAGGTACACTATGACCAAAGACATGGATGTGCAAAAGCAGAAGCATGTATATGAAACAGCTGGAGCTGCTAGTTTAGCTAGAGCAAGGGTATACAGTGGGAAACAGACAGCAACCAGACTACATGTACACCAAAATAATTTACCCTGAATCCTCAGAAGGCAAGTGTGACAGTTAATTTTATGTGTCAACTTGGCTAGACTTTGGTGTCCAGTTGTTTGATCAAACACCAATCTAGATATGTCTGTGAAGGTATATTTTAGATGTGATTAACACTTAAATCAACAGATTTCTAGTAAAGTGGATTACCCTCCATAATACAGGAAGGCCTCATCTAACAGGTAAAGGCTTTAAGAGCAAAGACTGAGGTTTCCTGGAAAAGAACTACAACATAGAAACCCTGCCTGTGTGTCCAGCCTGCTACCGAGCAGAATCTGGAGTTAAGACTGTGGCAGGCCAGGTCTCACTAACGCAGGCCTCCATAACAACTGTTTCAGTACTGACTGAGTGGTTAAGTTAAATATTAAAAGCTAAAAAAAAAAAAAAAAAAGCCAGTGCTGTTATACAAAGGCTGGAATGTAACAAAAGCGCACCAAGAGTTTTGCCCAGGCCTTTCCTGGGCCTTAAAGCATGACAAAATAACGAAGGAATTCTTAACAGGACCCATTTAGGATTAAACAAGTTTTATTAGGGGTCTGAAGAAACTCCCCAGGCCTCCACAAACAAGTTTATTGGAGGTCTGAAGGAACTCTCCAAATCTCCGTGATTTAGCAGGAGATAAGATAAGGGTAATCACCCCAGAACCTAGACCCACTTAGATGAAGTAAACTTACTGAGGCTCCAGAAGAAGGGCTTCAGGACTCAGACTTTAGTTACAGATTAAAAGAAGTTAATCACTTACATCTTCAGATGAATGCACACTTACATGCAGACATATAGGTTAGAAGGTACATAAGCTCAGAAAAACTTTGTAATTTTAAGTCGGTCTGGTGATAATTTCCAGGCCTCCCTGTAACAGTTACAGAAATAAAAACTCTCTTCCTCCCCAGTTCATCTGCATCTCGTTATTGGGCCACAAGAAACAGCAACCCGACCCTCAGTTTGGTCCGGGAACAAGACTGCAACATCAACTCATCTCTGCCCAACTGCCCTGTGAATTTCAGACTTGAAAGCCCCACAATCGCATAAGTGAATTCCTTAAAATCAGTCTCTTTCTCTCCCTACCCCCGACCCCTCCCCATATACAGAGTGGGCATGCGCGTTACCCACCACTCTAAATTCAGTGAGATCCCTTCCAACCCACTAGCAAAGCAGCCAGTCCTAATGGTTTGCCTTACCCTGACTACTGGTTGTTTTTCTGTAAAACCCTAACACAGGGGTTTGGTTTTGTTTTTCTGGAGAACCCTAAGGATACAGTAAATATACCTGGGGAAATGACTAACTACACTAAAAAATACATTCTGAGAGGGAAGACTTCCAGCTACAGCCTAGTGAGAAGGTAGTTAATTCCTCTCCCCAAAAACCAATGATAAAGCTGGGTGAAATGGGCAAAACAACCCTTTCAGTGCTCTGGAAATCCACCAGAAGAATACAACAACCTGAGAAGCATTTATGCTTGAAAAACTGCTAAAAGGTGGGTAAGAACAATGAGGGTCTGTGTAAGGTTACTCCCACCTCATCTACTCATTCAGTAGGTACAGAGGTTCTGCAAGGCAGAGCAGGGCAAGGCAAACCATTAGGACTGACAGTTCACTGAGTTTGGAGTGGGGAAGAACGCACATGACCACCTGCACTGTCAGAGTAAGTGATGGAGCAGGTGGGAGGCGAGTGAGAGGGTGAACAGCTCTAGAAGGTGGAGGTTGCAGTCTGGGTGGGGCACATTTGTTGGCCAACCCAGAAGTGGCATGCAGGCACAGAGGAGACATGAAAGGACTGGGTGGAAAGTAAAAGACAGCAGATCTGAAAAAGCCTAAACTTTGTATGTGCTCCCTACCCACAGAGATCTACTGGCAGAGGACAAATGCCTTACTGGCTCAAGATGTCTGAGGCAACCACTGTCCAAGCACTGGGTGACCACTGATCACTAAGCTATGCAGACAGGAAGGCAACTCCTAGAAAGCCATGCTTAAAAATGAAAACAATTATAAAGTGTGTGCACACTTGTTTTTAAAAAAGCTTTATTGAAGTGTAATTTATATATAGTATGTGAACTTCCAAAACCTAAGACAGGTATCAGTTAATTTAGAAAGTCTATTTTGCCAAGGTTGGGGAACACGCCTGTGAAACAGCCTCAGGAAGTCCTGATGACCTGTGCCCAAGGTGGTTGAGATACAGCTTGGTTTTATACATTTTAGGGAGACATGAGACATCAATCAATATATGTAAGAAGTACATTGGTTCCGTTTGGAAAGGTGGGACAGCTCAAAGCAAAGGCAGTATATATACATTAAGTATATATACTTAAATAAAGTACATATACCTTACACTATATATACTTCATTAAAGTTGTTTAGATATAAACAATCCTAAAAGTGTGTGTGTGTATATACATATATATATGAGAGCAACATAAGCACACATTTAAATGACAAGGCAAATTTATAGAGACAGAGTGAAAAAGCAGGGATTTAAGTGCAAGCTTACATGAAGGAACTTTTTGCGGTGACTGAACTGTTCTAAAACTGAACTGTTGTCATAGTTGTACAACCCTATAAAATCTACTAAAAAATTATTGAATTACACCCTCATACTTGTGAAAGGAAAATAAATCTTGGGGCCCCCAAATCACTAAGCTAAAGGGAAAAGTCAAGCTGGGAACTGCTTATGGCAAACCTGCCTCCCATTCTATTCAAAGTCATCCCTCTGCTCACTGTCTGTCAAAGTATTTTTCTAGTAATGAATTCCTTTTTTTAAAAAAAAGCTGTATTGAAGTGTAATTTATATATATAGTATGTGAACCTCCAAAGTCTGAGACAGGTATCAGTCTCAGTCAGACAGATAGATGCATATATGATTGCCTCCTTTGGAAAGGCTAATCAGAAACTCAAAAGAATGCAACTGTGCGTCTCTCACCTATCAGTGACCTGGAAGCCCCTTCCCCGCTTCAAGTCTTCCTGCCTTTGCTTCGAGCTGTCCCACCTTTCCAAACGGAACCAATGTACTTCTTACATATATTGATTGATGTCTCATGTCTCCCTAAAATGTATAAAACCAAGCTGTATCTCAACTACCTTGGGCACACGTCATCAGGACTTCCTGAGGCTGCTTCACAGGCGTGTTCCCCAACCTTGGCAAAATAAACTTTCTAAACTAACTGATACCTGTCTCAGATTTTGGAAGTTCACATACTATATATATAAATTACACTTCAATACAGCTTTTTTTTAAAAAAGGAATTCATTACTAGAGAAGTACTTTGACAGTCTCAGTAGAATACACCAACTAAGAACTGGTTCTTATTTATTCATGTGTATACTCTTTTAATCATTCATTCAATATATGTTTGAGCACATAGTTTTGTGCCAGGCACTATATAAAGCTTCAACAAAGAATCACAAAGACTAGGTTGAGATTAAAATATCAGCTTAATAAGAAAAAACTGCAAAGAAAAAAGTATTAAGATAATTGGTGGCAATATAGCATTAAAATGTCTATGCAGGAGAATGGCGTGACGTGAACCCGGGAGGCGGAGCTTGCAGCGAGCCGAGTTCGCGCCATTGTACTCCAGTCTGGGCGACAGAGCAAGACTCTGTCTCAAAAAAAAAAAAAAAAAAATCTATGCAGAACATTGCATCCATTATGTTAAAAGACACACTTAAGATGATATCCTAATGTTCAATTCAAAAGGAGCCAGGTAGAAAGAAAAGGAAACAATGGCAAGAAAAGAGAATAATGTAGAAAACAGAGAAGAGTCGATCCTATTATACAATAACATTTTGGTTAAAGAAAGTAAAACCATATTACAGATTCAAAAAAAGAAAGCTTCCGGCTGGGCGCGGAGGCTCACACCTGTAATCCTAGCACTTTGGGAGGCCAAGGTGGGCAGATCATGAGGTCAGGAGATCGAGACCATCCTTGCTACGGTGAAACCCCATCTCTACTAAAAATACAAAAAATTAGCCAGGCGTGTTGGCGGGCACCTGTAGTCCCAGCTACTGGGGAGGCTGAGGCAGGAGAATGGCATGAACCCGGGAGGTGGAGCTTGCAGTGAGCTGAGATCCTGCCACCGCACTCCGACCTGGGAGACAGAACGAGACTCCGTCTCCAAAAAACAAACAAACAAACAAACAAACAAAACTTCCCTGAATGTAAACAGACACTATAGATGTAAGGATCTATACATCCATAGAGCAAAACAAATGGTAACAGACCCAATCTGGACACATCTTGGCAATTCCAAGCACGAAAAATTCTGCAGGCTTCCAAACAGAAAAAATGAAAAACCCAAACGACCAATAACAAGCTGACATTTGATGGCACTGAAACATTAAATGCTTGTCCTATGGTTTCCGTGTGTGTGTGTGTGTCTGTGTGTGTGTGTGTGTGTGTGTGTGTGTGTAGCCATGCTTTTATTTTTCAAGCTTGCTTTAAAGAACTTGTATGTTGCTTTTCTAACTAGGAAAAGATAAAGCAATATTTTAAAAATAAAAAGAACAGTCTTTCTTTTAAAATGGCATTTAGGCTAAGACCTGAAGAATGAGTAGGAATTAGTGAAGGGAAGAGCATTCCAAGAAAAAGTACGTAGATATGCAAAAGCCATGTAACGGGAAGGCGTTTTAACGCATTCAAGAAGCAGGAAGTAGGCCAGGCATGGTGGCTCACGTTTGTGATCCCAGCACTTTGGGAGGTCAAGGCGGGTGGATCACCTGAGGTCAAGAGTTTGAGACCAGCCTGGCCAAAATGGTGAAACCCTGTCTGTACTAAAAATACAAAAATTAGCCGTGGTGGCACATGCCTGTAATCCCAGCTACTCCGGAGGCTGAGGCAGGAGAATTGTTTGAATCTGGAAGACGAAGGTTGCAGTGAACCAAGATCACGCCACTGCACTCCATGCTGGGTGAGAGAGAGACACTCTTGTCTCAGAAAAAAAAAGAAGCAGGAAGTAGGCCAATGAAGCTGCAAGGCAGTGACCAAGAGGGAAAGTGGGTGAAAGGTCAAACTGGGCAGAGGTCAGATCACAAATCTTGTAGGTCAAGTTAAAGATATGAATTTTATGATAGACGTAGTCAGGTATCACTGATTTGAATATTTCATGCATGGAGTTACTTTCTCCAATTTATGTTTATAAAATCTCATTCTAGCCAAAACAATCTTAAAAAAGAACAAAGTTGGAGGACCCCCACTTCCCAATTTCAAAACTAAATGCTACAATCGTAAGACAATGTAGTACTGGCATAAAAATGGACACATAAATGAATAGAACAGAATTATCTGGAAATACGATGTTTATGGGAAAGTGATTTTTGACAAGGGTGCCAAGACAATTCAGTGAGGAAATAAGAGTCTTCTCAGCAAATGGTGCTCAGGCAACTGGATATCCACATGCAAAAGAATGAAGTTGGATACCTACCATATGCTGTTCTCAAAAATCAATTCAAAATGAATCAGACCTAAATGTATAAGCTAAAACCATAAAACTCTTAGAACAAAACAAAGGTGTAAATCTTCATGGCCTTGGGTTAAGTAGTGGTTTCCTAGACGCAACACCAAAAGTACAAACATCACCACCAAAAATGGATAAACTGGACTCCATCAAAATTAAAAATTTTTGTGCTTCAAAGGACACCACCAAGAAAGTGAAAGACAAACCAAAAAATGGGAGAAAATATCTGCAAATTATATGCCTGAGAAGGGATTTGTGTCCAGAACACGTAAAAAACTATTACAATTCAACAATAAAAAGATAAATAACAATTTTAAAATGGGCAAAGAATCAGAATACATATTTCCCCAAAGAATATATGCAAATGGTCAATAAGCACAAGAAAAGATGCTCCACATCATCAGTCTAGGAAAATACAAATCAAAATCACAATGAGATACCACTTGACACCCACTAGATGACAACATGGGCAGTAACAAATGTTGATAAAATGTGGTTAAATTAGAACCCTCATACAGTGCTGAAGGGATTGTAAAATGGTGCAACCACTTTAGAAAACACATTGACAGTTTTCCTCAGAAGGCTAAACAGAGAGTTACTGCTGATGTGGGAGATGAGCCCAGGAGTGTGAGACAAGCATGGGCAACACAGTATGAGACCTCATCTCTACAAAAAATAATTTAAAAACTATTCAGGCATGGGCCGGGCGCGGTGGCTCATGCCTGTAATCCCAGCACTTTGGGAGGCCGAGGCAGGTGGATCACAAGGTCAGGAGATCGAGACCATCCTGGCTAACATGGTGAAACCCATAAAAAAATTAGCCGGGCATGGTGGTGGGCGCCTGTAGTCCCAGCTACTCGGGAGGCTGAGGCAGGAGAATGGCGTGAACCCGGGAGGCAGAGCTTGCAGTGAGTGGAGATCACGCCACTGCACTCCAGCCTGGGAGACAGAGCGAGACTCTGTCTCAAAAAACAAACAAACAAAAAATTAATCAGGCATGGTGGCACGTGCCTGTGGTCCCAGCTACTCAGGAGGCTGAGGTGGGAGGATTACTTGAGCCTGGGAGGTTGAGGCTACAGTGAGCCATAATCACACCATAGCTCCAGCCTGGGCAACAGAGTGAGTCCCTGTCTCAAAAAAAAAAAAAAAAAAAAATTTTTTTTAATAAGAAACAAAATAAATTAAAAAATAGTTACCATGTGATCAAGCAGTTCTACCCAAGAGGACTGAAACACATCTCCACATAAGAATTTGTACACCTATGTTCACAGCATTGTTATTCATAGCCAAAAAGTAGAAACAACCAAAATGTCCATGAATTGATAAATGGATAAACAAAATGTGGTATATCCACAAAATACAGTATTATTCAGCCATAAAAAAGAACAAATACATGCTACAACATGGATAAACCTTGCATCCACTTCTATCACTTAAAGATGTTAAGTGATAGTGAGAGATGACAGCGTGCTGGCAGTCCTCACAGCCCTTGCTCGCTCTGGGCGCCTCCTCTGCCTGGGCTCCCACTTTGGTGGCACCTGAGGAGCCCTTCAGCCCACCGCTGCACTGTGGGAGCCCCTTTCTGGGCTGGCCAAGGCTGGAGCCGGCTCCCTCAGCTTGCAGGGTGGTGTGGAGGGAGAGGCGCGAGCGGGAACCAGTGCTGCCCGTGGTGCTTGCGGGCTAGCTGGAGTTCCGGGTGGGCGTGGACTTGGCGGGCCCCGCACTCGGAGCAGCTGGCTGGCCCTGCCGGCCCCGGGCAATGAGGGGCTTAGCACCCAGGCTAGCGGCTGCAGAGGGTGTACTGGGTCCCCCAGCAGTGCCAGCCTTAGCTGGGACTTAGCTGCCTTCCCACGGGGCAGGGCTCAGGACCTGCAGCCCGCCATGCCTGAGCCTCCCACCCCCTCCATAGGCTCCTGTGCCACCCCAGCTTCCCTGACAAGTGCCACCCCCTGCTCCACGGCACCCAGTCCCATCAACCACCCAAGGCCTGCGGAGTGCGAGCGCACAGCATGGGACTGGCAGGCAGCTCCACATGCAGCCCCGGTGCGGGATCCACTGGGCGAAGCCAGCTGGGCTCCTGAGTCTGGTGGGGACGTGGAGAACCTTTATGTCTAGCTCAGGGATTGTAAATACACCAATCAGCACTCTGTATCTAGCTCAAGGTTTGTAAACACACCAATCAGCACCCTGTGGTTAGCTCAGGGTTTGTGAGTGCACCAATCGACACTCTGTATCTAGCTGCTCTGGTGGGGCCTTGGAGAACCTTTATGTCTAGCTCAGGGATTGTAAATACACCAATCGGCACTCTGTATCTAGCTCAAGGTTTGTAAACGCACCAATCAGCACCCTGTGTCTAGCTCAGGGTTTGTGAATGCACCAATCGACACTCTGTATCTAGCTGCTCTGGTGGGGCCTTGGAGAACCTTTGTGTCGATACACTGTATCTAACTAATCTGATGAGGACGTGGAGAACCTTTGTATCTAGCTCAGGGATTGTAAACACACCAATCAGCGCCCTGTCAAAACAGACCACTCGGCTCTACCAATCAGCAGGATGTGGGTGGGGCCGGATAAAAGAATAAAAAGCAGGCTGCCCAAGCCAGCAGTGGCAACCCGCTCGGGTCCCCTTCCACACTGTGGAAGCTTTGTTCTTTCGCTCTTTGCAATAAATCTTGCTACTGCTCACTCTTTGGGTCCACACTGCTTTTATGAGCTGTAACACTCACCACGAAGATCTGCAGCTTCACTCCTGAAGCCAGCGAGACCACAAGCCCACCGGGAGGAACGAACAGCTCCAGACGCGCTGCCTTAAGAGCTGTAACACTCACCGTGAAGGTCTGCAGCTTCACTCCTGAGCCAGCGAGACCATGAACCCACCAGAAGGAAGAAACTCCGAACACAGCCGAATGTCAGAAGGAACAAACTCCAGACGCACCACCTTAAGAGCTTAACGCTCACCGCGAGGGTCCGCGGCTTCATTCTTGAAGTCAGTGAGACCAAGAACCCACCAATTCCAGACACAATAGTAGTCACTTATGAAAGACTACATACTGTATGATTCCATTTACATGAAATGTCCAGAATAGGCAAATCTGTAGACAGTAAAATAGTTGCCTGGAGCTGGAGGGTGGGGGAAGATGAAGAGTGACTAGTTTTTGTTTGTTTGTTTGAGACAGAGTCTTGCACTGTCACCCAGGCTGGAGTGCAGGGGCGTAATCTCAGCTCACTGCAACTTTCGCCTCCCAGGTTCAAGTGATTCTCCTGCCTCAGCCTCCCGAGCAGCTGGGACTACAGGTGCGTGCCACCATGTCCAGCTAATTTTTGTATTTTTTAGTAGAGACGGGGTTTTACAATATTGGCCAGGATGCTCTTGATCTCTTGACCTCATGATCCGCCCGCCTCGGCCTCCCAAGAAGTGACTAGTAATGAGTATGGGGTTTCTTTTTGAAGTGATAAAATACTCTAAACCTAGATAGTAGGGAATTTTATGGTATGTGGATTTTATCTCAATAATACTGTTTTAAAAAATCACTAAACACTTAACAGAATGGCTAAAATATACTGAACCGTGCTGACAAGGATAAAAAGCAACTGGAACTCCCACATTTTGCTACTGGGAATGCCCAATGATAGATATATCTACTGTGAAAAAGAGTTTCGCAGAGTCCAATAAATGTAAATATATACTTACCATACAACAATGGCATTCCTGAGCATTTATCCTAGTAAATGAAACCCTATTCACCCAAAACCTGTACATAAATGTCTATAGCAGCTCTAGTCATAATCACCAAAATCTGGAAATTATCCAATGAGTTAATCTGAATAAAGTGTGACATATTCACTGCTGGAATAGTACTCAGCAATAAAAAGGAACAAACTCTTGATATGTGCAACAACTTGGATGAATCTCAAAGGCATTATGCTGTGTGAAAGAAGCCAGTCTCAGCCGGGTGCGGTGGCTCATGCCTGTAATCCCAGCATTTTGGGAGGCCGAGGCAGGCAGATCACGAGGTCAGGAGATCGAGACCATCCTGGCTAACACAGTGAAACCCCGTCTCTACTAAAAATACAAAAAATTAGCTGGGCGTGGTGGCGGGTGCCTGTAGTCCCAGCTACTCCGGAGGCTGAGGCAGGACAATGGTGTGAATCTAGGAAGCGGAGCTAGCAGTGAGTCGAGATCGTGCCACTGCACTCCAGCCTGGGTGACAGAGCGAGACTGTCTCAGAAAAAAAAAAAGCCAGTCTCAAAATTATTCCTTTCATAAAACATCCTCAAAAAGACAAAACTATAGATCAGTGGATGCCAGGGGACTGTGTGACTATAAAGGGATATAACTGGGATGATGGAACTATTCTGTATTGTAACTGTTACATGACTCAATATATGTATCAAAAGTCACAGAACTGTGCATAAAAAATTCTATTTTATTATGTAGTAATTTCAAAAATTTTTTTTTAATCACAAGAGATTTGAGGGGAAACACTGGGGGAAGGAGGAAGACAGATGGCAGGAGAGAACCAAGAACAGGAGTTTCTGATCCTCAATTTTCCAATTAATGTTTGTGATTGAACAGATAATAGATTCGGTGTGATAGAAATATATGAAGCAAATAATTTATAGCAGAGGAATGATCCTAGAAAAAGTCTTGTATTTTCCATCTTATGAACACTTAAATAAAAATTGATTTAAAATCTGAACAAAGCAAACCAAACTCACTCAGTGAACCAAAGAGAAGTGTTCTTATGGATCCAATAAGCTTATGGATCCAATATGGTTGATTTCATTTCAACCATTTATACAGTTATACAGGAATGATTCTTCTAGTATATTCCATTTATTTAGGGGGTTACATATATGATACATGAGGGAAGATAAATAACTACTCTGAAATGGCAAAGCTTTTTGATAAAATTTTGTACTATTTTAAATTACACTTAACTTGCCAACTTCTGATACATGTCAGAATGCAACAGGTAATAAATGATTCAACTTCTTTCAAAAATTACCTTAGTTGATTTGCTGAAAGAGAGCAAGAAAATAAAATTTCCTTAACAACAATTTGATTGTAGGAAAACAAGGTAACTACCTTTGAAAGTAGAGATACAAAATATTCACCAATCAAAAGTTAACATGAAAGCCTTCTACATTACTAAAGAAGCAACCAATAGTTTCTGATACCCTCTAATGACTTCCCATTAAAATACTCCCAGTATTGAAAACTAATTTTGAAAAACAAAAAAAGAAACCTCAAATTCCCAGCAAAATACATACAAAAACTAAACCTGGAAATATACTTGTAATGCATTTCCTTGTCCAAAAACATACTTGTAGATCATTTTAATGCCTGCATAGTACTCTACTGAAAGGATTTACCAGCATTTATTTGGCTGATTCTCCATTATTATTTGCATGTTTTTAAATCTTCATTACTGTGATATATTACTATGATAACTATTCTTGTATTTACAAACATCTTTACACACGATTGTTTTCTTAAACTAAATTTTAGAAGAGGAATTGTTAGGTAAGGGAGGGTGAAGTGTGCTTGATTATAAAGGATTTAATAAATATTTGATTCATCTCTTTCTCATACCCAACATCCAAATCTGAGAAAAAAAAAAAAATCTGTTGGCTCTACTTTCAAAATACAGTCAGAATCAGACTACTTCTCAACACATCCACTACCACTGCCAGCATCTTGCACCAGGATTACTGACAGGTATCCTTACTTCTACTGCTGCCCATTAGAGTCTATTCTCAACTCGGCATCCAGAGGGGTCCTTGTTTTTATAAAACAAAAGGACTGGGGAAGCTGAGGTGGGAGGATTGCTGATATCCAGGAGGTCGACGCTGCAGTGAGCCATGATCACACCACTGCCCTCCAGTCTGGGCAACAGAGCCACACCCCAGCTCTAAAAACTAACTAAATTAATTAATTAATTAATTAAACAAAAAGATTGTGCCATTCCTCTGCTGAAAGCCTGGTATTTGTTTTCCAAATGGTCACTTAAAGGCTTATTTTGGGCTGGGCGCAGTGGCTCACGCCTGTAATCCCAGCACTTTGGGAGGCCGAGACGGGTAGATCACAAGGTCAGGAGTTCAAGACCAGCCTGACCAAGATGGTGAAACCCCGTCTCTACTAAAAATACAAAAATTAGCCAGGCATCATGGCGGGTGCCTGTAATCCCAGCTACTCGGGAGGCTGAGGCAGAAAATTGCTTGAACCCAGGAGGCGGAGGTTGCAGTGAGTTGAGACTGCACCACTGCACTCCAGCTTGGGCGACAGAGTGAGACTCCATCTCAAAAAAAAAAAAAAAAAAAAAAAGCTTATTTTAAGGCATCCAACACCAAACTGTGTTAAATTTCTCCGCCTGTTTTTCCACTGCTTCTGTCAGGAAATCCCTATAGGCATCCAAAAAGTAGCACTAATTGATGATAATAGCTTATCATCCCAAAACAGTAGTTTGTTGTTCAAAGTAATTGAGAAGGCACCCCTCACCTTCAGAGATTTCATAAGGACTCAAATGAAGGCAACTCCCTCTTTACTAAGGGATAATTTAGGGCAAAGAATACCTTGCCATATATTCAAGCATACTTGTTAGTTGTCAACGGACACAAATTTGAGTGATTCTCTTCAAGTTTTAATTTTTGCTGTATTTTAAATTAAACATTAAAAGGCATTCGCTAAATGTACGTTAATTAATAGGGGGAGAGTATGTTCCATAGCCCTTCAAGATATCTGAATACAAGTAAATGATCAAAGGCCTTGTAAGGGATACCAAAAAGGGAAAACAAAGGGATTTTGGCTTCTCCAAAAACATTCTCATTAGTTTTCATTACGCTTGTGAAGCCTAATTTTCTCTCTTTGGATGTTTCTTAACTTGCAGAATCAGTCCTAAGAGGGGTCTTTAGATCATCTACGTATAATGCTCTCATTTTATAGATGTACAAACTGAGGCCCAAGTAGCACATTCTCCTCGTGACTTCTCTAAATCTTACCTATTCTTCAAAGGTCACTATTCATCAAATCATATATATTTTACTTAGTCCAAAAGATGTTGAATGCCTGAAGCCCAGAGATTTGCCTATGTCCCATCCTCTACCAGAGCATACTTAGCAGAGCACCAGCTCACAGTGTATACTGAACCTACAAAAAAACAGGTACCTGGCGGGGCACAGTGGCTCACGTCTGTAATCCCAGCACTTTGGGAGGCTGAGGCGGGCGGATCACGAGGTCAGGAGATCGAGACCATCCTGGCTAACATGGTGAAACCCCGTCTCTACTAAAAAATACAAAAAATTAGCCAGGTGTGGTGACAGGCGCCTGTATTCCCAGCTACTCGGGAGGCTGAGACAGGAGAATGGCGTGAACCTGGGAGGCAGAGCTTGCAGTGAGCCGAGATCACACCACTGCACTCCAACCTGGGTGAAACAGCAAGACTCCGTCTCAAAAACAAAAACAAAAACAAAAACAAAACAGGTACCTAACCAAACTGGGAAGTACCTTTTTCTAGATAAGAGACTATAGTGTTTGAGGCTCCACTCACACCTTCATACTAATTCTTCTCAAATTCTAAAAAAAGGTAGTCCTTTGATTTAAGAAGTACAGTAAAAGCTGGCCTGATCATTACCCTTATATACTAAAACACTGTGTGCATGTGTGTTTACACACGTGTGCGTGTGCATGCACACACACAAACATGGCCTCTATCCGTTACTTTATTTCTTTTTATTTATTTATTTATTGAGACTGAGTCTCTGTCACCCAGGCTGGAGTGCAATGGCACAATCTCGGCTCACTGCAACCTCTGCTTTCTGGGTTCAAGTGATTCTCCTGCCTCAGCCTCCCCGGTAGCTGGGATTACAGGCATGTGCCGCCACGCCCAGCTGATTTTTGTATTTTTAGTAGAGATGAGGTTTCACCATGTTGCCCAGGCTGGCCTTGAACTCCTGATCTCAGGTGATCCGCCCGCCTCAGCCTCCCAAAGCGCTGGGATTACAGGCGTGAGCCACTGTGCCAGGCCCTCTTTCCATTACTTTTAAACTCCACTTTGCTGTATTTTCAGACAGCAGATCAATATTTTCTCAACTAGGACATTTATAGAGCTAAGGTTGATCTAAAAAGAATACCAGAATGGGCCGGGTGCGGTGGTTCATGCCTGTAATCCCAGCACTTTGGGAGGCCAAGGCAGGCGGATCACCTGAGGTCAGGAGTTCAAGACCAGCCTGGCCAACATGGCGAAACCCCGTCTCTACTAAAAATACAAAATTAGCCAGGCGTGGTGGCGCGTGCCTGTAATCCCTGCTACTCAGGAGGCTGAGGCTTGAGAATCGCTTGAACCCAGGAGGTGGAGGTTGTGGTGAGCCAAGATCGTGCCATTGCACTCCAGCCTGGGCAACAAGAGTGAAACTCCATCTCACAAAAAAAAAAAAAAAAAAAAAAAAAAAAAAAGAATACCAGAATGTTCAGGCTCAGTTTTATCTCCAGGGGAGAGAAAAAGCACTGAAACACTGCAATAAACGTATCTGAGGAATCACTATTAATAGAACTGCTCTTTCCCAGCAGGCCAAATGAAATAGACTCCTAGAAATAATGCCTTAGAGAAGAGAGTGCTGACATTACATTTCTATACTTACATATTTGCAAATTTTATAAACTAAGATTGCTAACCAAAAACAGGATCAGTCAACAAAAGTAGAGATACAGAGGTCAGCAGCCAGCAAGGCCATGCCCAACACCCAGTGCACACACACAGGCCCAGGTACACACACTCAAGAGCACATTCACCACACCCTGCTGTTATAATCAGGAACATGGCTATATTCTAGGTCCAAAGAGATGCTGGGGACATGTCCTAGCAAAAGATAAATTACAGGAATGTAACAACGCCCCTAAAAGCTGTCTTTCCTTTGTTAATCACTAGTTCCTTGCCTCTCATACCCATTCATGATGCCAACCAACGTGGCAAACAGCAACAGCCAATACCACTGTGCCTGCTGACTAAAGTCCAGTCTGTATCTGGTTTCTCCATTTACTTCTAGCCTGTTAGCAAAAGGAAAAATAATTTTATCACATGCTTGAACTTGCCAATGAATAAATGCACAGAGACTGATTTTGAATGACAGCTTTGCCATGCAGTACAGACTTCAAATCTGACCTAAATGAAACCATTGTTGCAAGAGCCATTCTTATGTCAGCTCATGGTCAGAGCATCAACATGGGAACACCTTTTCCTAGCTGCACGTTAGGGGCTGGCACCAGACCCACTAACGAGTAGCAAATGGCAAGAAGAATATGGTATACACAGCTGACAATCTTTGAAAGTCAGCTGATACTCACTACTTAAAGGAGCAGTGAACTTCAAAAAAACCCATACCAAGAACTGGACCTAATGCCTAGAACACAAATGGAGACAGGAGCACAAGTTAAACTAAAGCAAAACATCTGTAAAGGTTCAAGTTAAATGAAATGATGTCTCGGCTTTGCTTCAGAAATATCTGAGAGCAGGAATGTGTGGAGGGTATATATGAAATTAGACTGCTATGAGCTCACTGTTGAAGCTGAGTGATGGGCACTTGAGGGCTCAATATAGCAGTCTCTATTTTGGATATGTTTGAAATTTTTCATAATAAAGAGTTAAAATGAAATAAAACAAAATAAAAAATTGAAGTTACCAAGTTCCAAACTTCTCAGACCTATAAATCAGGAAATCATTGTTGGCTAAACTATTTATCTTTTAGATTCATCAAGTTCATGTTTATAATCTGTTTAGACCACCCATGATGAGGAACAAAGAAAGCAAATTTCTTCAAATTATATATTCTTATTCGGTAACTCAAGTTTATGCCATTTTTCTACCAAACTTGTAACTTTTTTTTTTTTTTTTTTTTTTTTGAGACAGGGTCTTACTCTGTCACCCAGGCTGGAGTGCAATGGCATATAGCTCACTGCAGCCTCCAACTCCTGGGCTCAAGTGATCCTCCCACCTCAGCCTCCTAAGTAGCTGGGACTGCAGGGGCATGCAAACCATACCTGGCTAATTTTTTGTTTCTTTCTTTCTTTCTTTTTTGTAGAGACAAGGCCTCCTTATGATGCCCAGGCTGGTCTTGAACCCCTGGCCTCAAGTGATCCTCCCACATCAGCCTCCCAAAGTGCTGGAATTACAAACATGAACCACCACACCCAGCCCCTCATAACCTTTAGAATGAAAAGTAACTGAATAGAAAAAGTAGAAGAGAAGATGGCATTGAATTAATGTAAAAGAAGCCTGGTGTATTAGAGTCAGAAGACCTGGGCTCTAGTCTGGAATCAGTTTTTTCTTAGTCACATGGCACTAGATAAATCATTAAGCTTCAGTTCTGTCATCCACAAAATAGAGATAATGATAATCAAACCCTTCTTCACAAGTAATTAGAGTAGAAATTACAAAAGGAAGAAGACAGACTGGAGACAAAATGCAAAGGAAAAAGGGACACCTGCAAGTTCTCTCTCACAGCACTGCTGGGGCAATCACATGGAAACATGTGAAGGGGCTTTTAAAGAACAGGGGCCCAGGGCACCCTTCCTTCACTGTCTCCTGCTCATCTTCCACCTTTACCTTCACCTCCCAGCACTCCTCCCATGCAGCCTGACCCCCTGAGAATCATTCCCCATTGACATCAGACCCCTCCACGCCTGGCCTCTGCTCATGGTGCTGCCTCCAGTACCATGCCGCTTTCTCTCTTTTACACATATCTCCTCAGTCAACCTGTCCCTGACTGCCTTTTTTCGTCTTTCCTGCACAAAAATCAATTGTTCCCTCTTCTGTAACCTCAAAGCACACATACCACTGTATTGTGGTTAGTTTACCTCACTAGACTATTTAAGTTCCTTTAAATCACAAATTAAAACCCATTCATTATTTAATATGCAGCAGATACATGAACACCAGATAAAATACAAAGCAAGGAAATTTTTTTTTTTTTTTTGAAACGGAGTCTCACTCTGTGGCCCAGGCTGGAGTGCAGTGGCACGATCTCAGCTCACTGCAAGCTCCACCTCCCGGGGTTCATGCCATTCTCCTGCCTCAGCCTCCCCAGTAGCTGGGACTACAGGTGCCTGCCACCACGCCCAGCTAATTCTTTTTTTGTATTTTTTAATAACAGGGTTTCACCGTGTTAGCCAGGATGGTCTCAATCTCCTGACCTTGTGATCCACCTGCCTCGGCCTCCCAAAGTGCTGGGATTACAGGCGTGAGCCACCACACTTGGCCTAAGCAAGGAATTTATAGACGAATAGGTAACTAGTGATATCTTTCTTAAATCCCCTTAAAATACCTATAAAGTCATCTGATATAAAGCAAATAGTCAACAAATAAACATCGAAAATGAAACAAGGAACTATGAATAAACAGAAAGAAAGTAATCTGGAACTGATGAAAAAAACTTTGCAATTTCAATCATTGCCTCAAAAAGATATTCTGCAATCAATAAAATAATTACAAAATTCATAGCAGAGAGGAAAAACAGTTTTCCAAGTCTTTGGAAAGAAAGAGTCCTACAGATATTAACTGTTAGAATACTAACAGTAATCAATGACACTAAAAAGAAAAGCCCAGATTTTAAAAAGTCAACTCTGTATTCAAACTTATGTTTCAAAAGCAACATCACAAAGCAGTGACCAAAGATTAATTTACAGCACTGCATTCCCTTACTCACACTCCTACACTCACCCTGCTTCATCTGCAGCCAGCTCTCACTTACACTGTAATGATTCAAATCGATTTGCAACCAAGACTTCTATCCCAATCTCAGACTTGATCATTTAAAGGCTAAGGGACAATTCTATCTGGATGTTCACCGGCATGTTACACTCAACGAACACTAAATGGAACCTACCTTCCCTAGTAAATCTCTTTTACTCTTCCCTTTCCTCCATTGGTCAATGAACCACTTTCTCTCTGATTCTCAAGCTTAAAACCAGGGAACCTTTATGTAGTTTCTCCCTTAACCTCTCCATGAGTAACTGGTAAAGTCCCGTCAATTCTTCCTCCTTCATCTCCCTTTACTTGATTTCCCTCAATTTTTTTCCCTGCTGATAATTACGGAAAAAAAATCAGTTTAATCCTCACCCTCTTCCTTTCTCATATGAACTCCACAGCCTCCTAAATGGTCTGAGTTCTGACTTCTTTCCATCAGTTGAATCACTAACTTGTCTCAGGAATTAGCTTTTTTTTTTTTTTAAGACGGAGTCTCACTCTGTTGCCCAGGCTGGAGTGCAGTGGCACAATCTCGGCTCACTGCAACCTCCACCTCCCAGGTTCAAGCAATTCTCCTGCCTCAGCCTCCCGAGTAGCTGGGATTACAGGCATGTGCCACCACACCCAGCTAATTTTTGCATTTTTAGTAGAGACGGGGTTTCACCATGTTGTCCAGTCTGGTCTCAAACTCCTGACCTCAGGTGATCTACCCACCTTGGCCTCCCAAAACATTGGGATTACAGGTGTTAGCCACCGCTCCCAGCCAGGAACGACCTTTCTAAAATGCAAATATACTTATGATGCTCCCTTGCTTAAACCTCTTCCACAACTTTCTACTTTTTTCAAAAAAATTAAGTCCTCACCATAACGTTAGTACAAGGCCGTTCCTGACCCAGCCCTTGTCTGCTCCCCAGCCTGTTTCACCACCCACCCACCCACCACCCCCACACACTCACCCAGTGCCACTGTCATCCACCTGAAGCATCCCTTCCTTGTTTGAGCCTCCGCATGCACTGCAGCTTTTGCGTGTCTCTCTGCCTGATGACTCTCACTCATCCTTCAACATTCCACTTTAATGCCATCTTTCCTGCGCAGCTTTCCTGAAAGCTCTCTGCCACATACGACACAGGTGTCCTTCCTAGTGCCCTTGTATTTACCCTATATCACATCTCACACTACATGGTTACTTTGTCTGTTTTTCCAGTAGGCTGTGAGCTCCTTGAAACTAGAGCCTTTTGAATGAATTAATGAATTTTAGATTGCCAATAAGGTAATTATGGCTGTAATTAGATTCTATAAGTATAATTAGTTGTGAGTTCTTGGGACATATTGACTATATCTTATCTTTTTCAGTTTCTCCATAGTATATAACAATATACTACAAGCATATTGAGCACTTGATAAATGTGCATTGACTGATCCTGCTAAAACTTTCTCAATAAAAGCCCAGACAGCTAATGCTTTCCTAGGATTAGAACATTACTTTTTTCTTCTGGTTCCAGTGTTATAATATGGTTTGACTACATTTAAAAAAAACTAAAAATACAGAGTTCACCTCCTTTTTTTTTCCTTTGACCCTTGCTCTTCTAATCCACTCCCTTTATTGATCAGTCTATTTCATCTGCCTCTATCATCACTTTGCACTCTTGTTGATGAATGAATCAAAATCTTTTTTGCAATCCCTTACATTGCTGCAACGAAAAATAAGGTAAAGGAACATTTCTGTTCTAGAATTTTACACATAAGGAAACTGAGGCCCAGAAGGAATAAAAAACTTCCTTAATATACTGCTACATGGCAAATTATTTGCCAAGCTGGAACCCAGGTCTGACTGTATACCATGGTACGTCCCAGTCATTATTAGGCTTGGCATGAACAAAAAGCCAGGTATGCAACAATTATGGTGCAAATGAAGTAAATTTAAGACCATCTGCTATTATTTATAAGGCTTTCATTAGCAAATAGTTTTTAAAAATATACTCAGCTTTTGAACTGTATTTTCTCCAGAATTGTCCTATCATGACCACCTCAGATCTAATTAGAATGACAGAAGAAAACTATAAATCCATGTAGCCATTATGCTTTACTTATAAAAATGAGCAGGATGCATATTTGCACACTTTCTGCAAGTCCCTGAAGATTTCATCTGGGAGAGATTAAGAATGGAGAACTAGATTTGGACTCAAGAAATAACAGATATATACGGAGGCTAGAAAGTAGCCTGGCAAATAGCTCTACCTTTCCTGTATATTTTCCAGTTTAGTTTTGCTTTAGCCTAGTCACTCTCATATGAAAGTAGGTTTCCCATGTTTGTTGTGGGAAATTATGCCTCTAGCCCAAAATTACTTGGAGCTGGAATTTTGTGATGTTCTCTATGAAAAGCTGGGCATCAAATATTTGATCAGAAACCACTGCTATGGCCAGGTGCAGTGGCTCATGCCTGTAATCCCAGCACTCTGGGAGGCTGAAGCGGGTGGATCACTTGAGGTCAGGAGTTCGAGACCAGCATGGCCAACATGGCAAAACCCTGTCTCTACTAAAAATACCAAAAAAAAAAAAAAAAAAAAATTAGCCAGGCGTGGTGGTACATGCCTGAAGTCCCAGCTACTCAAGAGGCTGAGGCAAAAGAATTGCTTAAACCGGGGAGGCAGAGGTTGCTGTGAGCTGAGATTGCGCCACTGCACTCCAGCCTAGATGACAGAGCCAGACTCTGCCTCAAAATAAAATAAAATAAAATAAAACACTATAATAACAATTTTTTTTTTTTTTGAGATGGAGTCTTGCTCTGTCACCCAGGCTGGAGTGCAGTGGTGCAATCGCAGCTCACTGCAAGCTCCACCTCCCAAGTTCATGCCGTTCTCCTGCCTCAGACACCCAAGTAGCTGGGACTACAGGCGCCCGCCACCACACCCAGCTAACGTTTTTGCATTTTTAGTAGAGATGGGGTTTCACCTGTGTTAGCCAGAATGGTCTTGATATCCTGACCTTGTGATCTCCCCGCCTCAGCCTCCCAAAGTGCTGGGATTACAGGCGTGAGCCACCGCGCCCAGCCCTATAATAGCAATTTCTGTGGGCAAAACTGAACTTTCATTGTCTTGTTATACCTTTCCAATAATTATAAAAACATATCACATGTACAACCATGTACTGTTATTTAATTTTTACAGGGTAGAAAATTCTTACTCATACATTTCAATTAAATGTTACATACATTAAATGAGCATATAAATGAGTATGATTTATCATCTGCCTTCAAAGAACTAGTAGCTTAGCAAGGAGAGAAGAAAAGAAACTAACCATATATGCCATGATAAAATAATAAAAAGAGCATACAAAAGGCATGAACAAAGACATACAGGCATTTCAAGGAAGGATCACATCCATAGGCTCAGAAAAGGCTACACGAAGAAAATGACATTAGAATGAATCTTAAGGGGGACCGGGTACAGTGGCTCACACCTATAATCCCAGCATGTTGGGAGGCCAAGGCGGGCAGATCACTTGAGGTCAGGGGTTTGAGACCAGCCTGACCAACATGGTGACACCTTGTCTCTAATAAAACACAAAAATTATCTGGGCATGGTGGTGGGTGCCTGTAATCGCAGCTACTCAGGAGGCTGAGGCAGGAGAATTGCTTGAATCCGGGAGGCAGAGGTTACAGTGAGCCAAGATCGTACCACTTCACTCCAGCCTGGGCGACAGGGTCAGACTCCATCTCAAAAAAAAGAAAAAGGCCAGGCGCGGTGGCTCACACCTGTAATCCCAGCACTCTGCGAGGCCGAGGCGGGCGGATCACAAAGTCAGGAGATCAAAACCATCCTGGTCAACATGGTGAAACCCCACCTCTACTAAAAATACAAAAAATTAGCCAGGCATGGTGGCACACGCCTGTAGTCCCAGCTACTCGGGAGGCTGAGACAGGAGAATTGCTTGAACCCAGGAGGCAGAGCCGAGATCACACCAGTGCACTCCAGCCTGGGCGACAGAGCAAGACTCCATCTCAAACAAACAAACAAACAAACAAATAAATAAATAAATGATGTGTTAGATTCAAAGACCAAACAGGCTGAAAGCAAAACAAAGGGAAAAGATATATCATGCAAACAGCAAACTATACAATGTCAGATACAATGCACTTTAAGACAAAAATTGTTACCACAAAAGAGACAAAAAAGACATTTTATAAGAGGGAAAATCCAACAATTCATCAAAAAAATACAATTATAAACATATATGCAAATAACAACAGAGCCCTAAAATACATGAAGCAAAAACTGACAGAATTCAAGTGAGAAATAGACAATTTAACAATAACAGTTGGAGGCCTCACTATCCCACTTTCACTAATGGATAAAGCAACTAGACAAAATATCAGCAAGGAAATAGAAGACTACAATACTACAAATCAACTAGATCTAACAAATATCTATACAAGCCTCCAAGCAACAATGGCAAAATATATATTGTTCTCAAATGACATGGAACTTTCTCTAGGATAGACCATGTGTTAGGCTTTCGAACAAGTCCCAATATATTTAAACCACTGAAAACATATAAAGTATATTCTCTGACCAAAATGAAATAAAATTAAAAAACAATAACCAAAAAAAAAGTTTGGGAAATTTACAAATATGTGGAAATGAAATACCACCCTCCTAAATAACCAATGAGCAAAAAAAGAAAACATTAGGAATATTACAAAATACTTTGAGTTGAAAGTACAAAACTCATGGGATGCAGCAAAAGCAGTGCTATGAGGGAATTTATAGCGTAAACACCTGTATTAAAAAAGATTGCAAATCAACAACCTAACTTTCTCCCTTAAGAAACTAGAAAAAGAGCAAACAGGGCTGGGTGCAATGGCTTACGCCTGTAATCCCAGCACTTTGGGAGGCTGAGGCACGCAGATCACGAGGTCAGGAGATTGAGACCATCCTGGCTAACATGGTGAAACTTCGTCTCTACTAAAAATACAAAAATTAGCTGGGCGTGGTGGCAGGCACCTGTAATCCCAGCTACTCGGGAGGCCGAGGCAGGAGAATCACTTGAACCTGGGAGGTGGAGGCTGCAGTGAGCCAAGATCGCGCCACTACACTCCAGCCTGGGCGACAGAGCAAGACTCCGTCTCAAAAAAAAAAAAGAAAAAGAGCAAACAAGACCAAAACCATCAGAAAGAAGGAAATAATAAAGACTACAGTGAAATAAATAAAACAGAAAATAGAACAGAGAAAATCAACAAAACCAAAAACTGGTTCTTTGAAAAGATCAGCAAAATTAACAATCTTTTAGCTAGACCGACCAATAACAAAAGAGAGAAGACTCAAATTATGAAAATCAGTAATGAAAAGGAGACGTAACTACCAACCCTACAAAAATAAAAGTGATCATAAACAAGCATAATCCAACAAAGTAATCTAGATAAAATGGACAAATTTCTAAAAGATACAAACTACTAATACTGACTCAAGAAAATATTAAAAATCTGAATAAATCTATAACAAAGCAAGTGAAAGAGTAATTTAAAATTTTCCACAAAGAAAAACCAGGACATTGGCCGGGCGCGGTGGCTCACATCCCAGCACTTTGGGAGGCCAAGGCGGGCGGATCACAAGGTCAGGAGATCCAGACCATCCTGGCTAACACGGTGAAACCCCGTCTCTACTAAAAATACAAAAATTAGCCAGCCGTCGTGGCGGGCGCCTGTAGTCCCAGCTACTTGGGAGGCCGAGGCAGGAGAATGGCGTGAACCCAGGAGGTGGAGCTTGCAGTGAGCCGAGATCGTGCCACTGCACTCCAGCCTGGGCGACAAAGCGAGACTCCGTCTCAAAAAAAAAAAAAAAGAAAGAAAAAGAAAAACCAGGACAAGATGGCTTCACTAGTAAATTCTATCAAAAGTTAAAAAAAAAAATTGACACTAATTCTTCTTAAAAATATATATTAGGAGGCTGGGCGCGGTGGCTCACGCCTGTAATCCCAGCACTTTGGAGGCCGACGCGGGCGGATCACGAGGTCAGGAGATCGAGACCATCCTGGCTAACATGGTGAAACCCCATCTCTACTAAAAATACAAAAAATTAGCTGGGCGTGGTGGCAGGCACCTGTAGTCCCAGCTACTCAGGAGGCTGAGGAAGGAGAATCGTGTGAACCCAGGAGGCAGAGCTTGCAGCGAGCCGAGATCGCGCCACTTCACTCCAGCCTGGGCGACAGAGCAAGGCTGCATCTCAAAAAATATATATATATACATATATATAATATTAGGGTCAGGTATGGTGGCTCACACCTGTAATCCTAACACTTTGGGAGGGGAGGTTGAGGTGGGCAGATCATGAGGTCAAGAGATGGAGACCATCCTGGCCAACATGGTGAAACCCCGTCTCTACTAAAAATACAAAAATTAGCCGGGCTTGGTGGCACGTGCCTGTAGTTCCAGCTACTCAGGAGGCTGAGGCAGGAGAATGGCTTGAACCCGGGAGGCGGAGGTTGCAGTGAGCCAAGATCGCGCCACTGCACTCCAACCTGGTGACAGAGAGAGACTCCATCTCAAAAAACATATATATATAAATATATTTAATATAATATAGATTAATATATTAAATATATATTTAAAACATATTAATATTTATATAGTTAATGCATATATCTTATAAATTATTTAGTGTAATATATAATATATATTATATAAAATGTATATCTATAAAAATATATATTTTAACCAATAAAAATATACATATAAATATATAATACATATTTAAAAACATATTAAATGCATATTATATATTTATATATATATTTTTGTTGGTGGCTTTTTTTTTAGGCAGGGTCTCACACTGTCGCCCAGGCTGGAGTGCAGTGGCAGGATCTCGCCTCCCCTCCCAGGTTCAAGAGATCCTCCTGCCTCAGCCTCCCAAGCAGCTGGTACTACAGGTGTGTGCCGCCATGCCATGCTAATTTTCATATTTTTTTATAGAGACGGGCTTTCATCATGTTACCCAGGCTGGTCTTGAACCCCTGGGCTCAAGCAATCTGCCTGCCTTAGCCTCCCAAAGTGCTGGAATTACAGGCATCAGTCACTGCACCAGCAACACCAATTCTTAACGACACTTCCGAACTCATTACATATACAGCCAATTTTAGTTGGATTTTGAAACCAAAAACACTACAAAAATAAATTGCAGCTCACTATTTATAAATAAATATAATTTATATTTATACTTATAAATACTTTAAAATTACAAAAAAATTAGTAAATATTAATAGTTAATATAGGGTAATAGTATATATTACTCTAAAAATGAAATAAAGGAGGACAATATTATATATGATTGTCTTTATTATGTGCTCAAAATAGATATTTCTATTCTATATAATATGAATCTATAAAGACAGAAAATAGATTAGTGGTTGCCTAGGGATGGAGAGGATGAAGAGTAGGAGAGTTGAGGATAATGGCTAAGGAGTGTGTGGTATGGTTTTTTTGTGGGTAGTAAAAATGTTCTAAAATTGATTGTGGTAATGATGTACAACTATATGAATATACTAAAAGTAAATGAATTTTACACTTTAAATGGTTGAACATGTGGCATGTGAATTATATCTCAATAAAGCTGTTATGAAACAAAAGGCAGGCTGGGAGCTACATGCTCCTTCTCAGGTGACTGTCTACTAAAACATAAAGTTTAAATATGATCTATAACTCCTAATATCCAAAATGTCCAAGATACAGTCAAAAGTCATTCATCGTAGCAAGAACCAGGAAAACCACAATTTGAATGAGAAAAGACAATTAACAGATGCCAACAACAGGATGAATCAGATGTTGGAATGATCTGACAGAGATTTTAAAGTAGCCATTATTCTTTTTTTTTTTTTTTTGAGATGGAGTCTCACTCTGTCTCCCAGGCTGGAGTGCAGTGGCACGATCTCCGCTCACTGCAAGCTCCGCCTCCTGGGTTCGCGCCTCAGCCTCCCAAGTAGCTGGGACTACAGGCACCCGCCACCAAGCCTGGCTAATTTTTTTTATTTTTAGTAGAGACGAGGTTTCACCGTGTTAGCCAGGATGGTCTCGATCTCCCGACCTCGTGATCTGCCCGCCTCGGCCTCCCAAAGTGCTGGGATTACAGGCGTGAGCCACCGCGCCCAGCCTATTGTTTAACAAGCCATTACATACACTCTTTAAACAAATGACAAAATAGAAAATCTCACCAAAGAAGTAGAATAGACAAAAAACCCAATAAAAATTATAGAACTGAAAAACAACCAAAATAATAACTCGGTGGGTTAGCTCAACAGCAGAATGAATATAACACAGGTAAGAATCAATAAACTTGAAACAAGAATTACCCAATCTAAACAACAGACAAAAAAATAAGACTGGAAAAAAATTAAAAGAAAATAGTGCCTTACGTCCTGTGAGACAGTAACAAAAGATCTAACATTCAGTCACAGAATGAAAGGAGACAGAGAGTGGTACTGAAAAATTATTCTAAGAAGTGACTGAAAACTTCTCAGATGTGGTAAAAGACAAATCTGCAGCTCAAGAAATTAAGAGAACTCCAAACAGAAAAACCCAAAGAAATTCGTGCAGACACATCATAATTTAACTTCTGAAAACTAAAGACAAAGAAAAAACCTCTAAAGCAGTTGGGGAGAAAGGATGTTACCTATAAGAAAATGAATTCTAATGACAGGGTTTCTTATCTGAAAAAAGTTTCTCAACATTTCTCAAATGTTAAAAGCAAAGAACTGTCAACCACAAATCCTATAAAAAGAAACAGCTGACAAAATCTTAAGAAAAAACAAAGAACAAAAGATTCCATGGTTTATATCTAAGCCCTGAGAAATCAGAAAATAGAAAATGCACTGAGGTCGGGCGCAGTGGCTCACACCTCAGCACTTTGGGAGGCCAAGGTGGGGGAATCACTTGAGGTCAGGCGTTCGAGACCAGCCTGGCCAACATGGTGAAACCCCGTCTCTACTAAAAATACAAAAATTAGCTGGGCCTGGTAGCGGGAGCCTGTAATGCCAGCTACTTGGGAGGCTGAGGCAGGAGAATCTCTTGAACCCGGGAAACGAAGGTTGCAGTGAGCCGAGATCATATCATTGCACTCCAGCCTGGGCGACAGAGTAGGACTCTGTCTCAAAAAAAAAAAAAAGAAAAAAGAAAAGAAAATACACTGATATCAATATATGAGCAATCACAGGTGCTTCCTACAACAGTGCTTAAATACATGGGAATTATTTATTTCTTCCTACCCATCACCAATCCCAGTGAGATTCATTTAGGTATAGGGCTTGCTTAAGGCATATTCCTTACTTCCTTAATTTTCTTAGTTAAAAAGAAATTGTTATGCCACTGTTCAAGATCTTTTATCAAATTGACAGTTTTTGTTCTAGTTAAAAATTCCAAAGCTCATGAGCCTAAAATCAAGAGCTATTTGTTTTAAAAAGATACAAGATCGATATACCTTAATCGTATGAAATAAAGTCTATTTTAAATAGTATCTTCTAAAGACAAAGCCTGAATAAACCTCTGTAGTAACTGTCACAGCTTAACCACCTTAAAAGCCAAGACATTACAGAGCAAATAATATTTATATTAATCCACTCTAATTTATAAAGATTGTTTCGGGGTTTTTTTGTTTGTTTCTTTTTGAGGCAGAGTCTTGCTCTGTCGCCAGGCTGGAGTGCAGTGGTGCAATGTTGGCTCACTGCGACCTCCGCCTCCCGGGTTCAAGGGATTCTCCTGCCTCAGCCTCCAGAGTAGCTGGGACTACAGGCACCCACCACCATGCCCAGCTAATTATTGTATTTTTAGTAGAGACCAGGTTTCACCACGTTGACCAGGATGGTCTCCATCTCTTGACCCCGTGATCCCCCTGCCTTGGCCTCCCAAAGTGCTGGGATTACAGGCATGAGCTACTGCGCCCGGCAAGACTGTGTGTTTTTAAAACAAGAATGACTACGCATATTTGACCAGTGACTTGTTAAGCAGGAAAGAAAGAAACAGCTGGTCAGTTTGCAAAATCATGAGTTCAAGCTCTGTTTTATATCACTTATCAACTGATTTATTCAACCAACTTTTATCAAGTTTCTAAAATGTATCAAGTACTGTGCAAGGCAGTGATGAAAAGATAAATAAGGCATGGTTTCAGACTTCAAGGAATTCCTTAGCTATAAAAATGGACCAGCCGGGCGTGGTGGCTCACACCTGTAATCCCAGCACTTTGGGAGGCTGAGGTGGGCAGATCACCTGAGGTCAGGAGTTCGAGACCAGCCTCAATATGGAGAAACCCCGTCTCTACTAAAAATACAAAATTAGCTGGGCGTAGTGGTGCATGCCTGCAATCTCAGCTACTCAGGAGGCTGAGGCAGGAGAATTGCTTCAACCTGGGAGGCGGAGGTTGCGGTGAGCCAAGATCGCGCCATTGCACTCCAGCCTGGGCAACAAGAGCGAAACTCCATCTCAAAAAAAAAATAAAAATAAAATAAAAATAAAAATGGACCCAGCAGATATAATTTAAATAAAATGTGATAACTCCTTTAATAGGTAAATGTACACAGTACCAGGAAAGCAAGAAACTATGTCAACAAAGGCAATATTTATCCTGGTGTGTGTGTGTGTGTGCGCGCGCGTGTGTGTGGCAGACAGACAGACGGTCTCACTCTGTCACTCAGGCTGGAGAGCAATGGCATGATCATAGCTCACTGCAGCCTCAAACTCCTGGGCTCAAGCAATCCTCCTGCCTCAGCCTTCTACATGGCTGGAACTACAGGCATGTGCCATCACATGTGCCTGGCTAGTTTTTTCCTATTTTGTAGAGACAGGGATCTTGCTATGTTGCCCAGGCTGATCTCAAACTCCTGGTCTCAAGCAATCCTCCCACCTCAATCTGCCCAAACTCTGGGATTACAGGTGTGAGCCACCACACCCAGCTGTCCTGATATTTAAAGGATGAGTTACTACTATTGTTCTTCAGGGTTCTATCACTCCCTCTTTGGGCTCTCAGCCCAGTTCTCAGTCCTAGATACCTATCACCATCTCATGGGAAGCATCTTTAAAGTAACAAGGTCTGGCCCTGCACCAGACCAAATGATACAGAATCCCTGTGGATGCCTCGATCCCCCATCCTCATTCTTTAAAAGCTCCCCAGGTGGTTTTTAAGTAGTGCCTATGTTGAAAATCACTGAACCAGGCAATCTCACCTACTTCTGATGACTTCACTTTCAATTCTAGCACAGACCCTCCATATATATCTCCATCTTTAGGGCCAACTGCTCTCTCAGGCGATTTCCTGGGCATCAAGATGTTATCATTGGCTTCCTCCTTTTCCCTCAAAATTTGTTTATTTTCCTGTATTTCCTACCTGGATGAACAGAACCACCATTACCCAGACACCCAAGCCTGAACTCAGTATGTCATCCTTGACCCTTCCTTCTCCCTCTCTCTCACCTATACACCTAACCAGTTCTCCTTACTCCACAAATTCACTCCCAAATCTAACCCCTTAGCCTCACTGGCCTCATTATCTTTCACCTACATTCCTATAATGACCACCTATTGGTCTTTGTGCACCTAGTCTTGCCCCTCTCTAACCTGTTCTCTACAATGCTACCAGAGATCAGAGTAATTTTTCTGAAAATACACCTGGGGCCAGGCGCAGTGACTCACACCCATAATCCCAACACTTTGGGAAGTCAAGGCAGAGGGTTACCTGAAGCCAGGAGTTCAAGACCAATCTGGGCAACATAGCAAGACTCCCATCTCTAGAAAAATAAATAAACATAATCAAAATATACCTGGTCACAATACTCATTCATGTTACCTGCCAGAGTAGGGGATGCAGACATGAATCAAAACCCATCCTGATTTCAAAGCCCTACCCTTAGAGTAGAGAAAGACATGTAAACAAGTAAATGACAGTAGAGATGAAGAGACATGGATTGCAGGCAGATGTGGGAATGCTTTACTGCAGAGATAACCAGAAGCCTGTATAATCTACAGGTGGCTAAGTGGGAAAACGCATTCCACGGAGAAAGAGAAACATAAAGCCATTTAGGCATGTTCAGGTAATAGAGGTGATTTTATATGGCTGAGGCAAAAGGCAAGGCATGCAGCAAGACACAAAGCCTGAGATGGGAACAAGCCAGACTTTGTAAGATCTGCCCAGGAAGAAATCCTTCAAAGGTTCCTCGCTATCATCAGGATTATGTGTTAGGACACACAAGGTCATTCATGAGCGGCTCCCATATACCTTCCCAGCCTCATTGCTCATTATGCCCATTCTCCAGCCTTTCCAAATTACCAGTTCTTTCCCAAAAGCACCAGGTTATCACACATTTTTCTTTTTTCTTTAATTTTGAGATGGAGTCTCACTCTGCTGCCCAGGCTGGAGTCAGCTCACTGTAACCTCTGCCTCCCAGGTTCAAGCGATTCTCCTGCCTCAGCCTCCTGAGTAGCTGGGATTACAGGCGCCCACCACCACGCCCGGCTAATTTTTGTATTTTTAGTAGAGATGGGGTTTCACCATGTGGCCGGGCTGGTCTTGATGGTCTTGATCCGTCTGCCTCAGTCTCCCAAAATGCTGGGATTACAGGCGTGAGCCACCGCGCCTAGCCTAAGACACACTTTTCCATATGTTACCTTCTCTTCCAAACTGCCCATCTCCCCTTACCTTTCCTTGTCTAGATTCAGCTCTTCTGAAAACTTAGTTTACTGAGCACTATGTACTTGGCAATTTGCTAGAAACTGGAGATACAATGAGATATGACACAACTCTTTCTCTTAAAGGGTTCACTCTCAAGTCAGTGAGAAAAATAAGAAAACAGAACATTATAAATAGTAAAAATGGGCTGGGCACAGTGGCTCACGCCTGTAATCCCAGCACTTTGGGAGGCTGAGGCAGGCAGACTGCTTGAGGTCAGGAGTTTGAGACCAGCCTGTCCAACATGATGAAACCCTGTCTCTACTAAAAATACAAAAATTAGCTGGGTGTGGTGGCAGGCGCCTGTAATCCCAGCTACTCGGAAGGCTGAGGTACGAGAATCACTCAAACCCTGGAGGCAGAGGTTGCAGCGAACTAAGATGTTACCACTGCACTCCAGCCTGGGCAACAGACCAAGACTGTGTCACAAAAAAAAAACTAAAAATGGTATAAGTGGTAAAAATGGAGATGGAAGTATGTACAGGGTGCTGTGGAAACACAAAGAAAAGTCACCTAACCCAAACTAAGGAGGAGGGGTAGTCAGAAAAAGTCCTAGGTGCCTGTAGACAGAAACTTGTCCTCACTCTCACCAGGGTGATGCTCCCAGAGCACCCTGTAGTCATCTCTGTCACAGTCTTGATTTTACGGTAGTGAATGGTCTGTTTCTTTACTGCTTTTTTCTCTGGATCACAAAGGGCCCAGGAAGGGGATGCGCCCATGCTACAGAAGGCTTGGAAGGACTGGCTCAACATGCTAAGGGTTTGGGAGCTGATGAGAATTTTTAAAGAAAACAAGCAGCATGATCAGATTGATAGTTCAGAAATGGAACCAATTCCAGCAGCAACGTGGAGGATTAAGTAGACTACAGGACCCAGAGGTTCAGAAAAAGCATAACCAAGGTCTGAACCAGTCTTCTGGCAATGAAGAGAGAGAAAAAAAAAAGATGTTATGAAGAGAGGAAAAAAAAAGATCTGAGGTAGCAACAACAATAGGATCTATGCTAGACTTAATGTGAGGAGAAAAGAAGATGATTTTAAGGTTTCTAGAGTAAAGATCTTAAAATAGTAATGTTTGTATATGTGCTTAAAGGGGGCTATGGGTGGAGAGAAAGGGAAGGAAAAGGTAACCACATTTGAAGTAATCAAGCATCCACATACAGCTATGCAGTAGGCAGATGAAAATTAGAACCTGAGGTTCAAGAGAAACGGGGACTAAATAGACGTCTTTGAAAACCATAAATATATAGGTGCTATTTGAAGCCATGAAAGGAAGTGTAATCACACAAGGAAATTAGAGAAAAGAACAAAAATGAAACCCTAAGGAATGCCACGTTAATCTGAGAAGAATAAAAAAAGAAAAGGGAAGCATCAAGAAAAGCTTTGTTTTGGTCTGAATGGTGGAAACCTGAGGATGTATACCATCCAACAGAAAAAATAATAATATGGGAAGAGATCAAAGACGTTAGCTTTCGAAAGTAAGACCCCTCTTCTTCTGAGATCAGAGGAAAGGATATTAGAAATCAGGTACAGACAGGCACAGACAAAAATGACCTCTCCTTAAGAGTTCAGGGCTGATGCCCACCAATTTATTCTGTGAAGTTAAGTGGCAAAATAAGCAATGAAGAGAAGGCAAGAGTAGGACAAAGAGTCAGAGAAAAATGGTAAAGATCCATAAACAGCCATTTAGATTTTAGGACATAAGAGGAATCTAGAGGTTAAGTCAAAGGATCTCCAGGATCCAGAAGTGCAGAAACAGCACCCAGCAGTTTAGTTATATGATTTTTGCCAGTCTGCCTTGGGAGCCCAGGAGCAGAAAAAGCTGACTGATTCGTCCAGGCTTGAGACCATCAGAGCAAAGGTGGCAAGAATAGTACAGGGCCAATGACAATGCTTTTATCATTTTAAAAAGTCAAACGTATTTTACTCTTTTTTAAAAATCGACTCGCTATTTCCTCCAAGAGCGAGTGTTTGGAGAGGGGGAGGGAGAGGGGTGGATAATTCCTCTCTCACTCTTAGAGGACTTGTCAGAAGTTTCATTCTTAAGCATATTTGGTCTGTACAGCAGCTGATTCCAGGAAATCCAAATCCTGATTCCTCCTGGATCTTAAAAGATGAAAATTCATTGCAGCTCCCTGGACTATCCAGCTAATAGATAAACACGTACCACATTGCTTATATACTATGCCACTTTAGCTGGGAGGTAGGGGCTCTTTCTTTCCTAAAAAGAAAGTTACCCAAACACTGCAGATGGGGATGGAGAGGGGATGGGGAGTAATTACACCGCAAAGCCTGCTGACTAGCAGCCTAAGAATCCTTTACAAAGGCAATTAACATAAAACAATACATGGCACGGATAGCAGAATTGTTTCTTCTTAATGAATGCAGTAATTGACCATTTAATCGCTTTACTGGAGTTCACCAATTTCTCCTGCCATCTCCCATACCATTCTTCAGGCAGAGTCAAATCCCTGTGGACACTGGACTTCTTGCTACCATCATCTGGAAAGTACAAAACGCCTGGAAGGAGGAAGAGGCTAACATGCGTGACCACCCACCATGTGCCAGGCCTACTGTGTGCTAGACTCTGGGCAAGGGACTTTACATGTTATGGGGTGCAGCTCATGTAAGGACGAATGAAGATATTACACTATGGATCTGAGCCAGGCGCAGTGGCTCACGCCTGTAATCCCAGCACTTTGGAGGCCGAGGCAGAAGGATAGCTTGAGGTCAGGAGTTCGAAGCCAGCCTGGGCAACATAGAGACTCCATCTCTCAAAAAAAAAAAAAAAAAAAGCGATGAATCCGGCATTGCAGAGAGTGGGAAAGTGTCTGGAGGTTTAAGAGTAAGAGAAGGAAGAGGAGATTGCGATGGTGGGTGGTCAAAGTGAGGGGAGAAGAGGCGAGTTGGGAAAGGAAGGTGCTTAGGAGCAAAAGGGCAAGACCCAGGGACACCTGGAGCGGGGCGGGCGACTGCCATGCAGACAGGACTACGTACAACGGGTAGGATGATGGGGCGATGAGCTCAAGAAGCGCAGCCGGGGTAGACGTGGGGGCAAATGTCCGATCCCGGCGAGACGAGGGTCTCATCCCAGGGGACTGCGGGGCTAGGACGTGGTCCCAGGGCTGCGAGAAGGGAGAGAAAGGGCAGAGGGGAGAGGCCCCGGCGGCCGGGGCGAAGCCGAGCCCGGGAAATGCCGGCGATGGGGGAAGGGGCGTGGGAGCAGGGGCCGGACGGGCCAGACCCGGGGCTCCGCGCTCGGGGGCGGGGTTGGACAACCGGGAGGCACCGAGCAGAAGGCGACAAGGGGCCAAGGGATGCCAGGACGGGGCACAGGGCCGGGTGTGAGGAGACGAGAGGGGAGCGGAGCCGCAGCGAGCGCCGCGTCCCCCTTACCTGGGATGAGTGAGGAGCCGCCGCGCCGCCTGGACGGCATCCTGGCCTCAGCCGCTGGTCCCACCGCCTTCGGTGGGGGGCCACTCGGGAGCCCGCCCTCACCGCCAAGCGCCGGCAGCTGCCAGCCTGGACCGGCCCCGCAGAGCAGCGCCGTTCCGACCCGCAACCGAAGCCGCCTCAGCAGCGTCTCCCGCGGTCGCCAACTCAGCGACAACCGCCAGGGTCCGGGGAGGTGGCGGGATCACACATCTGCTACGATTGGCTGAGCGGACGATGTGTCGGCTGCTCTGATTCGTGAGTTCCGGCCGGCTGCCCACCGAAGGAGGCGCGGCTGGGAATGGAGCTGGGTCCGGCAGGCGCCGAGGGGCGGGGGTCTGACGTCGCAGCCGGCCAGCGCCCCCACAGCCCTTCCCGTGCGCGCTCCCGAGGGGGCTTCCCGGCAGCCGCAGGCCTGGCCGGGTGGTTGCCCTAGCAACAGCGCGCGTGGCCTGGCTGCAGGGGAGCCGCGGGCAGGTGGCGGTCCTCACCGCCCCCACCCCCAACGTGGGTGTCCCAGAGGCCTTCATCAGTGAAACCCTAGGACAGGAGAAGAAAATGAGCTTTTCCTGATAATTCCTCTCCTCTGCTTCAGAGCCCACCTTTGCCCGCTGCTGGCAGAGAAGCTGTCATCTCCTCGGGGAGATAACGCGCAAATGCAAATAACGAACTCAAACACTATTTCATCCCCACGAGAGTGTAGACGTGCAATAGTCCCTCCCAACCACAGAGGTGGGGGGCTGACGCCCTAAAAGAAAGAAATGAAAACTAGGGAGAAAAAGGCAAAGAAGCAAAAGAAAGGTGGGGAAAGGGCAGATATTTCACAAAATGATCCATTCATTTTACAGTTTCTTCCTACAGACACATCTACACCAGGTTCTGTCAAAGCAATTATTTCTACTCCAGTGACATGGATTAGAGAAGGCATGAGTGCAGAATCTAACAGCTGTATTCAAAATTGCTCTCTGCTAGGCCAGGTGGGGTGGCTCATGCCTCTAATCACAGCACTTTGGGAAGCCAAAGCTGGTGAATCACCTGAGGTCAGGAGTTCGAGACCAGCCTGGCCAACATAGTGAAACCCCGTCCCTGCTAAAAATACAAAAATTAGCCGGGCATGGTGGCGGACGCCTGTCGTCCCAGCTACTGGGGAGGCTGTGGCAGGAGAATTGCTTGAACCCGGGAAGGTAACTACCTTCCTTTGCACACAGTATAATATTTTCAAAGTTCATCCATGTTGTAGCATGTATCGGCACTTCATTCCTTGTTACGGCCGAATAATAGTCCATTATACAGACATCACCTTTTTTTTTTTTGAAGAGTCTCACTCTGTCTCCCAGGCTGGAGTGGAGTTATGTGATCTTGGCTCACTGCAACCTCCACCTCCTGGGCTCAAGTGATTCTCATGCCTCCGCCTCCAAAGTAGCTAGAATTACATGCATGTGCCACCATGCCTGGCTAATTTTTATATTTTTAGTAGAGACGGGGTTTCATCAAGTTGCCCAGGCTGATCTTGAACTCCTGGCCTCAAGTGATCTGCCTGCCTTGGCCTCCCAAAGTGCTGGGATTACAGGCATGGGCCACCGTGCCTGGCTGGACATCATCTTTTATTTATCCATTAATCCATTGATGGACATCTGTTTCTACTTTTTTGGCTATTATACATGATGCTGCTATGAACATTTGTGTAGAAGTTTTTGTGTGTGGCCGGGTGCAGTGGCTCACGCCTGTAATCCCAGCAGTTTGAGAGGCCGAGGTGGGCGGATCACAAGGTCAGGAGATCGAGACCATCCTGGTTAACACGGTGAAACCCCGTCTCTACTAAAAATACAAAAATTTAGCCAGGCATGGTGGCTGGCGCCTGTAGTCCCAGCTACTCGGGAGGCAGAGGCAGGAGAATGGCGTGAACCCGGGAGGTGGAGGTTGCAGTGAGCCAAGATTGTGCCACTGCACTCCAGCCTGGGCAACAGAGTGAGACTCCGTCTCAAAAAAAAAAAAAAAAAGAAGTTTTTGTGTGGACCTCATTTGATCTTTACAGCAACTGTCTAAGGTACATATGATATCTCCTTCTACAGATAATCAGCTGACTGGGTGTGGTGGCTCACGCCTGTAATCCCAGCAGTTTGGGAAACCCAGGCAGGAGGGTCCCGTGAGCCCAGGAGTTCTAGGCTGCAGTGAGCCATGATGGCACCACTGCACTCCAGCCTGGGTGACAGACTGAGACCTTGCCTCTCACCCAAAAAAAAAAATAATAATTATATATATGTGTGTGTGTGTGTGTGTTTGTGTGTATATGTGTGTGTGTGTATATATGTGTGTGGGTGTATACACACACACACACAGAGATAGATAAGAAAACTGACTATAAGATGGTAGACAGCAATTTTGTTGTTTGTTTGTTTTTGTTTTGAGATGGAGTTTCGCTCTTGTTGCCCAGGCTGGAGTGCAATGGTATGTATGACCTTGGCTCACTACAACCTCCGCCTCCCGAGTTCAAGTGATTCTTCAGCCTCAGCCTCCCCAGTAGCTGGGATTACAGGCGCCTGCCACCATGCCCAGCTAATTTTTTTGTAGTTTTATTAGAGACAGGGTTTTGCCATGTTGGCCGGGCTGGTCTCAAACTCCTGACCTCAGATGATCTGCCCGGCTCCACCTTCCAAAGTGACGGGATTACAGGTGTGAGCCACCGCGCCCACCTTTTGTTTTGTTTTTAGAGACAGGGTCTCACTATGTTGCCCAAGCTAGTCTCGAACTTCTGACCTCAAGCGATCCTCTAACCAGTCTTTTAATGTTAAGCAAGGGCCAAGTTACATTCTGCTTTCTACATTTCAGACCTCTTCAGGAAAAGGACTCACCATGGCCTCAGTAATACGGAAGCCACCACCGGTGCACAGCCCCTGCCAGGCTCTTTCCACAAAGTAGAGATGGAGATCTGAGATAACCTCCCACACTGCCCAGAAAATCCTTCCCCCACCTATAAGACCTAGAAAAAGAATTGAGTAGCCACATAGGGAGCTGACACTGGTCCTCCTAGCACGTATTAAACTGTGAGAACGAATTCTAGATGTGGGGAATTCAGTAAGAAGAAAGGACACGATCCTTTCAGTGAAACCTGTCATACGGCAGGATGTCTCACTGAGCAGGACAGCTTCAGGTGATCCGGGGACTACACTCTGAGGCAGAAGTAAGAAGCAGGGTCCAGCCTCTGACAGGGTCCAGCCTCTGAGGCAGAAGTAAGAAACAGCTTGATCTGAAGCAAAGCTCAGGGTTATTGAGAACAAGATGAACTTTTCCTGCTTTCTAAATCTGCCCCAACACATATAGTATATGTGCTAGAAGGAAAAAAAACTCCAAAATATACTCAAGTGAAAAGAACAAAGTTCAAAACAGTGTGTATAATATACCCATTTGTATATATTTAAAATACACATACACACACACTTGTTATTTTCAGAGGAAATATCAAGAAAGATGCACACATTAAATTGGTAACAGTGTTGTCTCTGGGAGGGAAACTGAAGGACTTGGGCACAGGAATAGGAAAGAGACTAATTCTTTGCTATGTACTCTTGGGCACCTTTAAAAATTATGTGCTATATGCTTGGATTACCTTTTTTTTTTTTTTTTCTTATTTTAATAGGCAGGGTCCCATTCTGTCACCCAGGCTGGAGTACAGTGGCATAGTCATAGCTCACTGCAGCCTCAAACGCCTGGGCTCAAGTGATCCTCCCACCTCAGCCTCCTGAGTAGCTAAGACTACGGGTGCACGCCACCCACTCCCTGCTAATTTTTTTTTTTTTAGACAGAGTCTCGCTCTGTTGCCCAGGCTGGTGTGCAGTGGCATGATATCGGCTGACTGCAACCTCTGCCTCCCAGGTTCAAGCAATTCTCCTGCATCAGCCTCTCGAGTAGCTGGGATTACAGGTGCCCACCACCACGCCCAGCTAATTTTTGTATTTTTAGTAGAGACAGGGTTTCACCATGTTGGCCAGGCTGGTCTCGAACTCCTGGCCTCATGTGATCTGCCCACCTTGGCCTCCCAAAGTGCTGGGATTTCAGGTGTAAGCCACCGTGCCCAGCCTTTTACTTTTTTTTTTTTTTTTTTTTTGGTAGAGATGGGATCTTGCTATGTTGCCCAAACTGGTCTTGAACTCCTGGGCTCAAGCAGTCCTCCAACGCTGGCCTCCCAAAGTGGTGGGATTATAGGCATGAGCCATCACGCCTGGCCTGGATTACCTATTTACAAGGAATGAATACATAACTTTTTTTTAAAGGAAAACTTGTTCCTGAAAAACTGTCCAAGACTGTATGCACATCTGATTCACACCACATTTCTATTCCTCTGTGTAATTTAATGAGCCTCATAGATTCTGAACACTCTTTCTGCGTTTCTATTTTCTCTCCCGGGCTTTACCTTTCCAGGTGATCAGCCCAGAATTAGATCACCTCACCAGAGAGCATCAGCCAGGTATGGTGGCTCACACCTGTAATGCCAGCACTTTGGGAGTCTGAGGAGGGCAGATCACTTGAGATCAGTAGTTCGAGACCAGCCTGGTCAACATGGTAAAACCCAATCTCTACTAAAAACACAAAAATTAGCCAGGTGTGGTGGGGGCACACCTGTAATCCCAGCAACTCGGGAGGCTGAGGCAGGAGAATCGCTTGAACTCAGGATGTGGAGGCTGCGGTGAGCGGAGACTGTGCAACTGCACTCCAGCCTGAGCGACAGCGCAAATCTCTGTCTCAAAAAAATTAAAAAAAGATAACCTCGGTCGGGCGCGGTGGCTCACGCCTGCAATCCCAGCACTTTGGGAGGCCGAAGCGGATGGATCATGAGGTCAGGAGATCAAGACCACCCTGGCTAACACGGTGAAACCCCGTCTCTACTAAAAATACAAAAAAATTAGCCGGGTGTGCTGGCGGGCGCCTGTAGTTCCAGCTACCCGGGAGGCTGAGGCAGGAGAATGGCGTGAATCCCGGAGGCGGAGCTTGCAGTGAGCCGAGATTGCGCCACTGCACTCCAGCCTGGGTGACAGAGCGAAACTCCATCTCAAAAAAAAAAAAAAAAAGATAACTTCACCTGTGTATAGATGGCTTTGCCCCATCTTCAGGCAATTCAAAGGGCTCACAGCCTGTTTTCTTCCAAACAGCCTACGCAACCCTGGCAGAGCCCAGAAGAGGAGAAAATGGGCCAGTGCTTGCTGCCATCCCAGTGAGAGCTGCGAGTCTCTCTCCTCTAGGTCAGCCTTTGCACCGCTTCTACCTTGGGAACTCACCTCTAGAGAAGACCTGGCCAAGGATGAGTGAGGACTCCTTACTACAGCAACCTCACCTCCTGGAGGGAAAGTCTATGCAACATACCTAGGAATGTGCAGGCTTTGAGAACTGAAAAGGCAGCATTGTCCTCCAGCACTTTTCCTTTGGGGGTTGTTGGATTGCTTTGCTCTTAAGAAGGACACAGGCCCCGCGCAGTGGCTCATGCCTGTAATCCCAGCACTTTGGGAGGCCGAAGCGGGCAGATCACGAGGTGAGGAGATCAAGACCATCCTGGCCAGCATGGTGAAACCTCTGGCCAGCATGGTGAAACCTCCTCTCTAAAAATACAACAATTAGCCGGGCATGGTGCCGCGCGGCGGTAGTCCCAGTAACTCAGGAGGCTGAGGCAGTCAGATTCCTTGAACCCAGGAGGCAGAGGCTGCAGTGAACCGAGATAGTGCCCCTGCACTCCAGCCTGGGCGACAGAGCGAGACTCTGTCTCAGAAAAAAAAAAAAGGGACACAAATGCAGCAAAGCTCTCTTCATGGCATTTTCATTCTCGGGTCTGGCACGGAGGGAAGATGGTGGCAGAGGTGGGAAATGGCAGAGATGGGGAGTCCCTCAGAAATGAAAAATTTGAGGCCAGGTGCAGTGGCTCACGACTGTAATCCCAGAATTTCAAGAAGCGAGGCGATCAGATCACTTGAGGTCAGAAGTTCGAGACCAGCCTGGCCAACATGGTGAAACCCCATCTCTACTAAAAATACAAAAATTAGCTGGGTGTGGTGGTGGGCACCTGTAATCCCAGCTACTCGGGAGGCTGAGGCAGGAGAATCACTTGAACCCAGGAGGTGGCGGTTGCAGTGAGCTGAGATTGCACCACTGCACTCCAGCCTGGGAGACAGAGCAAGATTCCATCTCAAAAAAAAAAAAAAAAAAGAAGGAGATGAATGTGTCTGTCACAACCAGCAGCAACTGGCCTGGCACTGGATGGATGTTTGGATGGACGGATGGACAGGTAATGAATGGCTAGATGAACAGCAAACACTGCAATTGTCAAAGAAGGCCAGCAGGGCACGGGAGCCAGGAGCCGGGACCCAGGGAGAACAGGAGGACACTTGGGTCACTCAGGGTCCTGCCAGGAAAGGCCAGGGAGACTCCAGGAGAGGACTCCAGAGCCAAAGATCTTTGACGGAGAACTGAGAGTTAAGCTTTCACTCCACCTAAAGTGACCTAAAAGCCCTGGCTAATTTGGGATGAGATGAAACACTTACCTGCATACAGCATCAGAGAGTCAATGGCCTGCGGGAAGCACCTCACAGTTCTCTTGAAGCTTCTGGGATACAGGGATTTAAGGCAGAAAGAAAAGGGTGATACAATTTAAAGAAAAAGAAAAATGTGAGCAGGACTCCTGACTTTCTCCACCCCTAGATCCTGGAAAACTGGGCAGGTCAGGCCCCTCAGCCACATCATCATTTGAAAATGAAAATTCAGCCCAGCCTATGAGCAGGCATTTTCCAAGTGGCTACAGAATTCCTGCACCTTCCAAAAATACCTCTTCATGCAACTCCTGCCAGGGAGAGAGGGCCACATGCCCAGGCTGGAGCCGACCAACTGGGCTTCCTGAACCCGGGAGCTGCCACCATGTGCTCTGCAGACCCCAGATTCAGGAAATGTCCACTGCTCCATAGGGAAACCCAGACAGACAGCTGTGCTGTGTTCCAGGCTGAGAGCAAAGCATCCTCTAGTTTTACTTATGACCAAGGAGATTGTAAGGCTTCCAGGAATGTTTTCTAAACCTCACCATGCATCTAAACTACCTGCATAGCTTAGTAAAGTAAACACCAGCCTCTCCGCAGTTTTAGGAAGCAGATGATCTGGGAGGAACTCCCCACAACCCCCACAGTGAGATGGGGTGGGCTAGTGATTGACGGGCAGCATTAGGGTGTCTTCAGAGAGACTGGCTGGTGATATGCTGTTTCTTGAAATGGGAGCAATTAGCTGGTTTATTTACTTTGTGAAATTTCATCAAGCTACATATACATGTGGGCTTTTCTGTATTTTTTTAAATTTTATTTTATTTTTCTTTAATTGAGACGGGGGTTTCACTGTATTGCCCAGGCTGGTCTTGAATTTCTTGGGCTCAAGTGATCCTCCTGCCTCAGCTTCCCAAAGTGCTGGGATTATAGGAGTGAGCCACCATGCCTGGTCTTTTCTGTATGTTTGTTACACTTCATTTAAAAAGAATAATAATAATAGAACTATGCGAGGTGGTTCACGCCTGTAATCCTAGCACTGTGGGAGGCCAAGACAGAGGATCACTTAAGGCCAGGAGTTCCAGCCTGGGCAACATAGAGAGACCCTGTCTCCACTTAAAAAAAAAAAAACAAAGGTCAGGCACAGTGGCTCACGCCTGTAATCCCAACACGTTGGGAGGCCAAGGCATGAGGATCGCCTGAAGCCAGGAGTTCAAGACCAGCCTGGACAACATAGGGAGATCCTCAGCTCTACAAAAAAATTTTTAAAAATTAGCCAGAATGGGCCAGGCACGGTGGCTCACGCCTTTAATCCCAGCACTTTGGGAGGCCGAGGAGGGTAGATCACGAGGTCAGGGGATCGAGACCATCCTGGCTAACACAGTGAAATCCCATTTCTACTAAAAATACAAAAATAAAATTTGCCAGGCATGGTGGCGGGCGCCTGTAGTCCCAGCTACTCGGGAGGCTGAGGCAGGAGAATGGCGTGAATCCAGGAGGTGGAGCTTGCAGTGAGCCGAAATCATGCCATTGCACTCCAGCCTGGGCGACAGAGCGAGACTCTGTCTCAAAAAAAAAAAAAAGTTAGCCAGTGTAGTAATGCATGCCTGCAGTCCCAGCTACTTGGGAGGCTGGGCAGGAACATCTCTTGAGGCCAGGTGTTTGAGACCAGCCTGGACAACATAGTAAGACCCACTCTCTACAAAAATAGTTAACCAGGTGTGGTGGTGTGCACCTGTAGTCCCAGCTACTTGGGAGGCTGAGGTGGGAGAATTGCTGGAGCCCAGGAGTTTGAGACTGCAGTGAGCTGTGATCATGCCACTGCACTCCAGCCTGGGCAACTGAGGAAGATCTGTCTACAAAAAAAAAAAAAAAAAAAAAAAAGGGCCAGGCACAGTGGCTCACTCCTGTAATCCCAGCACTTTGGGAGGCTGAGGCAGGTGGATTGCCTGAGGTATGGAGCTCGAGACAAGTTTGGCCAACATGGTGAAACCCTGTCTTTACTAAAAAATATAAAAAATACAAAAAAATTAACCGGACATGGTAGCGTGCACCTGTAATCTCAGCTACTTGGGAGGCTGAGGCAGGGGAATTGCTTGAACTAGGGAGATGGAGGTTGCAGTGAGCTGGGATTGCACCACTGCACTCCAGCCTGGGCGACAGAGTGAGGCTCTGTCTCAAAAAAAAAAAAAAGGCTCCCCAATAAATTCTGTTCCTCTACCAGGTTTGAGAACTGCTGAGTTGGAGATATAGGATGAGGGGCTTAGATTACACTAAAGAGGGGCGCTGGGTGCTTCTAAGCACCTAGCTTCTAAGTATGGGGTGGAATAGTTCCAGGGGTATGCCTTCCCCTCTTAGGCAAGTCTAGGACTCTCAGAGTGGTGAGAAGCTCCAGGAAGGAGAGGCTGAGTGGGAGGTGCTTCAGGGAGCAGCTGGCCCTTCCCTGTCCACAGATGCTGACCAGTGACACCAGCGCAGACCAGGACTGACTGCCACACTACCCTACCTGCACCCTACCCCTTGGACGGCCTGCTTAGGCCCCTGGCGACCTGCTTCAAGAGTGCCATTTCCTCCTGTGGCTTAGCTTTCCCTCCCTGGTTAAAGAGGCTGGAAGGGGCCAGGTGCAGTGGCTCACACCTGTAATCCCAGCACTTTGGGAGGCCAAGGCAGGCAGTTCACTTGAGGTCGGGAGTTTGAGACCAGCCTGGCCAACATGGTGAAACCCATCTCTGCTAAAAACACAACAATTAGCCAGGTGTGGTGGTGGGCACCTGTAATCCCAGCTACTCAGGACGCTGAGGCAGGAGAATTGCTTAATCCTGGGAGGCAGAGGTGGCAGTGAGCCAAGATTGCGCCACTGTGCTCCAGCCTGGGCAACAAGAGTGAGACTTTGTCAAAAAGGAAAGAAAAAAAAAGGGTGCAGTGGCTTACACCTGTAATCCCAGCACTTTCAGAGGCCAAGGCAGGTGGATCACCTGAGATCAGGAGTTCGAGACCAGCCTGACCAACATACTAAAACCCTGTCTCTACTAAAAATACAAAAATTAACCAGGCATAGTGGTGGACACCTGTAATCCCAACTACTTGGGAGGCTGAGGCAAGAGAATCACTTGAACAGGGGAGGTAGAGGTTGCAGTGAGCCGAAATCACGCCATTGCACTCCAGCCTGAGCAACAGAGCGAGACTCTGTCTCAAAAAAACAAACAAACAAAAAGAGGCTAGAAGGGCTACCAGCTTCTTGCCACCCTCCCAAGTCCCTTTCCCAGGGCAAGCACCTTCTTCAAGGGCTAGAAGACTCTTGCAGGATCCAGGGGACACCAGCACACAGGCTTTGCCAAAGCCCCACACCAGGCACTGTTCTAGGCTCTGAGGACACAGCAGTGACCAAGACAGTCCCTGCTACCATTCCTTTTTTTTTTTTTTTTTTTGAGACAGAGTCTCACTCCGTTGCCCAGGCTGGAGTGCAGTTGTACAATCTTGGCTCAGTGCAACCTCCGCCTCCTGGGTTCAAGTGATTCTCATGCCTCAGCCTCTCGAGTAGCTGAGATTACAGGCGCGTGTCACCATGCCTGGCTAATTTTTGTATTTAGTAGAGACGGGGTTTCACCATGTTGGTCAGGCGGGTCTCGAACTCCTGGCCTTAAGTGATCTGCCTCCCTCAGCCTTCCAACATGCTGAGATTACAGCCGTGAGCCACCATGACCGGGCCCTGCTACCATTATTGGGCTTACAGTTTAGTGGAGAATCTGGTGATCAATTACATATGAAGGGTTCAGAATATGCCACCCTCAAATATGCCATTTTGGCATAAGGCTTATTTTGAGCCGAAGGCAATTAAGAAACAAACAGCAAACATAGGAGCTCTCTGTCTTCCCCTTTCTCCCTAAAATTGGAGCATAAATTTCCCTTTCGTAAAGGAAATTTATATTAGTTGTTCTCTGAAAGCAACTAGCAGATAACTCTTATCACACAAGACTAAGAAACCTTACTAAATTGGCCAGACGTGGTGGCTCACCCCTGTAATCCCAGGACTTTGGGTGGCCGAGGTTGGAGGATCACCTGAGGTCAGGAGTTTGAGACCAGCCTGTCCAATGTGGTGAAATGCGGTCTCTACTAGAAATACAAAAATTATCTGGGCATGGTGGCAGGTGCCTATAATCCCAGCTACTCAGGAGGCTGAGGCAGGAGAACTGCTTGAACCCAGGAAGTGGAGGTTGCAGTGAGCAGAGATTGCGCCACTGCACTGCAGCCTGGGTGACAGAGTAAGACTCCATTTCCAAAAGAAAAGAAAAAAAAAGAAAGAAACCTTACTAAATAACCTTTCTCTTCCATTAGTTTCCCTCAGATATTTAACTTCCCACAGTTTATTGTAGGTGAAAGCCCATATCTCCCTCCTTCCTCCCCACTAGTAAATTAGATATGTAAATCTTTAATTCTAAATACTTAAAGAGCCAGCTGGGTTTTTTTGTTGGTTCTCAGATGCATGTGAAATAAACCTTTTCTCAGTTAGGTGCAGTGGCTCAGGCCTGTAATCCCAGCACTTTGGGAGGCTGAGGCAGGTGGATCACATGAGGTCAGGAGATCGAGACCAGCCTGGCCAACATGGCAAAAACCCATCTCTACTAAAAATACAAAAAATTAGCTGGGCGTCGTGGCAGGCACCTGTAATCCCAGCAACTTGGGAGGCTGCGGCAGGAGAATCGCTTAAACCCGGGAGGCAGAGGTTCCAGTGAGCCGAGATCATGCCATTACACTCCAGCCTGGGCAACAAGAGCAAAACTCTGTATTAAAGGAAAAAAAAAAAATTTCTCCTGTTAATCTGTCTTTTGTCTGTTTAATTTGCAGGCCCCAGTCACTGAACCTAAGAAGGGTAAAGGAAAAGCATGAGTCCAGGCACAGTGGCTCATGCCTGTAATCCCAGCACTTTGGGAGTCTATGGCAGACAGATCACAAGGTCAGGAGTTTGAGGCCAGCCTGGCCAACATAGTGAAACCCTGTCTCTACTAAAAATACAAACATTATCCGGGCATGGTGGCGTATGCCTGTAATCCCAGCTACTTGGGAAGCTGAGGCAGAGAATCACTTGAACTTGGGAGGTGGAGGTTGCAGTGAGCTGAGATCGCGTCACTGCACTCCAGCCTGGGCAACAGTGTGAGACTCTGTCAAAAAAAAAAACAAAACAAAGAAAAGGAAAGAAAGAGAGAAAGAGAGGAAGGAAGGAAGGAAGGAAGGGGAAAGAGAAAGAAAGGAAGGAAGGAAGGAAGGAAGGAAGGAAGGAAGGAAGGAAGGAAGGAAAGAAAGAAAGAAAAAGGAAGGAAGGAAGGGAGAGAGAAAGGAGAGGGGACGGGAGGGGAGGGGAGGGGAAGGGAAGGGAAGGGGGAGGAAGGAAGGAAGGAAGGGAGGGAGGGAAAAGAAAGAAAGAAAAGCATGCTTAGTAAAAGCACTCAAGGCCATGATGACTTACTCATCCCTTAGTGTGCCCAGGGCTCCGCTTCTATTCCTTTCCTCCTGCAGCTCCATCCACCTGTGTTTCCCAGCATAACTCTGCCAGCAAAACTTCAGCCAACCTTCACATCACACCACGAAAGACAATTCCGATAGGCAGGGACCCATCTCTACGACTCTTGTGATCTGTACCCTGATTTATTTCCTTCCTTCCTTCCTTCCTTCCCTTCCTTCCCTCCCTATCTCCTTCCTTCCCTCCTTTCTTCCCTATCTCCTTCCTTCCCTCCCTCTCTCCTTCCTTCCCTCCCTCCCTCCCTCCATCCTTCCCTCCCTCCCTATTTTCCTTCCTTCCTTCCTTTCTTCCTTTCGTTTTCTTTCTTTCTTTTTTAGAGATTATATTTCACTGTCACCCAGGCCGGAGTGCACTGGCATGATCATAGCTCATTGCAACCTCAAACTCCTGGGCTCAAGTGATCCTCCCTCGTCAGCCTCTTGAGTAGCTAGGACCACAGGCACACGTCACCACATCCAGCTAATTTTTAAGTTTTGTGTAGAGACAGGGGTCTCGCTATGTTGTCCAGACTGGTTTCTAACTCTTGGCCTCAAGAGATCCTTCAGCCTCGGCCTCCTAAAGCACAGGGATTACAGGCATGAGCCACCCTGCCCAGTCTGATTTATTCCTTTCTTAAGGCACTTCTCCCAATCTACTTTGTACTCTCTTTCTTTGTGTATTTGTGTGGTTCTCCACCCTCACCTACATCAGATAGATAGGAAGCTGTTATGACAGGCCCATGACAGGCCTGGGAATATTTGATGAGATGGAGTCAACTGAACGATGGGACGGCATTTCCCTCAAGAATCATCAATTCACTTTATTCTTTTTTACTTATTATTATTATTTTTTTGAGACAGAGTCTCGCTTTGTTGCCCAGGCTGGAGTGCAGTGGGCGCAATCTCAGCTCACTGCAAGCTCCCCGCCTGCCGGGTTCATGCCATTCTCCTGCCTCAGCCTCCCGAGTAGCTGGGACTACAGGCGCCCGCCAGCACACCCAGCTAATTTTTGTATTTTTTTAGTAGAGATGGGGTTTCACCTTGTTAGCCAGGATGGTCTCGATCTGACCTGGTGATCTGCCTGCCTCGGCCTCCCAAAGTGCTGGGATTACAGACGTGAGCCACCGCGCCCGGCCCAGTTCACTTTATTCTATATCTCTGTTACCTATAGACAAAAAGCCCTATGGTTCGTGTTTGTTTTTTACTTTTTACTTTTTTTTTTTTTTGAGACAGATTCTTGTTCTGTTACCCAGGAGGAAGTGCGGTGGTGCTATCTCGGCTAACCAACCTCCGCCTCCTGGGTTCAAGCGATTCTCCTGCCTTAGCCTCCCAAGTAGCTGGGATTACAAGTGTACACAACCATGCCTGGCTAATATTTGTACTTTTAGTAGAGACCAGGTTTCACCATGTTGGCCAGGCTACTCTGGAAACCCTGACCTCAGGTGATCCACTTGCCTCGGCCTCCCAAAGTGCTGGGAGTATAGGCGTGAGCCACCGTGCCCAGCCTTGTTTTTTACTTTTTTTTTTTTTTTTGGGACTGGGTCTCACTCTGTTGTCCAGGCTGGAGTGTGGTGGTGTAGTCTTGGTTCACTGCAGCCTCCACCTCCTGGGCTCAAGCAATCCTCCCACCTTAGCCTCTAGAGTAGCTGGGACTACAGGCACATGCCACCACACCTGGCTTTTTAAAAAAAAATTTAGACTGGGTGTGGTGGCTCACGCCTGTAATCCCAACACTTTGGGAGCCTGAGGAGGGTGGATCACCTGAGGTCTGGAGTTCGAGACGAGCCTGGCCAACGTGGTGAAACCCTGTCTCTACTAAAAATACAAAAATTAGCCAGGCATGGTGGCATGTGCCTATAAATCCCAGCTACTTGGGAAAATTTTTTTAATAGAGACCGGGTTTCACTATGTTGCCCAGGCTGTTCTCAAACTCCTGAGCTCAAGGGATCCTCCTGCCTTGGCCTCTCAAAGTGCTGAGATTACAGGCATGAGCCATGGCACCCAGACTTGTTTTTATTTAAAACCTTATTTTGAAAAAAATTTAAACATAGAAAAAAATTGTGAGAATACCATGAACTCCAATATCCATACAATTCACCAAGTGTCCAACTGTTGATTCACCAATTAACATTTGCCTCATTTGCTTAATCTCTCTATATATACAGATAGGTTATTATGTTTAATGTTATTGAATCATTTGAAATTACAGACACCGTCCTCTGTCCCTTTACTCCTAAATACTTCATTGGTGTCTCCTAAAAATGAGAACATTCTTGGCCAGGCTTGGTGGCTCATGCCTGTAACCCCAGCACTTTGGGAGGCTAAGGCACGAGGATTACCTGAGGTCAGGAGTTTGAGACCAGCCTTGCCAACATGGTGAAACCCCATCTCTACTAAAAAATACAAAAATTAGCCAGTACGGTTGTGGGCACCTGTAATCCCAGCTACTTGTGAGGCTCAGGCAGGAGAATTGCTTGAACCTGAGAAGCAGAGGTTGCAGGGAGCTGAGATCGAGCAACTGCACTCCAGCCTAAGGGACAGAACAAGACTGTCTCTCAAAAAAAAAAAAAAAAAAAAAAAAGAACATTCTCTTATACAATGATCAAATGAAGGAAATTTAACATCGCCATGACACAGACACTGTTATCTACTATACAGTCCATAGTGCAATTTCCCTGATTGTTTCAATTATGTCCTTTATAGCAAGATGTGTTGCAGTTAGCTGTCGTGCCACTTTAGTCTCCTTTAATCTGGAACATTTCCTCTCTCTTTCTGGCTTTCATTCTAGAAGTACACAAGTTATGTGCCCCAGAAGTGTGTTGTAACTTTCCCGGGTGTCAGTCGTTTCAGGAGCCCATGAGGTCTGTTTGTTCCAATAGTGGGACGTATTGATCATTTGGTTAAAGAGAAATTCACCAGTTTTCTCCCCTGCAAAGTTAGTTTTTCTTTTGTGATAAATAAGTAATCTGTTGGGAGATACTTCATGACTGTGGAAATATCCTGTGCCCCATCTGACGATGATTCCAGCCTGGTCCTGTTGTACTTGCCAGTCATTCAAGGAAAGTGCAGCTGGCTGGTGCCCAGGCTGGGAGGCGCTGGAGGTGGCAGAGCCAGGCTGGGCAGAGAAGGAAAAGCAACCAGGACAAGAATCTGTGCAGAGAGCAGGGAAGGCATTTGGGATGCCTCGCCGGGAGCCTTCATGCAGCTCACCAAGGGGTGGGTGGTGGACACCCCACTCCCCTTCAACGCCCACCAGGCACTTCTGGGCTACCACAATGGGGCTGGCTCTTTGCTGGGATCATGCCCTGGAGAGAGGCCAGTTTGCAAGAGGCAAAAGGAAGGCTCTTTCCCTCCTCACTCCCCAATGGCCTCTAGTGATCCCTGGTCAGGAGGTAGAGGGGAGAAAGCACCAAAGGCAGAAGTACAGTATTTGAGAGTAAATTACATTAGAGTAAATATTATCTCCAGGATATTTCCAGGGTGCAGCAAATCTGCAAGGTTCCAGACACCTGGGCCTGGCCTGGCCCCACTAGCCAGGCCCTTCCACCGGTCCCTGGCCTGTTGCTCTGCTCCCTGCAAATATCTGCTGTGCTGTTGGACACAACCCTAGGCTGGCAGTCAAGGTGGAATGGGAGTGGGGGTGGTTTGCATGATGCCCACAGGATACACACACAGTCCTAGGTGGACTGGCCGTGAGCTGCTGGAGGTGTATTGGTTTCCCAGACTGTCATAACAGATGACCACAAACTGGGTGACTTGGCACAACAGAAACTTATTCTCCCACAGCTCCGGAGATCAGAAGTGTGAAATCGCCAGGCGCAGTGGCTCATGCCTGTAATCTCAGCACTTTGGGAGGCAGAGGAGGGCAGATCACCTGAGGTCGGGAGTTTGAGACCAGCCTGACCAACATGGAGAAACTCCATCTCTACTAAAAATACAAAATTAGCTGGGCATGGAGGTACATGCCTGTAATCCCAGCTACTCGGGAGGCTGAGGCAGGAGAATACCTTGAACCCAGGAGGCAGAGGTTGTGGTAAGCCAAGATGACACCATTGCACTCCTGCCCCTGGGCAACAAAAGTGAAACTCCATCTCAAAAAAAAAAAAAAATGGCTGGGGGCAGTGGCTCACACCTGTAATTCTAGCACTTTGGGAGGCCGGAAGGCGGGTGGATCACCTGAGGTCAGGAGTTCAAGACCAGCCTGGCCAACATGATGAAACCCCGTCTCTACTAAAAATACAAAAATTAGCCAGGCATGGTGGTGCATGCCTGAAATCCCAGCTACTCAGGAGACTGAGGCAGGAGAATCACTTGAACCTGGGAGGCGAAGGTTGCAGTGAACTGAGATCGTGCCATTGCACTCCAGCATGGGGGATAAGAGCGAGACTTTGTCTCAAAAAAAAAAAAAAGATAATAGCTATATAACTAGATGGACAGGTAGAGGATGGATGAATGATAGGTATATAGATAGAAGGATAAATAGATAATAGATAGATGATAAATAATAGGTATATAGGTAGATGGATAGATGATAGACGGAAGATAGGTATCTAGATAGATGGATAGATAGATGATAGATGATTGATAGATGATAGATGCATGGATGATAAGTATATAGATAGATGGATAGATAAATAGATGATGGATGGACGGATGATAGGTATATAGATAGATGGATAAATAGATAATAGATAGATGATAGGTATATAGATGGATAGATAGTTGGATGACAGATAGATGGATGGATAGGTAGATAGATGATAAGTAGATAATGAGATAGACAGATAGATAATAGGCAGGTGGATTTTTTTTTTTTTTTTTGAGACAGAATCTGTCTCTGTCACCCAGGCTGGAGTGCGGTAGTGCGATGTCGGCTCATTGCAAGCTCCGCCTCCCGGGTTCACACCATTCTCCTGCCTCAGCCTCCCAAGTAGCTGGGACTACAGGCGCCCGCCACCAAGCCCAGCTAATTTTTTTGTATTTTTAGTAGAGATGGGGTTTTACTGTGTTAGCCAGGATGGTCTCGATCTCCTGACCTTGTGATCTGCCCGCCTCGGCCTCCCAAAATGCTGGGATTACAGGCGTGAGCCACTGCGCCCGGCCATAGGTAGGTAGGTATTTTCTGTGGCTTCTGAAGCCTTCTAGTCAATTGTGTCTCGATTGGATCCTCTGGAAAAAAAAGCATCCAGACCTCAAAAACTAAGGACAGGGACTCTAGAATTTCTGAACTGATGAGTTAAAATAGCTTAGGAATGGGCTCTCAGTTGGGGAATTGCCACATGAGGACACGTTTTAATCATTAATGCTGATGCAGGCCAGATTGCTTTCCAAGAAACCCTGCCCTGTCACTTTTTCCAGCCATTCTTGTCTGAGGAGGCAGAGGAATTGAGCAAGCCTGGACTGTGAGCTGTGCCTGGGTTGGTGGCCAGAGTTTGAGCAGGGGTGTGTGCAGGACAGGGTGTGATGGTGGAATGAGCAGTTCCTTGGGTCCTCCAAGTACCAGGGAAATGCCACAACTGGACACTTCCAGAGGGACCACACTCCTCCAGGTTTGGAGGCCATGGAGAAGAATCCAGGTTCCAAATATGACCCCTTTTCCCCTGCGCTTCTGAAAAACAGCCAAGGGTCACCTTTTTCTTTCTTTTTTTTTCATGAGACAGTGTCTTGCTTTGTCACCCTGGCTGGAGTGCAGAGGCATGATCATAGCTCCCTCCAGCCTCAAACTCCTGGGCCTCCAGCCTCCCGAGTAGCTAGGACTACAAGTGTGTGCCACCATGCCCAGCTTTTTTGTTTGTTTGTTTTGTAGAGACAGGGGTCTCACTACATTGCCCAGGCTAGTCTCAAATTCCTGGCCTCAAGCAATCCTCCAGCCTTGGTCTCCGGAAGTACTGTGATTATAGGCATGGGCCACCAAGCCCAGCCAAGGATCACTTCTTATCCGATATTATATCTCAAGAAATTTTGCAATTTAAAAAATTAACTTGGTATGAGGCAGCTAAGTACCCTGTACTGTCTGATCAGGGAATCTTAACTGGGAGCTTAACCTGGAGAGATACTTCAAAATTCATAGATGACAGACCCCCTTCTCTGAAACCCTCAAATCAGATCTGAGGCCTAGACTCATGCTGTTTGAGGAAAGTCCATGGAGATTCTAACGCAAGGCTTGAACTGAGGGCCAGTGCAAAAGAACATGGCGAGAATATGGCCAGCCCACGACCTTGATTTCTTTTTCTTTTCCTGTTAAAAATGTCAGTTTCACTGGAATCATCAAAAAATCACATTCTAGAAAATGTGCTAAGCCAGCATTTCTCACTTTAATGAGCATACACATCATATCTTGTTAAAATGCAGATTCTGGCCAGGCGTGGTGGCTCACACCTGTAATCCCAGCACTCTGGGAAGCCAAGGAGGTGGATCACTTGAGGTCAGGAGTTCAAGAACAGCCTGGCCAACATGGTGAAACCCCATCTCTACTAATAATACAAAAATTAGGCCGGGTGTGGTGGCTCACACCTGTAATCCCAGCACTTTGGGAGGCTGAGGCGGGCTGATCACAAGGTAAGGAGTTTGAGACCAGCCTGGCCAACATGGTGAAACCCCATCTCTACTAAAAACACAAAAAAACAAAAATTAGCCGGGTGTGGTGGCTGGCACCTGTAATCCTAGCTACTCAGGAGGCTGAGGCAGGAGAATTGCTTGAAACTGGAAGTTGGAGGTTGTGGTGAGCTGAGATCAAGACACTGCACTCCAGCCTGGGCGACAGTGCAAGACTCTGTCTCAAAAAAAAAAAGGCCAGGCATGGTGGCTCACGCCTGTAATCCCAGCACTTTGGGAAGCCGAGGCTGGCAGATCATGAGGTCAGGAGATCCAGACCATCCTGGTTAACACGGTGAAACTCCGTCTCTACTAAAAATACAAAAAATTAGCTGGGCGTGGTGGCGGGCACCTGTAGTCCTAGCTACTCGGGAGGCTGAGGCAGGAGAATGGTGTGAATCCAGGAGGCGGAGCTTGCAGTGAGCTGAGATCACACCACTGCACTCCAGCCTGGGCAACAGAGCAAGACTCCGTCTCAAAAAAAAAAATTACCTGGGCACAGTGGCCCATGCATGTAATCCTAGCTACTCGGGAGGCTGACTGAGGCAGGAGAATCACTTGAACCTGGGAGGCAGAGGTTGCAGTGAGCCGAGATCATGCAGAGTGGCAGGGTGACAGAGTGAGACTCCATCCAAAAAATAAAATAAAATAAAATAAAATGCAGATTCTGATTCAGCAGGGCTGGGGTGGGGCCTGACAATTTACCTTAAGTTCTCAGATGATGATTGTGCTGTTGGACCATGGTCCATACTTTGAGTAGCAAGGGGGCTACATCAGTGTGTTACTGAAACCCCAGGGATTCAGTCTGGGTCCTGCCGCTCGCTGCACAGAAAGCCAACCATTGAGACGATGATTCTTGCCAAAGAAGAAGGCTTTAATTGGGTGCTGCAGGCCAGGAGAGGGGAGACAAGTCTCAAATCCATCTCCCTGACAGACTAAAATTAGGGGCTTAAACAGCAGGGAAGAAATGTAACTACCTCTGAGAAAAGAGGAACTCGGGAGGGGGTAAGGAAGCAATCATGATGAATGAGGGGCCTGGAGTCTCATTGTCTGGGTGCGATGGTCTGGTGAGTTTCAAGTCTTTGATACTTTTTTTTTTTTTTTTTTGAGATGGAGTCTCTGTCGCCCAGGCTGGAGTGCAGTGGGGCGATCTCAGCTCACTGCAAGCTCTGCCTCCCAGGATTACGCCATTCTCCTGCCTCAGCCTCCAGAGTAGCTGAGACTATAGGTGCCCGCCACCACGCCTGGCTAATTTTTTTGTATTTTTTTAGTAGAGACAGGGTTTCACCGTGTTAGCCAGGATGGTCTCGACCTCCTGACCTCGTGATCCGCCTGCCTCGGCCTCCCAAAGTGCTGGGATTACAGGTGTGAACCACCATGCCTGGCTGTCTTTGATACTTTTTGAGAGACTTGGGTGTCCTTTATTGAGGAAGGAATTCAGATAAAACAGATGTAAGTTTTAAGCTTTAAGATTGGAGGGGTTAGCCAGGTGCAGTGGCTCATGCCTGTAATCCCAGCACTTTGGGAGATCAAGGCAGGTGGATCACTTGAGGCCAAGAGTTCAAGACCAGCCTGGGCAACAAGTGAGACCCCCCCCACCCCATCTCTTAAAAAAAATTTTAGCTGAATGTGGTGGTGTGTGCCTGTAGTCCCAGCTACCTGGGGGACTGAGATAGGAGGATCACCTGAATCTGGAAGGTCGAGGCTGCAGTGAGCTGTGATCACGCCATTGTACTCCAGCCTGGGCAACAGAGTGAGACCCTGTCTCAAAAACAAACAAACAAAAACAAAAAAAGAAAAAATCCCACCCAGAAGGGCTTTGCTATTTGGAGGTGCACATAGATCTCAACAGAGAGAAGCTGAAGGTTATCACTAGTTTCCTAGAGGGCTGCGGAAGGACTTAAGGGGTGAGACAGAATGGAAAGGTATTTGCTTTCATCAATGAGACTGAAGGTAATAGACACCCAGTGACTGAAGGGAGGAGAGCCTCAGAAAACTCACCAACACACCAAAATACCAAAGAGCTGGCAGCGTTAAACATCCAACAAATTTGACACCAGCTCACAACAGTCACACTCAAACAAGACCTTTTCTGTTCCACTTTTTTTTCTCTTCCCTTCCTGTACTCCAATCCCAAGAGATCAGAAGTCAGCCACGCACAGCCCCTTTCTTTAAAGTCAGGCTTCAGGCTTCCCAGCTGTGTTCCAGAGCAATCTGTTTTTTTTGGGGGGGCGGTTTTTTGTTTTGTTTTGAGACAGAGTCTCGCTCTTTATTGACCAGGCTGGAGTGCAGTGGTGTCATCATAGCTCACTGCAGCATTGAACTCCTGGGGTCACATGATGCTGCCAACCTAAGCCTCCCAAGTAACTAGAATTACAGGCACATGCCATCATACCAGACTAATTTAAAAAAAAGTTTGGGGGCTGGGCATGTTGGCTCATACCTGTAATCCCAGCACTTTGGGAGGCCAAGACTGGCAGATCACTTGAGGTCAGGAGTTCGAGACCAGCCTGGCCAACATGATGAAGCCCTGTCTCTACTAAAAACACAAAAATTAGCTGGGCGTGGTGGCAGGTGCCTGTAATCCCAGCTACTCAGAAGGCTGAGGCGGGAGAATCACTTGAACCCAGGTGGCAGAGTTTGCAGTGAGCCGAGATTGTGCCATTGCACTCCAGCCTGGGCAACAAGAGTGAAACTCTATCTCAAAAAAAAAATTATTTTTGATAGAGACAAGGTCTCGCTATGTTGCCTGGCTGCTCTCAAACTTCTGGCCTCAAGTGATCCTCCCGCCTCAGCCTTGGAAAGTGCTAGGATTACAGGTGTGACCCATCATGCCCGGCCCCAGATCAATCTTTACTATGTCTGAGAAACCTCTTATCTCTTCTGCCTCCCCACCAGACTTTCAAGGCCTTGTTGAAGCACTCCTGGCTTAACTGGTGATCTCATATGCATTCCCTAATGAATCACTTGCACACTAATCTCTAACTCAAGTTTGGCTTCCTGGGAAACCCAACCCATGGCAAAGTAAATCTTAGTGCTGCTTTTGGAGAATGTTCTCAGGGAAGGCAATGACTTGCCCTTCTATACACCACACCCCCACCAAGCTATGCTTCTGACCAGTGTGGACAATCAATCAACAACTGTAGGGGTCCCCCATGGCACAGCCATGGTCAGGTACAGTTTAGCGAAATCATCTAAAAATGATCAGGATTGAATTTCTCACCAGCTCAATCCTGAGTACTCAGAATCTAAATTAAATTGATTTAAGGTCCATAAACATACTTGAGGCCAAGTATAGTGGCTCACACCAGTAATCCCAGAACTTTGGAAGGTAACAGGCAGATCACTTGAGGTCTGGATTTGGAAACCAGCCTGGCCAACATGGTGAAACCCTGTCTCTACTAAAACTACAAAAGCTAGCCAGGCTTGGTGGTGGGTGCCTGTAATCCCAGCCACTGGGGAGGCTGAGGCAGGAGAATCACTTGAACCTGGGAGGCAGAGGTTGCAGTGAGCCAAGACTGCGCCACTGCACTCCAGCCTGGGCAACAGAGTGAGGCTGTGTCTCAAAAATTAAAATAAAAAGATGCAAAAATTAGCTGGGTGTGGTGGCAGGCACCTGTAATTCCAGCTACTGAGGAAGCTGAGGCAGGAGAATCTCTTGAACCTGGGAAGCGGAAGTTGCAGTGAGCTGAGATTGCGCCACTGCACTCCAGCCTGGGCAACAGAGAGACACTGTGTCTCAAATAAATACACATACTTGAGGTAGATTCTTATAGTGAAGGCCTCTTGTGTTCACATCCTCCTGTATTCCAGCCTTGTGTAATACCCTCCCCTGCGGACTCTGGGCTTGGTCATTCGGTCTTGCATTGGTCAATGGAAACTTAGCAATTGTGAAGCCAGGAGAGGCTTGAAAAGGGCTTGCACTTTGGGGCACGTTCTCTTGCCGCTCTTTAGAGCTGCAAAAATGCCATGAGAGGCCTGGCGCGGTGGCTCACGCCTGTAATCCCAGCACTTTGGGAAGCCGAGACGGGTGGATCACAAGGTCAGGAGATCGAGACCATCCTGGCTAACACGGTGAAACCCCGTCTCTACTAAAAATACAAAAAATTAGCCAGGCATGGTGGCGGGCGCCTGTAGTCCCAGCTACTCAGGAGGCTGAGGCAGGAGAATGGCGTGAACCTGGGAGGCGGAGCTTGCAGTGAGCCAAGATAGCACCACTGCACTCCAGCCTGGGCGACGAGTGAGACTCCATCTCAAAAAAAAAAAAAAAAAATGCCATGAGAAGAAGCCTGGGCCAGCCCTTTTGGGAGATGAGAGACCACCTGGAACAGAGATGAACTGTCCCAGTTGAGGACCCCTTAGAACCATCAGCCTGCCAGCTACCAGATGTGAGTGAGACAGTCCCTGACTATTCAGAGCCAGCCATAAAACATTTAGACTCATAAAACAAGGGAAAAAACAAATGTTTATTGTCTCAAGCCACTCGATTTGGAGTGGTTTATTTTATTTTCACTTATATAAAACTCTTGTGACCTATTTTTTGCACTTGGTTTTCTTAAGAATCTTTCTTTTTCTTTTTTTCAGAGGCAGGGTCTTACTCTGTCACCCAGACTGGAGTACAGTGGCACAATCACAGCACTCAACTGTCTCCACCTCCTGAGAGCTCAAACAATCCTCCTGCTTCAGCCTCCTGGGTAGCTGAGACTCTATGGGTGTGCGACACCACGCCTGGCTATTTTTTATTTTTTTGTAGAGATGTGGTCTCACTATGTTGCCTAGGCTGGTCTCTAAATCCTGGCCTCAAGTGATCCTCCTGCCTGAGCCTCCTGAGTAGCTGGAACTACAGGTGTGAGCCACCATGCCTGGCCTAGCTTGAATAGTTTTGCTCCCTCAGAAGTGAGCTGTATTGCTGGAATGTTAAATGTGGCCTGGGAAAGAAAGCACACTTAGCCAAGGCTGGGCACAGTGGCTCACACCTGTAATCCCAGCACTTTAGGAGGCTGAAGCAGCCAGATCACTTGAGGTCAGGAGTTTGAGACCAGCCTGGCTAACATGGTGAAACCCTGTCTCTACTAAAAATACAAAAATTAGCCAGGCATGATGGTGCATGCCAGTAATCCTAGCTACCTGGGTGGCTGAGGCAGGAGAATTGCACGAACCCAGGAGGTAGAGGGTTGCAGTGAGCCAAGATCACACCACTGCACTCCAGCCTGGGCAATAGAGACAGAGTGAGACTCTGTCTTCAAAACAAACAAACAAACAAACAAACAAAGCATACTTAGGCAAGTTAGAGAGTTTCCACCAGGACATTTCCTCTCCTTACAAGTAAGCAGATGACAAACTTTACCAGTACAATGGCTAAGATGACTATTTGCCTTTGGCTTTCTGTGTTAACTACATAAGTTCTGTTTACAAAGGCAAAGCTATTTATCTTTTTATTTGGGAGTTATTCCAATGTTATTAAACTTAGGAAGTTCTTTTCCATCATAACATTTGATACATATTTTCCAGCTGGGTGTGGGTGACTCATGTCTGTAATCCCAGAATTTTGGGAGGCCCAGGCAGGAGGATCATCTGAGGCCAGAAGTTCAAGACCAGCCTGGGTAGTATAGTGAGATCTCATCTCTAAAAAATAAGTTTAAAAAATCAGCCAGGTGGCCGGGCGACTCTGGGAGGGCGAGGTGGGTGGATCACAAGGTCAGGAGTTCAAGAACAGCCTGGCCAAGATGGTAAAACCCCATCTCTACTAAAAATACAAAAATTAGCCGGGTGTGGTGGTGCACATCTGTAATCCCAGCTATTCGAGAGGCTGAAGCAGAAGGATCACTTGAACCCAGGAGGCAGAGGTTGCAGTGAGCCAAGATCGTGCCACTGCAATCCAGCCTGGGCGACAGAGCAATAGTCCATCTCAAAAGAAAAAAAAAATCAGCAAGTTGTAGGCTCGGTGTAATGGCTCACACCTGTAATCCCAGCACTTTGGGAGGCCGAGGTGGGCAGACCACTTGAGGTCAGGAGTTCAAGAGCAGCCTGGCCAACCTGGCAAAATCTGGTCTCTACCAAAAATACAATAATTAGCCAGATGTGGTGGTATGCACCAGTAATCCCAGCCACTCAGGAGGCTGAGCATGAGAATCGCTTGAACCTGTGAGGTGGAGGTTGTAGTAAGCTAAGATTGCACCACTGCACTCCAGCCTGGGTGACAGAAGGAGACTCAGTCTCAAAAAAAGAAAAAAAGTAGCCAGGTGCAGGGGCAGGTGCCTGTACTCCCAGCTATTGGAGAGGCTGAGGAGGGAGAATTGCTTGAACCCAGGAGGTTAAGTCTGCAGTGAGCTATGATTGTGCCACTGCACTCCAGCCTGGGTGACAGAGCAAGACTCTGTCTCTAAATAAATAAATAAATAAATACTTTCTCTCTAGTATTTTAATGGATTAACAAATCAGTTTAACTCTTTAATGCATTTGTTATTAACTTGGATGTAAAGTGTGAGTGTTTACATAAGTCCATTTTCTCCCGAGACTTATATATATATGTGTATATGTATATATACCTCAATGATTTATCTATTCTCATTCTGGTGTTACACATGATTACAGTTTTACAACGTATTTTTCCACATAAGAGGAAGAATCTCTGTTATTACTCTTTATTTTTTGAGACAGAGTTTTGCTCTTGTTGCACAGGCTGGAGTGCAATGGCATGATCTCGGCTCACTGCAACCTCCACCTCCCGGATTTAAGCGATTCTCCTGCCTCAGCCTCCCGAGTAGCTGGGATTAGATTACAGGCATGCGCCACTACGGCCGGCTAATTTTGTATTTTTAATAGAGATGGGGTTTCTTAATGTTGGTCAGGCTGTTCTCCAGCTCTTTTTTTTTTGTTGTTGTTCTCCAACTCTTGACCTCAGGTGGTCTGCCCGCCTTGGCCTTCCAAAGTGCTGGGATTACAGGGATGAGCCACTGCACCCGGCTTATTACTTTTTTTTTTTTTTTTGAGGAGTCTCACTCTGTCATCCAGGCTGGAGTGCAGTGGCGCGATCTCTGCTCACTGCAAGCTCTACCTCCCAGGTTCACGCCATTCTCCTGCCTCAACCTTCCGAGTAGCTGGGACTACAGGTGCCCGCCACCACGCCTGGCTAATTTTTTGTATTTTTAGTAGAGATGGGGTTTCACTGTGTTAGCCAGGAAGGTCTCGATCTCCTGACCTCGTGATCCACCTGCCTCAGCCTCCCAAAATGCTGGGATTACAGGCGTGAGCCACCACACCCGGCCTACTCACTCTTATTCTTCACAGATTTCTCAGTGGTTATTTTGTCTATTCTTTTGTTTGTTTGTTTTTGAGACCGGGTCTCTGTGTCACCCTGGAGTGCAGTGGCACCATCTTGGCTCACTACAGCCTCAACCTCTCAGGCCCAATCAATTCTCCCACTTCAGCCTCCCAAATAGCTGGGACTACAGGTATATGCCTCCACACCTGGCTATTTTTTGCTTTTTTTATTTTAATTTTTATTTTTTTAGAGACGGGGTTCTTGCTATGTCATCCAGGCTGGTCTCGAACTCCTGGGCTCAAGCAATCCACCCATCTTGGCCTCCAAAGTGCTGGGATTACAGGCGTAAAGCACCATGCCCAGTCATTATGTTTATAACTGTGTTGTGGATATTTGTCATGTTTGTGAGCTGACTTTTTTTTTTTTTCAGACAGTCTCACTCTGTCACCTAGGCTGGAGTGCAGTGGCATGATCTCAGCTCACTGCAACCTCTGCCTCCCGGGTTCAAGCAATTCTCCCTGCCTCAGCCTCCCAAGTAGCTGGGATTACAGGCATGTGCCAACACACCCAGCTAATTTTTGTATTTTTTGTAGAGATGGGGTTTCTCCATGTTGGCCAGGCTGGTCTCGAACTCCTGACCTCAGGTGATCTGCTCGTCTCCACCCCACAAAGTGCTGCGATTACAGGCGTGAGTCACTGTGCCCATTTGAGAAAAGGAATCACTAGCTATGGTAGCCACAGCCTTACAGAATGTATTTCTTTTTTTTTTTTTTTTTGAGACGGAGTTTTGCTTTTTCACCCAGGCTAGAGTGAAGTGGCACGATCTTGACTCACTGCAATCTTTACTCCCCAGCTTCCAGTGATTCTCCTGCCTCAGACTTCCCAGTAGCTGGGATTACAGGCGTGCGTCACCACGCCTGGCTAATTTCTGTATTTTTAGTAGAGACAGGATTTCACCATGTTGGCCAGGCTAGTCTCAAACTCCTGACCTCAGGTGATCCACCTGCCTCAGCATCCCAAAGTGCTGGGATTACAGGCATGAGCCACTGTGCCCGGTCTTGTGAGCTATTTTGAAGAATTTTCTGCCTTATGAGTCTTGCCACTACCCCATCCCCCAAGTTAGAAGCCAGGAAGCATGATTCTCCAGCCTCCCTTGCAGCTAAGGAATGGTCATGTGACTTAGGCTAGGTCATGTGACTGAGGCTCCACTAATCCAACATACTGTTGTGATACTTTAGAAATAAACATGAGCCAGGCATGGTGGTGCAACCTGTAATCCCATCACTTTGGGAAGCATAGGTGAGAGGATCGCTGGAGCCCAGAAGTTCAAGGCTGCAGTGAGCTATGATCATGCTACTGCACCCTAGCCTGGGCAACACAGTAAGACCCTGGTCTCTTTTTTTTTTTTTTTTTTGAGATGGGGTCTTGCTCTGTCTCCCAGGCTGAAGTGCAGTGGTGTGATCTTGGCCTACTGCAAGCTCCGTCTCCCGGGTTCATGCCATTCTCCTGCCTCAGCCTCCCAAGTAGCTGGGACTACAGGCACCCACCACCACGCCCGGCCAATTTTTTGTATTTTTAGTAGAGACGGGGTTTCACCATGTTAACCAGGATGATCTTGATCTCCTGATCTCGTGATCCACCCGTCTTGGCCTCTTAAAGTGCTGGGATTACAGGCCTCAGCCACCACACCCAGTCCCAGACCCTGGTCTCTTAAAAAAAAAAAAAAATGGCCAGCCACAGTGGCTCACGCCTGTAATCCCAGCACTTTGGGAGGCCAAGGCAGGTGGATCACGAGGTCAGGAGATCAAGACCATCCTGGCTAACACGGTGAAACTCCGTCTCTACTAAAAATAGAAAAAATTAGCTGGGTGTGGTGGTGGATGCCTGTAGTCCCAGTTACTCAGGAGGCTGAGGCAGGAGAATGGCATGAACCCGGGAGACAGAGCTTGCAGTGAGCCCAGATTGCGCCACTGCACTTCAGCCTGGGCAACAGAGCGAGACTCCGTCTCAGAAAAAAAAAAAAAAAAAGAGGCCAGGCACGGTGGCTCACGCCTGTAATCCCAGCACTTTGGGAGTCCGAAGCGGGCAGATCATGAGGTCAAGAGATCAAGACCATCCTGGCCAACATGGTGAAACCCTTTCTCTACTAAAAGTACAAAAATTAGCTGGGCATTGTGGCACATGCCTGTCTGTAGTCCCAGCTACCTGGGAGGCTGAGGCAGGAGAATTGCTTGAACCTGGAAGGCGGAGGTTGTAGTGAGGCAAGATTGTGCCTCTGCACTCCAATCTGGCAACACAGTGAGACTCTGTCTCAAAAAAAAAAAAAAAAAGAATTAATTAAATAAACAACATGAAAAAGCAGGCTCTATGTGGAGTCCATCCATCTGCTGGTGAGGATGACCACAGCAATGTCCAGCTCTGGGGGCTGGCAATAGCTGTGAGGTTGAGTTCCAGATACACATGTGGCATTGGTGCTGGTGACAGTGGTGGATGCAGTGGTTTCTGTCCCTGGCATCAGTGCACATTGGCTCAGTGTCCTGCACTTGGAAGGCTGGTTCTCTCATCATTTCAGTTTTGCAACGTGGTCTGGGCACTGTTCCTGGGAGCCCAGGGCCCTAGTGGTTCTGAGAGTTCCCCAGTGCCTGATAATAAATGCTTTTTCGGCTGGGTGTGGTGGCTCATGCCTGTAATCACAGCACTTTGGGAGGCTGAGGCAGGAGAAGTGCTTGAGGCCAGGAGTTTGAGACCAGCCTGGGCAACATAGCGAGATCCTCTTTCTACAAAAAATGGAAGAGAATAGGTGGGTGTGGTGGTGTGTGCCTATAGTCACAGCTACTCTGGAGGCGGAAGCAGCAGGATGGCTTGAGCCCAGGAGTCTGAGGCTGCCATGGGCTATGATTGCACCACTGCATGCCAGCCAGCCTAGGTGGTAGAGACCCTGTCTCAAATAAATAAATACCTGTAATCCCAGCACTTTGGGAGGCCAAGGTGGGCAGATCACCTGAGCTAAGGAATTCGAGACCACCCTGGGCAACATGGTGAAACCCCGTCTCTACTAAAATACAAAAAATTAGCCAGGCATTGTGGCAGGTGCCTGTAATCCCTGCCTACTTGGGAGGCTGAGGCAGGAGAATCACTTGAGCCCCGGAGGCAGAGGTTGCAGTGAGCCAAGATCACACCATGGCACTCCAGCTTGGGCTACCGAGTGAGACTCCATCTCAAATAAATAAATAAATAAATAAATTTTTTTTGAAAAGTGCCTTTTCTGTGCTAACTAGAGTATGTGCTGATGTTTGTAACTAGGAAACTTAACTGATACAGGAGGCAAAACTAAGTTAGGGAAGAAAGGTATAATCCAGAATAAATTGTAGGTATTATCTAGACTGACTTTAGGCCAGGTGCAGTGGCTCACAACTGTAATCCCAGCACTGGGGAGGCCAAAACGGGCAGATAACTTGAACCCAGGAGTTTGAGACCAGCCTGGGCAACATGGCGAGACCCCCATCTCTACAAAAAATACAAAAATTGGCCGGGCACGGTGGTTCACGCCTGTAATCCCAGCACTTTGGGAGGCTGAGGCGGGTGGATCACAAGGTCAGGAGATCGAGACCATCCTGGCTAACATGGTGAAACCCCGTCTCTACTAAAAATGCAAAAAATTAGCTGGGTGTGGTGGTGGGCGCCTGTAGTCCCAGCTACTCGGGAGGCTGAGGCAGGAGAATGGCGTGAACCCGGGAGACGGAGCTTGCAGTGAGCCAGGATTGCGCCACTGCACTCCAGCCTGGGTGACAGAACGAGACTCTGTCTCAAAAAAAAAAAAAGAAAAGAAAAAAATACAAAAATTAGCTGGGTGTGGTGGCAAACGCCGTTAGTCCCAGCTACTCGGGAAGCTGAGGGGGAAGGATTATTTGAGCCTAGGAAGCAGAGGTTTCAGTGAGCCGTGATTGCACCACTGCACTCCAGCCTGGGCAAGAGTAAGACCCTGTCTCAAAAAAGTGAAATAAAATGAAGTGCGATCCACGTGGGTCAGCAGCACCTGGGGGCTTGTTAGAACCACTTAATGTCAATATCACTCCAGTCCTGCTGAATCCACATTCGCTTTTTTTTTTTTTTTTTTTTTGAGACGGAGTCTTGCTCTGTCACCAGGCTGGAGTGCAGTGGCGTGCTATCAGCTCACTGCAACCTCTGCCTCTCAGGTTCAAGCAGTTCCCCTGCCTCAGCCTCCCAAGTAGCTGGGATTACAGGCACGTGCCACCACGCCCGGCTAATTTTTTGTATTTTAGTAGAGACGGGTTTTCACCATGTTGGCCAAGATGGTCTCAATCTCCTGACCTCGTGATCCACCCGCCTAGGCCTCCCAAAGTGCTGGGATTACAGCTGTGAGCCAGTGTGCCCGGCCCACATGCGCATTTTAATGAGATATCCAGGGAATTTGTTAACACAGATCAAGAAGCAGTCACTGCAGTGACTGCCAGCCCCAGCTGCACTTTGAAACCATTTGGGGACCATTTAAGAAAATATTGATGTCCATTTACATCCTCCATGACATCAGTTGATTCAGGTAAGAATCATCAGTGGAGACCAAAACCACAGGGCAAAAGGATGTGGGAGAGCAGGTTATTCCTACAACTCAAAGCTTTTCCCCATGGACCACTTATTGATTACAAAGAGGGAAAAATTACCTGTACAACAGATAACTCTGGCAGACACCACATAATAAGTGACAAGCTTAGCACAAATAGTGGGACAACGTGACAAGATGAACCTCCCACTGTGATGCCACGAGAAGATCACAACGTCATCCGTCTCACAACGAGAGAGAATTTCTGCCCAAAATGATGAACTTGAATCTAGTAATGACAGGGAAAAAAACAGACAAATCCAAATTGAGAGATAATCTGTAAAACAGATGCCTGGACTCTTGAAAAATGTCAGTTTCTTTTTTCTTTTTTTTTTTTGAGACTGATTCTTGCTCTGTCACCCAGGCTAGAGTGCAGGGACGCAATCTCGGCTCACTGCAACCTCTGCCTCCCGGGTTCAAGCGATTCTCCTGCCTCAGCCTCCCGAGTAGCTGGGGTTGCAGGCATGGGCCACTATGCCTGGCTAATTTTATATTTTTAGTAGAGATGGGGTTTCACCATGTTGGCCAGGCTGGTCTCGAACTCCTGACCTCAAGTGATCTGCCCGCCTTGGCCTCCTGAAGTGCTGGAATTACAGGCTTGAGCCACTGAGCCTGGCCCAAAAATGTCAGTTTCATGAGAATCAAAAAAGACTGGGTGCCCGTGCCATGATGTGTGCCTGTGTCTTAGCTACTCAGGGGGTTGATGTGGGAGAATCGCTTGAGCCCAGGAGTAAAAGTCCAGCCTAGACAACATAGCAAGACCCCATCTCTATATAACAAAATAAATAAAATAAAATAAATAATATTAAAATTTTTTTTTGAGACAGCGTCTCACTCTGTTGCCCAAGCTGGAGCTGGAGTGCAGTGGTATGGTCACAGCTCTCTGCAGCATCAAACTACTATGTTCAAGTAATCTTCCTCGCTCAGCTTCCCGTAGCTGAAACCACAGGCATGAGCCACCATGCCCAGCATTTTTTTGTTGTTGTTGTTTACTTAGTATTACTTTTTTGTCAAGACAAAGCCTCACTGTTTTGCCCAGGCTGGTCTTGAACTCCTCGCCTCAGCCTCCCAAAACACTGGGATTACAGGCGAGAGCCACTGCTTCTGGATAAAAATTATTTTTAAAAAAGACTAGGCAACTGCTCTAGATTAAAGGCAGCTGACTCGACAGTGAGACCCTGTCTCTACAAAAAATACAAAAATTAGCTGGGCATGGTGGTGCATGCCTGCAGTCCCAGCTACTTGGGAGGCTAAGGAGGCAGGATCACTTGAGCCTGGGAGGCAGAGGATGCAGTGAGCTATGATTGCACCACAGCACTCCAGCCTGGGCAACAGGGTGAGACTCTGTCTCAAAAAAAAAATTGAAATAAAATTAAAAAGTGTGATCTAGATTAAAGGCAACTTACTCAACTTTATGCATTATGTGATGTTTACGTAGTGCACTGGGGGAAAAGGCTCTGAAGGACATTTTCAGAACAATTTTGGAGAAATTTGAATAGTAGTTAATATAATTATATTCATGGTCAATGCTCTGGGTGTGGTTAACTGTGATGTGGTTTATGTAGGAGAATACACCTGCTCTTAGAGTTACATGCTTGTATGAATCTGTTCTCATGCTGCTAATAAAGACATACCTGAGACTGGGTAATTTATAAAAGAAAGAGGTTTAATGGACTCACAGTTCCACATGGCTGGGGAGACCTCACAATCATGGCAGAAGGCAAAGGAGGAGCAAAGGCCCATCTTACATGGTGGTAGCCAAGAGAGTGTGTGCAGGGAACTCCCCTTTATAAAACCATCAGATCTCATGAGACTTACTCACTCGCAGGAGAATGGCATGGGAAAAACCCACCCCCGTGATTCAATTATCTCCACCTGGCCCCGCCCTTGACATGTGGGGATTATTACAATTCGGGACGAGATTTGGGTAGGGACACAGCCAAACCATATCATTGCCAAAGTATATAAGGACAAGTGTCATATCTATAATTTATTTTAAATGGTTTAGAAAAAAAAAAGATCCAAAGAGAGAGAGAAAATAAAGGTGGCAGTATGCCAAATGCTAATTTGGCTGATGAAGGATCAGCAGATGTTTTCTGTAAAGAGCCATATTGTAAATTATTTAGGCTTTGCAGCCTATAAAGTCTCTGCCAAAATACTCCACGTTGCTGTTTTAGCATGAAAGCAGCCATAAACAATATATAGACCAATAAGCATGGGCCGGGCATGATGGTGACCCATGCCTGTAATCCCAGCACTTTGGCGGGCCAAGACAGGAGGACTGCTTGAGCCCAGGAGTTGGAGAACAGCCCTGGCAACATAGCAAGATCCCGTCACTACAAAAAAAATTTTTAAAGTAGCTGGGCATGGTGGTGCACACCTGTAGTTCCAGCTACTTGGGAGGCTGAGATGAGAGGATTGCTTGAGCCCAGGAGTTCAAGGCTGCAGTGAGCTGTGTTGGCACCACTGCACTCCAGCCTGGGCAACAGAGCAAGACCCTGTCTCAAAACAAACAAAAAAGCATTACTATGTTTCAATAAAACTTGATTTATGAACAATGAAATTTGAATTTAATTTTTTTTTTAGATGGATTCTCTCTGTCGCCCAGGCTGGAGTGCAGTGGCACGATCTTGGCTCACTGTAACTTCTGCCTCCCAGGTTCAAGCAATTCTCCCGCCTCAGCCTCCCGAGTAGCTGGGATTACAGGCACGTGCCACCATGCCCAGTGAACTTTTTTATTTTTGAGAGAGACTGGGTTTCACCATGTTGGTCAGGCTGGTCTCAAACTCCTAACATCAAGTGATCTGCCCACCTCAGCCTCCCAAAGTGCTGGGACTACAGGCGTGAGCCTCTGTGTCCAAAGTTTTGATTTCTTATCATTTTTATGTGTCTTGACATATTTTCTTCTGTTAATTCCTGCATCCATAAGTGTGAATTTTATTTCACTAAGATTAGTAAACAGCCATTTCAAAACTTGGCTCTCTGAAAGTATATACACCAAAATGTTATCAATGATGACTCCTTCAGGATCAGGAGGGAGATGAAGAGGAATTTTATGTGTTTTTTTTGTTTTTGTTTTCCTGAGATAAGGCCTCACTCTGTCACCCAGGCTAGAGTGCATTGGTGCAATCACAGCTCACTGCAGCCTCAACCTCCAGGGTTCAAGTGATCCTCCCAGCTCAGCCTCCCATATAGCTGAGAATACCGGCATGCATCACTATGCAATGCTTTTCTAAAAATTATTTTTTGTAGAGATGGGGTCTCACTATGTTGCTCAGGCTGGTCTCCAACTCCTGGGCTCAAGTGATCCTCCCACCTCAGCCTCCCAAAGTGCTGGGATTATAGGCATGAGCTGCCACGCCCTGCCAGAACTTCATGTTTTATTTTATATACATCCGTATTGTTTAAATGTTCACAAGAATGCATAGGTTGGGCGCAGTGGTTCAGGCCTGTAATCCCAACACTTTGGGAGGCCGATGGGGGTGGATTGCTTTGAGCTCAGGAGTTCGAGACCTGCCTGGGCAACAGGGCAAAACTCCATCTCTACAAAGAATACAAAAATTAGCTGGGCATGGTGGTGCAAATCTGTGGTCCCAGCTACTTGGGAGGCTGAGGTGGGGGGATCACTTGAGCCTGGGAGGTGGAGGTTGCAGTAAGCCGAGATCACACCACTGCACTCCAGCCTGGGCAACAGAGTGAGACCCCATCCCCCAAAATAAATGAATGAAGGAATGTTCACAAGAGAGCTTTGGTTTGAGGAGGTGGTGTATTTTTTGTTTTCTTTTCATTAAGCTGCTTCTTAGTCAGTTTTTGCTGCAGTAACAAACAACCCCAACATTCCAGTGGCTTACAACATACATTTGTTCCTCATATTACATGAGGGCTGAGGGTGGGCCAGAGGGTGAGCAAGCCTCCAGCATCAGAGATCTGCAAATACATGCTCAGGCTCTGCTGCCCTGGTCCTATGTGATCCTGGCTCACCGGGGCTTGTTCTTGGCTCCAATCCTGACTGCAGTCCCCTCCTGTGACCTCGCCTGCATCGGTGACTTCCGCATCTCCCAGCATTCAGACCTTGGCTGTCCTCTGGTTTCCCTGGCTCAGCGCACCCTGCCCTGGCCCTGACTCCTTGGTGTCCCTATGACTCAAGACTCTGGCTCCCTGCCCCCAGGACCCCACCCTGCCCATGTTCTGGCCCTTCCAGCTAAGGCCCCACAAGGGGGAAAAAGAGAGCATTTAACCCAGAACCCACCAGGTTCCTGGGACTCTCTGCCCCTGCCCTGTGCAAGGACAACATGGGTCTTCCGGTTCTACGAACACAGCCACTGACCCAGCCGTGCACGCAGGACACGGCAGACATGTAATTAATGACCCACGAAGCTTCTAACAGAGGCTCATTCTGAGTAGCTAGTACTCTAGGGGGAGTGAAGGGAAGATTGACTCTTGGCTGCAAGCCATACCCAGCATGTCACAGCCCCCAGCCCTAAAGTCTACTTGCTCCATCCTCCTCCTTGGTCAGGGGTATTTGGGAACCACGGGGAAGGAGCTTTAGAAACAGGATTGCTCAATAGATCTGATGCTTGGGCGTTTCGAGTTCCCAGCAAACACTTGCTTCCCAAGCCCAAGCACGTGATCTCTAGCTCTGGAGCAGACAGGTCTAGGTCGACTTGCATCTTTTTTTTTTTTTTTTTTTTGGAGACAGAGTCTCACCCTGTCGCCCAGGCTGGAGTGCAGTGGCGCGATCTTGGGTCACTGCAACCTCCTCCTCCCAGGTTCAAGGGATTCTCTTGCCTCAGCCTCCTGAGTATCTGGGACTACAGGCGTGCATCACCATGCCCAACCAATTTTTGTAATTTTTGGTAGAGACAGGGTTTTGCCGTGTTGGCCAGGCTGGTCTCAAACTCCTGACCTCAGTTGATCCCCGACTTCAGCCTCCCAAAGTGCTGGGATTACAGGCGTGAGCCTCCGCGCCTGGCCCTGAAAAATTTTTTTGTAGAGATGGGGACTCACTTTGTTGGCTAGCCTGGTCTCAAACTCCTGGACTCAAGCGATCCTCCTGCCTCAGCCACCCAAAGTGCTGTGATTACAGGTGTGAGCCACTGCACCCAGCTGTCTGCCTCCGCCTCCAGTACTTGCTCCCTGGGAGTGCCTGGGCCATTTTTTCACTCTGCACCTTTGGTTTCCTCCTCTATGACATAGGGATAAGGCATGCAGAGCCCTTAGTGCAGCACCTGGAATGTGGTTGGTGTTGAAAACTAGTAGCTATTGGTTGAGGCAAGAATCATCACTAGAATATAAGAGTAGTGAGTAAAAATGTGGTAAGAGAATATTTCTCTCAAATATCTCCCCATAAATTGCTTGTTAATTAAAAATGGGGGCAGGGTGCAGTGGCTCACACCTGTAATCCCAACACTTTGGGAGGCCGAGGTGGGAGGATCACTTGAGGCCAGGGGTTCGAGACCAGCCCAGGCAACATAGTGTAATCCCAGCACTTTGGGAGGCTGAGGCAGGCGGATCACCTGAGGTCAGGAGTTCGAGACCAGCTTGGCCAACATGGCGAAACCCCGTCTCTACTAAAAATACAAAAATTAGTCGGGCGTGGTGGTGCATGCCTATAATCCCAGCTATTTGGGAGGCTGAGGCAGGAGAATTGCTTGAACCCACAAGGCGAAGAAGGTTGCAGTGAGCCGAGATAATGCCACTGCACTCCAGCCTGGGCAACAAGAGTGTAACTCTGTCTCAAAAAAAAAGCTGGGAGTGATGGTGCACACCTGTAGTCCCAGCTACCTGGGAGGGAAGATCGCTTGAGCCCAGGAGGTCGAGGCTGCAGTGAGCTATGACGGCACCACTGCACTTCAGCCTGGGTGACACAGTGAGATCCTGTCTCACAAAGATTAAAAAAGGGGAGGGAGAACTAATCAAAGAACACCATCAGAGGAGTAAAAATACAACCCTCAGATTGGAAGTAAATATTTGCAATTCACATATATGATAAAGATTGATATCCAGAATACATTAAGAATTCCTGTGACTAAAAAACACAACAAAACATCAATTTAAAAATCGCCAGGCATGGTGGCTCACACTTGTAATCCCAGCAATTTGGGAGGCCAAGGCAGGTGAATCACCTGAGGTCAGGAGTTCGAGGCCAGCCTGGCCAACATGTTGAAAACCCCATCTCTACTAAAAATACAAAAAATTAGCTGGGCATGGTGGCGGGCGCCTGTAATCCAAGCTACTCGGGAGGCTGAGGCAAGAGAATCACTTGAACCCAGGAGGCGGAGGTTTCAGTGAGCTGAGATCTTGCCATTGCACTCCAGCCTGGGAGACAACAGCGAAACTCCATCTGCCCCCACCAAAAAAAAAAAAAGGCAAGGGTGGGGGCACATGTTCTCGGGATCTCCTGAGGGCTGTGTCTTGGGTCATGGTCACTAAAAAATTAAATTAAATTAAAAATTTTAAAAAAGGCAAGGGACTTGAGTAGGCATTTCTCCAAAGAAGATATATATATATATATATAGATATAGATACAGATTGAAATGTACATGAAAAGATATTCAGTATCATGAATCATTAGGGAAATGCAGATCAAAACCACAATGACATCCCCTTTCACACCCATTTGGATGGCTGATATGAAAAACAAATTTAAAAAAGAAAATGAAAAATAACAAGGGTTGGCAAGAATGTGGAGAAATGGGAACCACATTGTGCATTGCTGGTAGGAATATAAAATGGTACAGCTGCTATGTAAACAGTTTGGCAGTTCCTCAAAAAGATAAACACACAATTACTAAGCAATTCAGTCATTCCACTCGTAGATACATACTCAGATCAGAAAGCAGGGATTCAGATACTTGCATGCCAGTGTCCATAGCAGCATTATTTGTAATAGCTAAAAGTTGGAAACAAGCCAAATGTGCATCAGCAGACGAATGGATAAACAAAATGCAGGATACACATACAATGGACTCTTATTCAGCCTTAAAAAAGCATGAAATTGGCCGGGCACAGTGGCTTACACTTGTAACCCCAATACTTTGGGTGGCCGAGGCAGGTGGATCGCTTGAGGCCAGGAGTTCCAGACCAGCCTGGACAACATGGCAAAACCCCGTCTCTACTAAAAATACAATAAATTAGCCAGGCGTGGTGGCACATGCCTGTAGTCCCAGCTACTCAGGAGGCTGAAGTGGGAGGATCAACTGAGCCAGGGAAGTCAAGGCTGCTGTGAGCTGTAATGGCAGCACTGCACTCCAGCCTGGGCAGCAAGAATAAGTCCCAGTCTCAAAAAAAGAGAAGCCAATTCATTACCTTGAAAATAGGCAAAAAATGGGAAAGAATCAAACATTCATCTTGCCTGCCCTATACAAACTATATCTTGCAGCGTAAGTCACAAAAACACACTATGTCCCTCATAAGGAAGGATCACAATACCACCTATAGTGTTGCCAAAGGGATCAAGTGTGAATCTGACTGAGCTTATGGATCCAGCTGCTAAAATGAAGGAAAAACATAAGACAATTAACAAGTTGAACTGTGCAATAAGTAAGCCATCAGCAAAATCCAGGACTATGTGAAATTCTACAGGTCAAACTTCTTGGGCTCTTCATCATGAAACTGTAAGAATAAAAAGGGGGCCGGGCGCGGTGGCTCACACCTGTAATCCCAGCACTTTGGGAGGCCGAGGCGGGCGGATCACGAGGTCAGGAGATCGAGACCATCCTGGCTAACACGGTGAAACCCTGTCTCTACTAAAAATACAAAAAAATTAGCCGGGCGTGGTGGCGGGCGCCTGTAGTCCCAGCTACTCAGGAGGCTGAGGCAGGAGAATGGTGTGAACCCGGGAGGCGGAGCTTGTGGTGAGCAGAGATCTTGCCACTGCACTCCAGCCTGGGCGACAGAGTGAGACTCCATCTCAAAAAAAAAAAAAAAAAAAGAATAAAAAGGGATAAGGCTGAGGCAGAGGGATTGCTTGAGGCCAGGGGTTCAAGACCAGCCTGGGCAACATAGCAAGATCCTGTCTCTACAAAAAAATAGTAAAATAAAATAAAGTAAAAAGAAACGAATCGAGGGTGATCCTCTAGAAAGAGTCTTTTTTTTTTTTTTTTTTTTTTTGAGACAGAGTCTTGCTCTGTTGCCTAGGCTGGAGGGCAATGGCCCGATCTGGGCTCACTGCAACCTCCACCTCCCAGGTTCAAGTGATTCTCCCACCTCAGCCTCCTGAGTAGCTGGGATTACAGGCACTTGCCCAGCTAATTTTTGTATTTTTGTAGAGACGGGGTTTCACCATGTTGGCCAGGCTGGTCTCGAACTCCTGACCTCAAGTGATCCGCCTGCCTCAGCCTCCCAGAGTTCTGGGATTACAGGCATAAGCCACCGCGCCCAGCCAGAGTCTTAAAAGACATGTTAAAGTGGACAAAAGTGCAAGAGAAAACTATCATGGTAAGGAATAGTAATAAAACTGTAAAAAAAAAACCCCCAAAGAAATGGTTTCTGCGAAGTCAGGATTGTGGGTGCTTTAAGCAGGAGAAAGGTCATTGTATTTGAGACAGGACAAAAGGGAGGTTTCCGTAGTGGCTGTAAAAGAGTTCTTTCATTTTTTCTTTTTTGGAGATACAGTCATGCTCTGTTGCCCAGGCTGGAATGCAGTGGCGCCATCATAGCTCACTGCAGCCTCAAACTCCTGGGCTCAAGCGATCCTCCCACCTCAGCCTCCCAAGTAGCTGGAACTACAGCTGCATGCCACCATACCCAGCTAATTGTTGGGATTTTTTTTTTTTTTTTTTTTTTTGTAGAGGCAGTGTCTTGCTATGTTGCTCAGGCTGGTCTCAAATTCCTGGCCTCAAACAATCCTCCCATCTCAGCCTCCCAAAGTGCTGGGATTCTAGGTATAGGCCACCACAGCCAGTCTACTTCTTGTCCTTGAGTGGTAGTTACAATTATAAGCTCTCCTTAAAATTCATAAAACTATGATTTATAATTAACACATTTTATTTATAATTCTCTCCTTAGGTCGGGTGCAGGGGCTCATGCCTGCAATCCTAACACTGACACAGGAACCCAGGAGTTCAAGGATGCAAATGAGCTATGATCGTGCCACTGCACTCCAGCTGGAGGCGACAGAGTGAGACCCTATCTCTAAAAAATAATAATAATGATGATAATAACATAGTAATAATAATAGTTCTCTCCTTTTGTCCGTGGTTTTTTTGTTTGTGTTTTGTTTTTTTGAGATGGAGTCTTGCTCTGTTGCCCAGGCTGGAGTGTGGTAGGGGTATCTCGGCTCACTGCAACCTCCACCTCCCGGGTTCAAGCAATTATCCTGCCTCAGCCTCCCAAGTAGCTGGGATTACAGGTGCCTGCAACAACTCCCAGCTAATTTTTTTTTTTTTTTTTTGAGACGGAGTCTCGCTCTGTCACCCAGGCTGGAGTGCAGTGGTGCGATCTCGGCTCACTGCAAGCTCCACCTCCTGGGTTCACGCCTTTCTCCTGCCTCAGCCTCCCGAGTACAGGCGCCCGCCACCATACCCGGCTAATTTTTTGTATTTTTAGTAGAGATGGGGTTTCACCATGTTAGCCAGGATGGTCTCAATCTCCTGACCTCGTGATCCACCTGCCTCGGCCTCCCAAAGTGCTGGGATTACAGGCGTGAGCCACTGCACCTGGCCAATTTTTGTATTTTTAGTAGAGACAGGGTTTTGCCATGTTTGCCAGGCTGGTCTCGAACTCCTGACCTCAGGTGGTCTGCCTGCCTCAGCCTCCCAAAGTGCTGGGATTACAATTGTTAGCCACCACAGCTCGGCCAGTTCACATGTTTTGTGTTTTTATTTATTTATTTATTTGTTTGTTTTTGATTTTTTTTGTATCTGTGTCTTATCATACAATTAAAAAATTAAAGATTATTTCAAAACCAAATCCTCTAATTTTTTTCCCAGGAAGTCCTTCATGGACATAAAACTGAAGTAAGTGGATTGGATAGAACTGGAATCAAAAGTGACTCCTGGATTTACATAACAGAGCAAGGCAAGAATCACAAAAACATCACAAGGCCATGTATAGCTTATAACAAGTTTGTTTTACAAACTCCTCCAATGTATTGCAAGGATAGAGTACTTTGTAAGATGGTCAGGAATGGCTTTCCAGAAAAAGCAGGGCAGGAGCCAAAGCTTTTTTGTTGTTGTTGTTGTTGTTGTTGAGATGGAGCCTCAATCTGTCATCCAGGCTGGAGTGCAGTGGCACAATCTCAGCTCACTGCAACCTCTGCCTCCCAGGTTCAAGCGATTCTCCTGCCTTAGCCCCCTGAGTAGCTGGGATTACAGGCACCTGTCCAGCTAATTTTTATATTTTTGTAGAGACGGGGTTTCACCATGTTGCTCAGCCTGGCCTCGAACTCCTGATTTCAAGTGATCCACCTGCCTCCACCACCCAAAGTGCTGGGATTACAGATGTGAGCCACCGCGCCAGGCCAGGAGCCAAATCTTGAGTTAGGATTTGGATACTTGAAACAGGCATGCTGTATAAGCAGATGGAACTGAATACACAAAAGCACAGAGAAGGGAAAACACAAAATATCTTCGCACAATGTTCTTTCCTCCACTGGTTAACTTCTACTTATCCTTCGTGTCCAAACATTACTTGCTCAAAGAACTTTTCCTGTGTCTCCCAGAAAAGGTCAGGTTCTTAGCGCACTCTCCTTTGTAACTCTTACCACAGTTGTAATTCAGTGGTGAATTGTGATCTTGGTCATTTAGCATCTCCTCTCCCAGAAGGCAGGGGACCTGGTTGTCTGAGTCATATCATGTCTCCACTGCCTAGTCCTAACTAAGCCTTGCACTGCGTAGTCCTAAACCTTGCGTCATAGACACTCAATAAAAATTGATGAAAATTTACGTGCGAACCCATTCAGCTGGAATAGAAGGTTCTGCAAGATAATTTTTTTTCTTAAGACAGAGTCTCACTCTGTCATTCAGGGTGGGTTGCAGCAGTACAGTCACGGCTTACTGCAGCCTGGACCTCCCGGGCTCAAACCATTCTCCCACCTGAGCCTCCTGAGTAGCTGGTACTACAGATGTGTGCCACCATGCCAGATAATTAAATTTTTTTTGTATGTGTGTGACGGAATCACGCTTTGTTGCCCAGGCTGGAGTGCAATGGCACAATCTTGGCTCACTGCAACCTCCACCTCCCGGTTCAAGCGATTCTCCTGCCTCAGCCTCCCCGAGTAGCTGGGACTACAGGTGTGCACCACCATGCATGGCTACTTTTTGTATTTTTAGTAGAGATGGGGTTTTGCCAGGTTGGCCAGGCTGGTCTTGAACTCCTGACTTCAGGTGATCCACCCGTCTCAGCCTCCCAAAGTGCTGGGATTACAGGCGCAAGTCACTGCGCCTGGCCTAAAAAAATTTTTTATAGAGATGGGGAATCACTTTGTTGCCTAACCTGGCAACAAATTGCTGACCTCAAGTGATCCTCCGGCCTCAGGCACCAAAAGTGCTGGGATTACAGGCAAGAGCCACTGCACTCAGCCACAAGAGATTTAAAGTTGGAAATATTATTGGAAGCCAAATGGTGAATGACCTAGAATGTTAAGAGTTAAATGCTTAGTTTATTTTTTTCTCTTTCTCAACATGAAAAATGTATTGTCTCACAGTCCAAAGGCTAGAGGTAATGACAGGGTTGATTCCTTTTTTTTTTTTTTTGACACAGGGTCTCACTCTGTCACCCAGGCTAAAGTGTTAAAGTGTAGTGGTGCAATCTTGGCTCACTGCAACCTCCACCTCCTGGGCTCAACCTCCTGGGCTCATCCTCAGCCTCCTGAGTAGCTGGGACTACAGGTGCACACCACCATGCACAGCTAAGTTTTGGATTTTTTTTAGAGATGGGGTTTTGCCACGTTGCCCAGGCTGATCTCAAACTCTTGCGTTCAGGTCACCTGCCCGCCTAGCCTCCCAAAGTGCTGGGGTCACAGGTGGGAGCCAGGTTTGTTCCTTCTGAGAGCTCTGTTCCAGACCCCTCTCCTTGGTTTATAGTTGGCTGTCTTCTCACGTGTCTCTTCACATCATCTCTCTACGTGTGTCTCTGTGTCCAAATTTCCCCTTTTTATAAGGACAACAGTCATATTGGACTGGGGCTCACCCAAATGACCTCATTTCAACTTGATTACCAGTGTCAAAAAACCTAGTCTCCAAATAAGGTCACATCTGAGATGCTAAGGGTGAGGTTTCCAACCTATCTGTTTTGCTGATGCATGGTGCAGTGGCTCATGCCTGTAATCCCAGCACTTTGGGAAGCCAAGGTGGGAGGATCCCTTGAGGCCTGGAGTTCGAGACCAGCATGGTCAACATGGCAAAATCCATCTCTACTAAAAATACAAAAATTAGCCGGGCATGGTGGTGCACACCTGTAGTCTCAGCTATCGGGAGGCTGAGGCACAAGAATTGCTTGAACCTGGGAATTGGAGGTTGCAGTGTGCCAAGATCACACCACTACATTCCAGTCTGGGCAACAGAGTGAGACCCTGTCTCAGAAAAAAAAAAAAAAAAAGCAGAGATATCTAAATTGTCTTTGTATTTCACATGCCTTGAACCATTTTTATTTAATTTTTTTTTGAGACGAAGTCTCGTTCTTGTTGTCCAGGCTGGAGTGCAGTGGCACAGTCTTGGCTCACCACAACCTCCGCTTCCTGGGTTCAAGCAATTCTCGTGCCTCAGCCTCCTCAGTAGCTGGGACTGCAGGCACCCGCCACCAGGCCTGGCTAATTTTTGTATTTTTAGTAGAGACAGGGTTTCGCCATGTTGGCCAGGCTGGTCTCAAACTCCTGACTTCAGGTGATCCACCCACCTCAGTCTCCCAAAGTGCTAGGATTACAGGCGTGAGCCATCATGCCTGGTCTAATTTTTTTTTTTTTAATTTTTGAGACAGGGTCTCTCTCTGTTGCCTAGGCTGGAGTGCAGTGGTGCGAACACAGCTGACCGCAGTCTTGACTTCCTGGGCTCAAGCAGTTCTCTTCCCTCAGCCTCCTGAGTAGCTGAGACTACAAGCACATGCCACCATAACCAGCTAATTTTTTTAATTTTTGTAGAGATGAAGTCTGACCATGTTTCCCAGGCTGGTCTGGAACTCCTGGGTTCAAGTGAGCCTCCCACCTTGGCCTCCCAAAGTGCTGGGATCACACGCGTGAGCCACCGTGCGTGCCCTGCCTTAACAGTTTTTAAGTGTGCAGTCTAGTGATATTAAATATATTTAAAATGTTGTAAACCATCACTACCATCTATCTCCACAACTCTTTTCATCTCGTAAAACAAAAAACATATACCTATTAAACAATAACTTCCAACCCCTCTCCACCCACCCCCTGGAGACCACCATTTTACTTTCTGTCTCTATGATTTTGACTATGCTAAGTACCTTCTATAAGTGGAATCATACAATATTTTTTGTGTGTAACTGGCTTACTTCATCTAGCATAATATCCCTAAGGGTCATCCATATTGTAATGTCTGAAAATTTTTTTGTTTTTTAAGGCTGAATAATATTTCATTGTATGTATATGCCACATTTGGCTTATCCATTTATTCACTGATGAACACTGATTGTTTCCATATTGTGTGTGTGTATGTGTGTGTGTGTGTGTGTGTGTGTGTATGGTTTTTTTTTGGAGACAGAGTCTCACTCTGTTGCCCAGGCTGGAGTGCAGTGGTGTGATCTCCATTCACTGCAACCACCACCTCCTGGGTTCAGGTGATTCTCCTGCCTCAGCTTCCCGAGTAGCTAGGACTACAGGCATGTGCCACGATGCTGGGTTACTTTTTGTTGTTGTTGTTGTTTTGGTAGAGACAGGGTTTCACCATGTTGGCCAGGCTGGTCTCCAAATCCTAACCTCAAGTGATCCACCTGCCTCGGCCTCCCAAAGTGCTGGGTGACTGGTGTGAGCCACTGCGCCCAGACTGTTTCCATTTTTTGCTACCGTGAATAAGACTGCTGTGAACATGGGTGTATAAATATTTTTTCAAGACCTTGCTTTCAATTATTTTGTGTATACAGTCATCCCTCAGTATCCACAGGGGATTGGTTCTAGGACACACTGAGGATATCATAATCCACAGATGCTCAAGTCATTTATTTAAAATGAGGTGGTATTTGCATATAATCTATGCATATCCTCTTGTATACTTTAAATCATCTTTAGATTACTTATAATACCCAATACAATGTAAATGCTGTGTAAATAGTTGTTATACTGTATTGTTTAGGGAATAATGATAGAAGAAAAGGTATGTACATCTTCAGAACAGACACAATCATCATAGGCCTAACTACAATGTCCATGTGTAGCTGGTTGAATCAACATGCAGAACCCATGGATACAGGCTGGGCGCAGTGGCTCACACCTGTAATCCCAGCACTTTGGGAGGCTGAGGTGGGTGGATCACCTGAGCTTAGGAGTTGAGACAGCCTGTCCAACACCATGAAACCCCCGTCTCTACTAAAAATACAAAAATTAGCTGGGCATGGTGGTGCACTTCTGTAATCCCAGCTACTCAGGAGGCTGAGGCACAAGAATTTCTTGAACCCGGAAGGTGGAGGTTGCAGGGAGCTGAAATTGTGCAACTGCACTCCAGCCTGGGCAACAGAGTGAGACTCCATCTCAAAAAAAAACAAAAAACAAAAAAACCATGGATACAGAGGGCGAGCTATATACAAAGATATGGAATTGCTACATTGTATAATAATTCTATTTTTAATTTTTTGAGGAATTGCTACACTGTTTTCCATAGTAGCTGCACCATTTTAAATTGCCAGCAACAGTGCATAAGGGTTCCACTTTCTCCATATCCTCTCCAACACTTGTTATTTCTGGCATCTTAGTTACTTTCTTTTTAATAGTAACTAAAGGACACTTTTACATGTATAGAATCCTTAGTTGACAGGTTTTTTTTTTTTCTTTTGAGACAGTCTTGCTGTCGCCCAGGCTGGAGTGCAGTGGCGCGATCTCAGCTCACTGCAACCTCTGCCTCCTGGGTTCAAGTGATTCTCCTGCCTCAGCCTCCAGAGTAGCTGGGATTACAGGTGCCTGCCACCACGCCCAGCTAATTTTTGTGTTTTTAGTAGAGATGAGGTTTCACCATGTTGGCCAGGCTGGTCTTGAACTGCTGACCTCAGGTGACCTGCCTGCCTTAGTCTCCCAAAGTGCTGGCATTACAGGCATGAGCCACCATGCCTGGACTGTTTGTTCTTTTCTGTTTGCTCCTCAAAGTAATTTCAAATGTACTTTCTTCAAGTTTGTTCATTCTCTTCTACCTGCTCGATCCTTCCATTGACTCTACTGAATTTTTCAGTTTAGTTATTGTATTTTTCATCTCCAGAATTTTTGCTTAGGTTCTTTTTATAATTTCTATCTCTTTATTGATATTCTCATTTTATTAATATATAATTTTGCTGATTTCCTTTAGTTCTTTGTCCATGCTTTTCTTTAACTATTCAAGCATATTTAAGATGGTTTTAAGGTCTTTGTCTAGTAAGTCTGATACCTGTGTCTCTTCAGGAATAATTTCTTTATTTTCTTTTTATGAGATGCAGTCTTGCTCTGTGACTCAGGCTGGAGTGCAGTGGTGCAATCTCAACTCACTGCAACCTCCCGGGTTCAAGTGATTCTCCTGCCTTAGCCTCTTGAGTAGCTGGGATTACAGGTGCCCACCACCACACCCAGCTCATTTTTGTATTTTTAGTAGAGACGGGGTTTCACCATGTTGGCCAGGCTGGTCTTGAACTCCTGACCTCAAGTGATCTGCCTGCCTCGGCCTCCCAAAGTGCTGGGATTAGAGGCGTGAGCTAGTGCTCCCAGCCTCTCCAGATATAATTTCTGCCACTTCATTTTCTTCCTTGAAATAGTCCATGTTACCTTGGTTTTTTTTTTTTTTTTTTTTTTTGAGACGGAGTCTTGCTCTTTTGCCCAGGCCAGACTGCAGTGGCGCTATCTCGGCTCACTGCAAGCTCCACCTCCCGGGTTCATGCCATTCTCCTGCCTCAGCCTCCAGAGTAGCTGGGACTACAGAAGTCCGCCACCACGCCCGGCTAATATTTTGTATTTGTAGTAGAGAAGGGTTTCACCGTGTTAGCCAGGGTGGTCTTGATCTCCTGGCCTCGTGATCCACCTGCCTCAGCCTCCCAAAGTGCTGGGATTACAGGCGTGAGCCACCGCACCCGGCCTTGTTTTTTTAAATACAATTTGTGATTTTTGTTGTTGGAAAGTAGGCATTTGAAAAGGCAGCCATTTCTTTGTCTGCAGATTGGGTCTGTGCCAGTGAACTCCTTCACTAATTAGCAGGACATTTTTTGTGTCTTGGGATCGGCCTGAGGAGAAAGCAAAATGTCTTGGTCCATTTTGTGCTGCTATTACAGAATATTACAGACTGGGTACTTTACAGAGAACAGAAATGTATTTCTCACAGTTCTGGAGGCTGGAAAGTCCAAGCAGAAGGTGCCCACATCTGGTGTGATAAGGGCTTTCTTGCTGGATCCTCACATGGCACAAGGCAGAGGGTACAAAGGGATGAAATGTGTGTCCTCACATGGCAGTAAGCCCTTTATACAGTGGTATTAATCCATTAATGAGGGCAGAGCCCTCATGACCTCCCATTAGGCCCCACCTCCCAATACTATTGTAATGGGGATTACATTTCAACATAAATTTTTGGAGAAGAGAAAAACATTCAAACCATAGCATTCTCCCCTAGCTCCCCTAATCCATATCTTTCTCACATCCAAAATATCTTCATTCCATCCTAATAACCCCAAGAAGTCTTAATTTGTTTCAGCATCACCCTTAAAAGTCTAAGCTTCAAAGTCTTATCTAAATCATGCTGGGTGAGGTGGCTCACGCCTGTAACTTTGGGAGCACTTTGGGAGGCTGAGGCAGGGGGATCATTTGAGGTCAGGAGTTCGAGAAAACCTGGCCAACATGGAGAAACCCCATCTCTACTAAAAATACAAAAATTAGCCAGGTGTGGTGGTGCATGCCTTTAGTCCCAGCTACTTGGGAGGCTAAGGGAAGGGAACTGCTTGAACCCAGGAGGTGGAGGTTGCAGTAGTGAGCTGAGATCACACCACTGTACTCCAGCCTGGGCAACAGAGCAAGACTCCACCTTAAAAAAACAAAGCAAAAGCCTTGTCTGGGAAATCTGCTGGTCCCCTTATTAATTTTCTTTCTTTTTAGATGGAGTCTCACTCTGTCACCCAGGCTGGAGTGTAGTGGTGTGATCTCAGCTCACTTCAACCTCCATCTCCCAGGTTCAAGCCATTCTCATGCCTCAGCCTCCTGAGTAGTTGGGACTACAGGCTGCACCACTGCATCTGGCTAGTTTTGGTATTTTTGTAGAGACAGGGTTTCACCATGCTGACCAGGCTGGTCTCAAACTCCTGACCTCAGGTAAGCCACCTGTCTCAGTCTCCAAGTGCTGGAATTACAGGCAAGAGCCACCACACCTGGCCCCAGACAAGGCTTTTATTTCGGGGCTTGTGCCCCAGTACAAGGACGCTCCAGCTGACTCTCTGAAAAAAGCCAGTAGGAGTGCTTTTTTTTAATTAGACAAAGTGTGGGAATTGACATCAGGGGTAAGGTTTGCAGGCTGAGCTGGTAGCACATGATGGGCAAGGCATGCAAGTCGGCATATCTGGTTGCAATGGTTATCTTGGGTAATGGACAATTTAGTGGTCTGGCCGGTGACAAAAGGGCTGTAAATCAATTACTCAGCATTTCTTCCTGAGGTGGAACACTCCCCAACCTCACTCTGATATTTAGATTTTCTAAGGCCAGTTCCTGGAATTTTTTTTTTTCTTTGAGACAGAGTCTCACTCTGTCCCCCAGGCTAGAGTGCAGTGGCACAATCTTGGCTCACTGCAACCTCTGCTTCTGAATTCAGTTCAAGCAATTCTCGTGCCTCAGCCTCCAGAGTAGGTGGGACTACAAACGCATGCCACCACACTCAGCTAATTTTTTGTATTTTTAGTAGAGACGGGATTTTGCCATGTTGCCCAGGCTGGTCTCGAACTCCTGAGCTCAGGTGACAGGTGATCCACCCACCTTGGCCTCCCAAAGTGCTGGGATTACAGGCACGAGCCACACACCTGGCTTATTTCCTGGAATTCTTTAAGTGAAAGGCATGGTTAAACATTATGGCATCAGTGAGGTAGTGGTGTGGGGTTTTTTGTTGTTGTTTTTTAATTTTTGTGGGTACATAGTAGGTGTATTATTTATGGATTACATGAGATGTTTTGATAGTCATGCAATGTGTAATAATCACATCATAGAAAATGGGGTATCCATCCCTTCAAGCACTTACCCTTTGTGTTATAAGCAATCTAGGATGGGTGCAGTGGCTCATACCTGTAATCCCAGCACTTTGGGAGGCCGAGGCAGGTGAATCACCTTAGGTCAGGAGTTCAAGATCAGCCTGGCCAACATGGTGAAACCCCCATCTCTACTTAAAAAAAAAAAAAAAAAAATTAGCCAGGTACGGTGGCGCTTGCCTATAATCCCAGCTACTCTGGAGCTGAGGAGGGAGAGTTGCTTAGAACCCAGGGGCAGAGGTTGCAGTGAGCCGAGATCGTGCCACTATAGTCCAGCCTGGGCAACAGAGTGAGACTTGGTCTCAAAAACAAAAACAAACAAACAAACAAACAAAATCTATACTTTTAGTTATTCTTATTTTTAAATTTTAATTATTTTGAGACACAGTTTCGCTTTGTCACTAGGGCTGGAGTGTAGTTGCGTAATCTCAACTCACTGCAACCTCTGCCACCTGGGTTCAAGTGACTCTCCTGCCTCAGCCTTCTGAGTAGCTGGGATTACAGGCGCACACCACCACACCTGGATAATTTTTGTATTTTTAGTAAAGGTGGGGTTTCACCATGTTCGCCTGGCTGGTCTCAAACTCCTGACCTCAGGTGATCCAAAAGCGCTGGGATTACAGGCATGAGCGACCATGCCTGGCCATTATTTTTTTAATTTTTAATTTTTGTGGGTAGATAGTAGGTGTATATATTTATGGGATACTTTGATACAGGTATGCAATGCATAATAATCACAGGGTAAAGGGGGTATCCATCCCCTCAAGCATTTATTCTTTGTGTTACAAACAATGCAATTATGCTCTTTATTTTTAAATTGAGGCTGGACACGGTAGCTCACCCATGTAATTCCAGCACTTTGGGTGGCTAAGGCAAGCGTATTGCTTGTGCTCAGGAGTTTGAGACCAGCTTGGGCAATGAGATAAAACCCCGTCTCTACAAAAAAATACAAAAAAATTAGCCTGGTGTGGTGGCACACACCTGTGGTCCCAGCTACTCGGGAGGCTGAGGTGGGAGGATTGCTTGAGCCCAGGTTGCTTGAGCCCATGAGCTGAGACTGCACCACTGCACTCCAACCTGGGTGACAGAATGAGACCTTGTCTCAAAAAAAAAAAAAAAAAAGTACAATAAATCTTTGATTGTAGTCACCCTGTTGTGCTATCAAATACTAGATCTTATTCCTTCTATCTAATTATATTGTTGTATCCATTAGCCATCCCCCCCAACCCCCACTACCCTTCCTAGCCTCTGATAACCATTCTTCAAATCTCTACCTCCATTAATTAAGTTGTTTTAATTTTTTTTTATTTTTTTTTTGAGACAGAGTCTCACTCTGTTACCCAGGCTGGAGTACAGTGGCACGATCTCAGCTCACTGAAACCTCCGCCTCCCGGGTTCAAGCAATTCTCCTGCCTCAACCTCCCAAGTAGCTGGGATACAGTTGCCTGCCACCACACCCAGCTACTTTTTGCATTTTTAGTAGAAATGGGGTTTCACCATGTTGGCCAGGCTGGTCTTGAATTCCTGACCTCATGATCCACCCTCCTTGGCCTCCCAAAGTGCTGGGATTACAGGCGTGAGCCACTGAGCCTGGCCAATTTTTATTTCTGAAACATTTATTATTAATGTGATGGGAAAATTACACAGAATATATGTTCATTTCTTATAAAGTTAAGTCTTCCAGAACCTGGTTTAACAAAAAACTGAGGTTAAATTCAGGTCTCAAATATAGAAACTTAAACTTTTCTTGAAATCCAATTAAAAATGTAGATCTAGGCTGGGCGAGGTGGCTCACGCCTGTAATCCCAGCACTTTGGGAGGCTGAGGTGGGCAAGGTCAGGAGATTGAGACCATCCTGGCTAACACGGTGAAACCCTGTCTCTACTAAAAAATACAAAAAATTAGCCCAGCTACTCGGGAGGCAGAGGAAGGCGAATGGCATGAACCCAGGAGGCGGAGCTTGCAGTGAGCCTAGATGGCGCCACTGCACTCCAGCCTGGGTGACAGAGCGAGACTCCGTCTCAAAAAAAAAAAAAAAAAAAAAAAGTAGATCTAAATAGAGTCAGTCTTTTAAGAAAAAAATCACACATTTTAGCCTCAGTCAGATTTCACTTTATTTGTATCGATGACAATATTAACTCTTCAGATTTATAAAATGACAAAACTTGATAATTACCTGGAAACAATTTATTATTAACTAGGTTAACCCTAAATCCATCAAGAAAAACCACCTAACATATTCAGTGTTAAAAAGAGACATTACGACTAGCCTGGCCAATATGGCAAAACCCTGTCTCTACTAAAAATACAAATTTTAGCAGGGTATAGTGGTACGTGCCTGTAAGTCCCAGCTACTCAGGAGGCTAAGGCACCAGAATCGCTTGAATCTGGGAGGCAGAGGTTGCAGTGAGCAGAGATCGTGCCACTGCACTCCTGGGCAACACAGCGAGACTGTCTCAAAAAAAAAAAAAAAAAAGAGAGAGACAACAATGAGACAGATTGGCACATGTATGCCCTGAGAAATAAATCAACAGCTCCCACTAAAATTCTCAATACGCTAGACAGATTTAAAAGTACAATCTGGTACTTTCTCTTTTTTGAGATGGAGTCTCACCCTGTCGGCCAGGCTGGAGTGCAATGCACGATCTGGCTCACTGCAACCTCTGCCTCCCCGGTTCAAGCGATTCCCCCGCCTCAGCCTCCCGAGTAGCTGGGATCACAGGCATGCAACACCACGCTCGGCTAGTTTTTTATATCTTTAGTAGAGATGGGGGTTTCACCATGTTGGCCAGGCTGGTCTTGAACTCCTGACCTCATGATCCGCTAGCCTCCGCCTCCCAAAGTGCTGGGATTACAGGTGTGGGCCGCTACACCTGGCCCCAATCTGGTACTTTCAATGTTGCCTATAAACAGATTTCAGCTGAAGCTCAGATGGTAAGGTTAAGATGCCTGGGGACTGGGATGGATGGACGGGCAGGAGGGTTGGAAGAGAAGTAATCCAATTAGCATTGAAAATAAGAGCGCCAATTTGGAAAATCGAATGTCTATGATCATTTTCTTCCCTAAAACAGGGAAGAAAGTGAATGTGGAAAATCCGATTTTCAGCAATATTCGCAGGACCTAAGGCAACAACCACATGCCTGGGGCAACTATACTTTCCAAATCCTGAATATTAAAAAGGTTTTCACATGGTAATCATCTTAATATTTTCTGTTTTTTAGATGAAGTTTTGCTCTTGTTGCCCAGGCTGGAGTGCAATGGTGCAATCTTGGCTCACCTCAACCTCTGCCTCCCGGGTTCAAGCGATTCTCCTGCCTCGGCCTCCCGAGTAGCTGGGATTACAGGAATGTGCCATCACCCCTGGTTAATTTTGTATTTTTTTAGTAGAGATGGGGTTTTTCCATGTTGGTGAGGCTGGTCTCAAACTCCTGACCTCAGGTGATCCGCCTGCCTTGCCCTCCCAAAGTGCTGGGATTACAAGCATGAGTCACCGTGCCAGGCTAATTGTGTCCTTTTTAAAGGAACAAACAATTTGACTGTTGTGCAAATGAGGCTTACCTGGTCTGAATATGAAGCACCTGCCCTGGGCTGCTGTCTCAGGGCAGGAAAGTGGGGTGGTCAGAAAGGCAGCCAACACTGTTTCTGCTGCCACTGTCACTAAGCCTGGAGTGCCCGTTTTCAACTGCAGTGATCTGGTCCCTAACATTTAGCCTAAACAGTGAGCTGGTAAACAAAGCCCCTGCCAGCAGAGAAAAGGGGCTCTAGAGCTGTTGAAGGATTGGCCAGGCCGGTTCTTTTCTTATCTCTGTTGTTCTCGAGGAAATTCCTCTAAGGTGAGCCAAGGTCAGTGGCTCATTTTAACTTAGAGTAACTCTCTGGGGACTCTAACCAGACTTCCAACAGTGCTCTGGGCCCCTTAGTAAGTTCCCAGGGAAGCAGATGAAACTAATTAGGACATGGCCCACCAAAGGCGACACAAGCATTTTCCCCGCTGTGCACAGAGACCTCCCCACAACTGGGGCAAAGGCCGTGGAGGAAATCTTTCAAGCACAGAGGGGTCCGCGGTCACTGTCCCCACCTTCAGCTCTCTGCCCTGACAACCTCAGCCTGTTTTCACCATGTTTCTTCTCCCCAAGGCACAAATATTTCTTTTTAACTTATTTTTGTGATGTACCCAACTAACCACAAAGCCAGGCCTGCTGGGATGAGGATAAAAATCAAATAAACAATCCTCTCAACGTCCAGGAAATGGCTGCCAGGCCTTCTGACTTCATGAAACGCCGGGGCCAGCTGTGCTCTTCTATGCTGGGTCCTCTTCGTCCATTGCCACATTGCTGTTTGTATTCTTCTTCTGCTCAGCCTCTGGCTCTGCAGGCAGAATGCTGGTGACGGTGTGGAGAAGAGCTTCAATCTGCTCCTCCGTGAGCCGCTCTTCACTCTCTTCCACCATCTGCAGAAGGAAAGAAAATCCTCCAGGGTTACAAATGAAACTTACAGCCTTGGGCAGCCCTGCCCACTGTGCTCATGGTCTCAGCCCGGCCTCCTGGCACACAGACCTCACAGCCTGGGTCCTCGTGAGTCCTCTCCATCTTACAGACGGAAGGGTGGAGCCAAGTCACATCCTGGACTGAGCCAATGCGACTGATCAAAATGGGTCAGTAAAAACCAAGTTGTAGGATAGCATTTTTCTTTAAAGAAAAGGAAAACCCCCAGCCTGGGAAGCACAGAGGAACCCCATCTCTTAAAAACAAACAAAAAAAATCAACCAAGCATGGTGGTGTGTGCCAATAGTCCCAGCTACTTGGGGGGCTGAGGTGGGAGGATCACTTGAGCCCAGGAGGTCGAGCCAAGCACTCCAGCCTGGGTGACAGAGCAAGACTTTGTCTAAAAAAAAAAAAAAAAAAAGAAAAGAAAAAAAGGAAAAAGCTAAGTTATATAACCACACACACACACACACACACACACACACACACACACACACACAGAGAGAAGTGGTGAACAGGTTGCATATGCATCTCGAAGAAGTTAAATGGCACTTTATGTACTTTTATATTTCACAAGCACATCTGTAATTTTTTTTTTGGGGGGGCAGGACAGAGTCTTGCTCTGTCGCCAGGCTGGAGTGCAGTGGCACAATCTCGGCTCACTGCAACCTCCGCCTCTCAGGTTCAAGCAATTCTCCTGCCTCAGCCTCCCGAATAGCTGGGACTACAGGCACGAGCCACCACAGACAGTTAACTGTTCGTATTTTTCGTAGAGACGGGGTTTCACCATGTTGGCCAGGATGGTCTCAATCTCTTGAGCTTGTGATCCACCCACCTTGGCCTCCCAAAGTGCTGGGATTACAGGCGTGAGCCACTGTGCCAGGCACACATCTGTAATTTAATGAACTGTATCAGCAACACGGTTGATGATGCCCACTATGTGCCAAATGGTTTGGAGCCTTCTTCTAATCCTCACTCCCACTAGCAACAGCCCTGCAGGGAGGCCTCCCATGTGTCTGGAGCTGCATCTTGCACTTCCCATCCGGCATTTCCTTTCGTCCTCCCAACAATGCTGCTAAGGGGTAGAACTGGAATCCCCAGCCAGAACTGCCCAGTCTAAAACCCACAGTCCCCCACGTTGCACACCACACTGCCCATCAAAGGTCCACATAAAACCTGGTTTCTGATGTGGTCCCAGAAATCTGAATCTAGAGATGATACTCACAGCCTGAGCCAGTTTCCTTAGCTTCGCCCCTAATTCTAAACAGAATTAGGTCGTCAGCTGCCTTTTTAAAAGCAGCAGGCAGGCAGTCAAGTTGCTTAACCCTGTTTGCTTGGTGGCATCAACCATCAATCACAAACACCTTTCTCAGCTCAAGGTGGCCAGATTCTATTCCATGGCATTCCCCACAGCAATCTCTGAAATCCGGCAACTGGGACCACAGGGAGTTCCAGAAAGAAATCCTGGCAGACTGAAGTAAAACAAGATAATAAGACAGGCCTGCAATCCTGGAGAGGATCCCAGTCTGACCACCTCCCTTTACAGACAACAGCACAGTTCAGGAAGTCATGTGACACGCCCAAGGTCACACCACGAACTCCTGGCAAAACCCTGGTCTCTCCACTCACTTCAGCCCAAAAGTGTTTCTGCAACTAGATAATAATCCTGGTGTCCCAGGATGGGGGAGATCCTGAGTGAATCAATGGGGGCTACTCCCTATGATGCTGTGAAATAAAATGACCATTTTCTAAAGATTCCATGGCTCAGGAAAATGTAAATTCTCTTCTGAGAAAGAAACAATCTTCAACTCCCCCCCTTCACTCTTGTTGCCCAGGCTGGAGTGCAATGGCATGACCTTGGCTCCCTAGCAGCTGGGATTACAGGCATGCACCACCACACCCAGATAATTTTGTATTTTTAGTAAAGACAGAGTTTCTCCATGTTGGTTAGTCTGGTCTCGAACTCCTGACCTCAGGCGATCCACTCACCTCGGCCTCCCAAAGTGCTGGGATTACAGGAGTTAGCCACCGCGCCCGGCCAAAAACCCATTTTTAAAATCAGACATGGGGCCGGGTGCGGTGGCTCACGCCTGTAATCCCAGCACTTTGGGAGGCTGAGGTGGGCGGATCACAAGGTCAGGAGATCGAGACCATCCTGGCTAACACAGTGAAACCCCGTCTCTACTAAAAATACAAAAAATTAGCTGGGCGTGGCAGCGTGCGCCTGTAGTCCCAGCTACACGGGAGGCTGAGGCAGGAGAATGGTGTGAACCCAGGAGGCAGAGGTTGTAGTAAGCCAAGATCGTGCCACTGCACTCCAGCCTGGGTGACAGAGTAAGACCCACTCTCTTTGGGGAAAAAAAAGGTGGGGGTGAGGGATAATGTAGTCATTGTCATTTATCCTAGTGATCCAAGACGTGCTAGTAAGTTTTTTATTTCTGAAAGTTTCTTTTTTGTTTATATTTCATTTAGTTTAATGCAGCTTAGGGTTTCTTCCTGTGACTGGGAACCTTAGGTTGAAAAAAAAGGTCTTGACTGTAATTAAGGAGGATTGGATGTTGATAAAAGCTCCGGCCGTTAGTGAACTTAGCAAAATTCTTTTCTGCACATTATTTTCTCAAACGGAGATCATCTTTTCTCCAGGTTAAATAATCAAATCTTGGCTATTTCCCTCCTTTCCCTGCTTTATTCTTTGGGCGCAATCATCACTTACTGCAGTCTCAAACTCCTGGGCTCAAGCAATCCTCCTGCCTCAGCCTTCCAAGTAGCTGGGACTATAGCTATGTGCCACCATGTCCAGCTAATTATTTTTTATTATTTTTTGTAGAGATGGGGTTGCCCAGGCTGGTCTTGAACTCCTGGGCTCAAGTGATCCTCTCACATCACCCTCTCAAAGTGCTGGGGTTATAGACATGAATCACTGTGTCCGGCCTTTCACCTTTTCTTTCCAACACAGGAGAAACAGTCCAAATAAAGAAGTAAAGTTCAAAGCACCATCTCAAGGTTCTCAGATACCAACCATTTCAGGTAGTTGAGAACATAAGGGGAAATAAAACTTAAAAATCCAAAGTATCAACAGCTGGGTTAACATAAATGATACATTTATTATCTCAATCCCAGGAGCATCAAACCGGGTTGCCGACCTCCAAAAATGGCAACTTGAAGTCGCCAAACCTAAAGTCCTACTTTCCTCAAAATGATTCAAAGATCTGATAGCAACAATGTATACTATTAAATATTTGATCCAGAACAGTTCACTGAATCTGGCTTTCTAAATTTCAACTTTCTCTAATGTAAAATGAAAGTAACGCCTACAGCGAGGACAAAAGGAGAACACATGTAACAGTGTTTTACAAGCAATAACGCTCTATATGAGTCAAGACTTCATAATCACGAAATCACTAACAGGCCTAGATGGTAGTGCTGTTCAGGGCAGTGGCCTGTGAGGTCACAGGATTCACTGACCTCAGGCCGGAGGGCTCACAAATCATTCCAAATCAATACACAACCGGGCACAACAAGTCCTAAGCTGGGTGGCCACCTCATTTCCTCACCGAGCCTCTGAGTCAGCAGGCAGTCATCAGAGGGCCACAGCAAATCACAGCCCAGGCGTAACTGAAGAGGTGAGGCTTCAGCCTCCAAAAGACACCTGGCTTCCAAGTGAATGCTAATAAATGTTGGATGCTGGGACTGTTTTCTGAACCCAGGGAGAAAAAATGGCTCTAGTGTTAATATAGGGAACTTCTCACTCAAGTCCTTTGTGCTTGCCACTGTAAGTGAAACCTTTTATTTCCTTTTGTTTTCTAGAGAAGGAGTTTCGCTCTTGTCGCCCAGGCTGGAGTGCAGTCACGCTCACTACACTTCGCTCACTACAACTTCCGCCTCCCAGGTTCAAGCGATTCTCCTGCCTCAGCCTCCCAAGTAGCTGGGATTACAGGTGCCCGCCACCATGCCCAGCTAATTTCTGTATTTTTAGTAGGGATGAGGTTTCGCCATGTTGGCCAAGCTGGTCACAAACTCCTGACCTCAGGTGATCCACCCACCTCGGTCTCTTAAAGTACTGGGATTACAGGCGTGAGCCACCGTGCCCAGCCATTTGCTTTTTTTTTTTTAAAAGACAGGTTCTTGCTCAGTCACACAGGCTGGAGTACAGTGGCACTATCATAGCTCACTGCAGCCTTGAACTTCTGGGCTCAAACAATCCTCTCACCTTAGTCTCCTGAGTAGCTGGGACCACAGGTGTGCGCCACCATACCTGGCTAATTTTTTTCATTTTTTGTAGAGATGGGGTCTTACTATGTTGCCCAGGCTGGTTTTGAATTCCTGGCCTCAAGCAATCCTCCCACCTTGGCCTCCCAAAGTGCTGGGATCACAGGCGCAAGCCACCATGTTCGGCCACAGCTTTCATTTCTTATTCACTCTGGTGAGAAGCGATACTGCTACAAACCTTGGTAAACAATTTGCTACCTTTTGTAGCCAAATTCCAGAGTGGGAAGAATCTGGCTATAAAATGGTCCAACTACTGAGAAACAGCAGTTTCTACCAAGGCCTACCTACTTTGTAGAAACGAGAAGGAAACCATCTCAGGGGATGCCACACACATCTTTCTTCTCATCAAGCACAAGTACCTGGCTTGGAGGAGCAAAGTAAAGCTTCTGAATCAGAAGGTCCCAATCAGCCACTCACCAGCCCTCTGGGCTAAAATGGAGAGGACACTTGCCCCCTTCCAAGACTATGGGGCGGGCATTCGAAGTGACAGACAATCACAGGCACCAGGACCAAGGACTGAGACCGTGTCTGGCACACCCCATGCACTCTTTTTTTTTTTTTTTCCCAAGATGGAGTCTCACTCTGTCACCCAGGCTGGAGTGCAGTGGTGCAATCCTGGCTCACTGCAACCTTGGCCTCCCGGGTTCAAGTGATTCTGCCTCAGCCTCCCAAGTAGCTGGGATTACAGGTGTGCACCATCATGCCCAGCTAATTTCTGTACTTTTAGTAGAGATGGGGTTTTACCACTTTAGCCAGGCTGGTCTTGAACTCCTGACCTCAGGTGATCTGCCCACCTTGGCCTCTCAAAGTGCTGGCATTACAGGCATGAGCCACCGCGCCCGGCCCACCCCAGGCACTCTCAATAGCAGCAAATCTTCCCCCAAGTAATGATACCACTTTCCACAGGCTCTGGCTGAGGTCACACTAATCCTCATCTCTTCTCTCTGCCTGTCATTAAGCCATGAGTAACATATGTTGCTGATTAAAGCTGGAGGAGACATGACATATGATCTTTAACCCAGAGGGACAGGGATTCGTTTCTTGCTGTTCTGTTTGTTTTTTCTCTCCTCTAAGCTCTAGGTTGAAACTCCAATACAGTGTAAAGCATGAAAATAATCAGGACACATGAGAAAGGGGTTTCTATTTAGCCTACAGGCGGGTTCCCAGAGAAAGGCACCCTTCATGAAAGGAACTGTTCTAATTTAATTTTGGGTACATTCTGAAGGGCAAAAACAACCCTAGGAAGACAATGAACAATTTAGTAAAAAATTAAATACCCTGTGGCCTTTTAAAAAGTTTTTCCATTAGCAACTCTAAAAATCGTATTTTTGACCATTTTCTTCCATACTTTTCTAAAGGAAATTTGACAAAGAGCTAAGTATTTCTAAAACTGACTTTGGAAACTGCTTTATTCTCATTTTGTTAATTCTCTAAAGTTTCTTCTTCTTTTTTTTTTTTAAACTGGCAATTAGACGGCCTGCTTAACACTTGTCAGGTACCGATGCTCTCTGCCCTGTAATAAGAAGGCAGCGGCCACAGCGTGCCCAGTGGTGGCCCGGGTATCTCCCTGGATCATTTCCCGGGCCCCTTATCCCATCGTAGGCCCCTCTACTCTGGCTGCCTCCTCCTATTCCAAAGCCTACGCTCTCAGTACAAAGCGGACTTCACAAGTGATGAGGCTGTACTAAATAAACGGTTTATGCAGGGAAATGGGATCACATTCATGGTTTTAGATGTGATCTCTGACGGTGATGTGGGAGATGGACTTGGGGAGCCAGGGAGAATGGGGAGAGGATAACCGCAAGAGCCGCGTGAAGAAATAATGGCAGAAATCAACGCAGTACACGGGGGAGAGAAGCAAGAACGAAGACAGAAGCAACAGAACTTGGGGACTCCCTGACTGTGAGATGAAAGGAAGAGAATGGCTTGCAGGTTTCCGGCGTGGGAGGCCAGGCCAGGAGATGAGCAAGGAAGGGAGCTGATGGGACAGCGCACACATGCTCCCCTCACCCAGAAAGAGAGGAAGCAAGAGCAGGGTGAAGGGTGGGCGTGGGGACAGAGAATGTTCACCAGAGACATGCTGAATTTCATGTTTTTTATGCAACATCTGGTTGGCAACAACGCCTACAGGGAAGCAATGGCCAGAATGGCCTGGACATCAGGGGAGTCGGAGAGCCGCCAAGTCATCAGCCAAAACCCTAGAGGAGGAATGAAATCTCCTCCAGTGTTTTGTGGTCCCTAAGTCCACACTAACTAGGATCAAACTGGCAAGGTCTCTTTTTCCTTAAGAAATGGAGTGGTTGGGCAGCCTCTTAAAAAAAACGCAGTTCCTGGCTTGTCCACCACAGCCATTCTACATCTCAGACCCACAGCAGCCTCCCCAGCACAGGCGCCCTTCACTCACCAGCTGGATCTCCACAGCAGTCACAGGCCGGTGGTTCAGCAGCTGGAGCTTCTCAGCTCTGTGGAGGGAAAGTACAGCGTTGACAACTCGCATAGCCCTAAGTCCTGAGTCCTGACTGAGCTGCACAGAGAATAATTTGCCAGATAAAAAATGGGAGAACCACTGGAGTGTGGCCCTCAGTTCCTTCAACTGTAAATCGAGAGAATGGGAACAGGAGCGTGTATGTGAGTGACTCCCAGCCCACGGTACGAATGGGTATCAGAGGCATGATTGTAGGAAACAAAGCAGCAGGGCATATGCCATTTTAAAAACAGGGGGGTCATTTTCTTTTTTCCTTTTTTTTTGAGACAGAGTTTTCCTCTTATTGCCTAGGCTGGTGTGCAGTGGCACGATCTTGGCTCACTGTAGCCTCCGCCTCCAGGGTTCAAGTGATTCTTCTGCCTCAGCCTCCCAAGTAACTGGGATCACAGATGCTCGCAACCACACCCACCCAGTAAATTTTTGGTATTTTTTTAGCAGAGATGGGGTTTCATCATGTTGGCCTGGCTGGTCTCAAACCCTCGACCTCAGGGGATCCACCTGCCTCGACCTCCCAAAGTGGTAAGATATAGGCGTGAGCCACCGTGCCCGGCCCAGGACGGTAATTCCTATCTGGAAAATGTGAAGAAAATAATGCTTTCTTCATCCAAATTATAGAAAGTACCAACTAACAAAATCACCTTAGGCCAGGTGTGGTGGCTCATGCCTGTAATCCCAGCACTTTGGGAGGCCAGGTGGGAGGATCCCTTGAGGCCAGGCATTCCCAATCAGCCTGGGCGACATTAAAAAACCTTACAAAAAAATTAAAATAAATTAGCTGGGCATGATGGGTTGCGCCTGTAGTCCCAGCTACCTGTAGTCCCAGCTACGGAAGGCAGAGGACAAGGAGGTGAGGCAGGAGGATCGCTTTAGCCTGCACTCCAGCCTGGGCGACAGAGCCACACCCTATCTCTAAAACTAAAAAATTAAAACACACAAAATCATCTTGTGTGGTCATCTCTTAGAAATGGGTAAATTCCTTTTTGAGATGAAGATTTAATATTTCCCAAATTTGACTTATTATCTTAGTAAACAAAACAGGGACTAAAAGGGGCAGGAGTTAATACACAGAAATACAGGTACAGTGCCTCTGCCCTGAAAGCACTTAACCCAGCTGGAGAAAGAAGACAAATACATGTAAATTTTCACAACAAAAGATCTGAGTGACAGTTAGATATAGTGATCATCTGCCTCAAAGAAAGAAACAGATCATTGCTGAAAGGGTGGCTGAATCATGTGGACTCTGAAAGACTACAGAACTTCAGAGGAGATCAAATGACTGCAGTGACCACCCCTGTGCAGGCAACAACTTCTACATTTCTCTCTCAATTTGACCCTGGGGCTGCATATCCATCTTTCCAATCAGCTCAGTAAGTATTTATCGCATTAAAGACCTTCTGGAGTGAAAACATGAAGAAGCCACGACTCCTGCAGCCATGTGTTGGGGGAAGCAGAACACTTACCCACTCTCCCTGAGCCTCAGTTTCCTCATCTGTGAAATAGGAATGATAACAGTACTTAACTATCTTATGAGAGGATTAACAGGGATGAAAATCTTTCCAGAGGCCGCCACTACCATTTATTGCTTGCTTTCCATGTGGAACTACATCAAATCCTCAGATTTCACTGACACTGAGAGAGTAAATAACTTGTCTACAGTTGCAAAGCTAGTAAATGGCAGAGAAGCTCCTGTTCTTGGCCATCTGCTTCTAGTGTACATGTGATAATGGATGGAAAGTGTCATAATGCCATCTGTCTCACGATAGTTTCTCCATAAATGGCAGTCATTATTAGGGCAGTTCTAGTCAATTTCTACTGCTTGTAATCCCCCAAATGTTTACTCTAGACTCAAGGAGGGAGACTCCACAGAGATGACCCTTGCACTAGATCCTGATGGCTTTTCAACACAAAAGGGATGGGAGGGACAGCCAGCCAGGGCAGGAACAACACAAGGACGTGCCCAGAGGAAAGAAAGCTCCCGGAGTTTTAGGAAACAGCTAGAGAGGGGTGGGACATGGGGTGAAAGAGTCATTTGGGACAAGATCGAAAGGGCCCTGACTATCAAGAGGCTGGGTGTGACTTGGTCAATATAGGAGAGCAATCAAGGAAGAGGGGCATGCTCTGGCTGGTGCTGGCAGCGATTTGGGAAGACCCAAGAAAATGGAGGCAGACAGTGAGGAATGCATTGTAACACCCCCTGGGTGAGTGAGAGTGAGTTATGAAGTTGGCCAGCAGGAGCAGGCATGCCAGTAAGCGTCTAAACACGTGAAACACTTCCCG